>NC_000016.10:27577395-27880425 GCF_000001405.40 Homo sapiens | reverse complement strand
ACCAGGCGGGAGGACAAAGATTTTAAGTCTTCAGAAAACAGTAACTGAGAAGGATGTAGCAGCCAGATGATGGAATAAGACTGAGGTAGCAAGTGGTGGAGAGAAAGGATTTTGTATTCATGCCCAGGAGAAGATAAACAGGAGAGACACAATATGAGGAGATAAACTTTGAGGCTGCTGCTGAGAGCTGGGCGTCTGGCCAGGAAGACATGGGAGGCTGGTCTTTAGGGAGCCCCTTGGAAACAGGGCAAGAGGTGGTAAGGGGCTTGGAGGGGGTGGAGAGGGCTTCTGCTCTGCTCCTGTGGGAGGGAAAGTGCTGCTTTCTGTCTAGGAAGAGCTGGCAGGCAGGCTTGGGCAGAGGCCAGCAGCCAGGTCTATCTGGGGAGAGGTTGGGCTCTGACATCTGCTGGACCAGCTCAGCCCAAGGTCAGTGCCTTGGTAGAGAAAGCAGAGACTGGGGCAGCCCTTTCTCTAACCAATTACAGTCAGCCCTCTGCAGCCATGGGTTCCGCATCTGTGGATTCCACCAACCCCAGAGCGAAACCATTTGGGAAAAAAAAAAAGCAATTAAAAAATAACAATACAACAATAAATACAATAAAAATAATACATAAAATAATAATACAATAAAAATAATAAATAAAATAATACAAATTTAATAACAATACAACAACTATTTACATATCATTTACATTGTATTAGATTTTACAAGTAATCTAGAGATGATTTAAGGTATACAGGAGGATGCATGTAGGTTAGATGCAAATATTAAGCCATTTTTTAAAAGTTAAAAAATTTATTATTATTTTTAAAGACAGGGTATTTCTCTGTTGCCCAGGCTAGAGTGCAGTGGCACAATCACAGCTCACTGCAGTGTCGACCTTCTGGGTTCAAGTGATCCTCCCACCCCAGCCTCCTGACTAACTGGGACTACAGGTGTGTGACATCATGCCCAGCTAATTTTTTTAATTTTTAATTTTTTTGTGAAGATGAGGTCTTGCTATATTGGCCCAGGCTGGCCTTCAACACCTGTCCTCCAGCAATCCTCCTTCCTCGGCCTCCCAAAGTGCTGAGATTACAGGCGTGGGCCCCAAATTATATCAGGGACTTGAGCATCCTTGGATTTTAGTATCCGTGAGGAGTTCTAGAACCAATCCCCTGTGGATATCAAAGGACAACTGATTTATAATTCATTCATTCATTATCATTAATCACAATAGCCAGCATTGACTGAGATGTGATAAAGGCTCTCTCCTTTGACCCAGTTTGAATCAGGTCCCTCTGAGTCCTTCTTCTGACTAGACTCCAATCTTGGGTTCTGTCCTTGGTCCACTCAGTCCCATTTTAGCAAGAATCCTGCTGGATCCGTGTATCAAAAACCCCCCAGCCTTGATATCTGATCAAATTCCTCCTCCCTCTCCCCTGATTGTGTTATCACCCTGGCCTGCCTCCAGCAAAACCCTGTTGAGTCAATTTAGCCAGAACCCCCTTACCCCTGATGCTTCCTCATAGTGATTTTCATCTGTGAACCCCACCCTGCTCCTTGGCTGTGAATCCCCACTTGTCCTTGTGTTCAGAGTTGAGCCCAATCTCTCCCTACTACTGCAAGCCCCCAAGGCAGTGGTCCCTCTTGAATAAGTCCTCCTTACCGTTTTTACCTAAAGTGTTTGGATAAGTTTTTCTTTAACAGGTTGGGTGTGATGGCTCATGCCTGTAACCCCAGCACTTTGGGAGGCTGAAGGTGGAAGATCACTTGAGGCCAGGAGTTTGAGATCAGCCTGGGCAACATAGTGAGACCCTGTCTTTATGAAGAAAAAAAAGTAGCTGGGCATAGTGGTGTGAGTCTGTAGTCCAGTCCCAGCTTGATATGGTTTACCTCTGTGTCTCCACCCAAATCTCACCTTGAATTGTAATAATCTCCTCATGTTAAGGGCGGGACCAGATAGAGGTAACTGAGTCATGGGGGAAGTTTCCCCCACGCTATTCTTATGATAGTGAGTGAGTTCTCAAGAGTTCTGATGGTTTCATAAGGGGTTCCTACTTTGCTCAATACTCATTCTCTCTCCTGCCGCCATGTGAAGAAGGGCATGTTTGCTTCCCCTTCCACCATGATTGTAAGTTTCCTGAGGCCTCCCAAGCCACACAAAACTGTGAAACAATTAAACCCCTTTTCTTTATAAATTACCCAGTCTTGGGTATGTCTTTATTAGCAGTGTGAGAATGGACTAATACACAGCTACTCAGGAGGCCAAGACAGGAGGATCCTTGAGCCCAGGAGGTTAAGGCTGCTGTGAGTTATGATCATGCCACTGCACTCCAGCCTGGACAACAGAACATGACTCTGTCTCTCAAAAACCATTTTTTTTTTCTTTAACAGATGCTACTATGCGCTGGCCCTGGGGTAAGCCTGCCACATGTGTTAATCTCTTTACTCCTCCTGTAGCATTACATTCATTCTACAGATCAGAAAACTGACTTGCCTGCAGCCACATGGCTAGTAACGTGTTGAACCCTAGAGTCTGCCATGGTGAAGTGTTCTGAGCAGGGCTTTGCACCCAGGACTTCAGGTTGTTATCATTATTATTATTCCTAGCTGCCTTTGAATAAACTGAGGGACAGATCTTGCCCCAAGGTCCAGCACTCTCAAAATGAGGCTGGGGCAATTTGAACAGATATCAAAGGTGGGCAATTTTCAAGGCTGGGGCCCAGGGGCTGGGGTTTGGATGATTCAGTGAAGGGAGAAAAAGGGTCAAGGCTGTCTCCCCACTCAGTGTTGCTGGCAGCAGAGGGTTATATAGGAAGGTGGCCCCCCAGGGCTGAGGGACAGGGTTGGGGAGGGGCAAGGGAATGGGAAGTTGGTGACTTCTGGCTCCCTTGGTCACCTTCTCCAGCCAGCACAGGGCTTGGAGCTCACGATACTGCTAGGGACCCATGAAATGTTTAATTTTGACTTCTTTTAAAACCAGAAGAAAAAAAGAATGTAATAATAATGAAGATACAAAAATGAATCTAGACAGGGTCATATTTGTCTTTATACCATTACTGTCATAAAAGGTAAATCTTAATACTTCTTTTATGGAGGAACAGGTCTACGATGGCAAAAGTGCCCAGGGCCCATAAAAGTCATAATGTGGCCCTGAACTAGACCACGGCCTTTCTCGTGCTCTCCCAGCCAAGCAAGACTAATTCGAGACCAGGGATGGCTCCGGCTGCCCATGTCTCCACTCCCCCCAAGTCTTGTGACTTCGGTCGAGAGGTATTGGGGAAGACAGGGCTCTGCCACCCTCTTGCTCCCCAGTGGTCAGGGGCTTAGATCCAGAAAGGGTTGTGAGCGGGCTGGGCAAATTTCTGTTCCTCCCCCAGCTCCTCCAAAAATTGAGGCTGATCCACTAAGGAAAAAAGAGAAAGTCGTTCGGAAAATTCCTGCACAGTCCAGCTAACTGTGGGCTTTCAGGAAAAACAGCACTGGCACAAAGAGAAACCTGTCCATCTCCGGGAAATAATCAGCCTCGTGGAGAAATCAGCAAGCATCTATTTTGTTACCTAAAGAGAAAATGAAATGTCACAATAAAACCCAAATTACCAAAGACAAGGTAACTCTTTGAAATCTGAATTTCAGGTGCCATCTTAAGAGTGTGGACCGAGTTGAAGAGCACACTCCCCTATGGCCTGCGGGGTGGGTGCCACCAGTGTGTTTTGGACAGGAGTTTGGGGACCTGGAGGCCTGGGGGCCAAGGGGCAAAGCATACCAACTTCACTCCATTGCCTATACTCACATCCTCGGGAACTAGGTTGTGAGCAGGCACAGTGCAACTCCCCTGGGCCTGGTACCAGTGCCAGGAGCCAGGCAGCATGTGGCTTCTTAGGAAAGCAAATTTGCAGAGCCATTTGCCTTACGATCTCATCTGTGCTGCCTTTTAGGAGTGAATGTGAGCCATGCGCTCACTGAGTTTGCCTTTTTCCATCGGCTGCCAGGAAGCTCAGATCTAAGTTCTGTGTTCAATCATGACACCTTCCCCCAAGGAAGGCTTCCTTCCTGTTACACTTCTTAATTCCTTGGCATTTTCTTGGAGCTTACTCTTATTGTGGTGACTTTTGGTCTTGTGCTTCTTCCTGTAAATGGCCACAAATTATCTTAGGACAAGTTTGCTGGGACCCTAATTCCACCAGTCACCCCTGCCACCTTCACCTGTGCTGAAAGAATCCCCCACCCATAACCCCTTCTGTTCAGTTTCCCTGGCCTGGCAGACTTGGTTTCTTGCTCATAGCTTAGAGGGCAAGTATTTTTGTGTTTAAAAATGCAGAGGGTCTAAGTCAGAAAGATGAATATTTACATATTATTAAAGATCCTTTTATTTGTAAGTGACAAGAACCTGATCAAATTAGCTGGAGGGAAAAAAGGGGATCATGCTGGAAATCTGTTGGTTCAGTAATTGAAAAGTGGAGGGGGTGGGCTTCAGGCACAGCTGCATCCAGGTGATCATGTAATCAGGAATCTATATCTCTAAACTCTGCCTTCTTCTGTGTTAGTATCATTCTCAGTCAGGCCCTCTCCATGCGGAGAGGATGGCTACAAGTAGCCCAGGCTCATTTAAAATTCTAGAGGTAGAGAGAGCTCCTTTCCAATAGTGTCTGCTTGGAGTTTTGTCCAAAAAGGACTATAATTGGACCAACTAAGTCATAGACTCATTTCTAAACAAATTACCATGCCAGAGGATGAATTACTCTCATTAGCCAGGTTTGGTTGGGTCTGTTGGCACGTCCATGATGTGGGCTCAGTCATGGACCAAGCAGGATTATCATGCAACAGCAGGCAAGTGGTTGCCAAAATGAACTGCTTGATACAAGCCCAAATGTGTTGTCAAACTGTCAAATTATCAGAGTGTCCACAGTGGAACCGAACGATCCGGTGCCCCAGGAATGGCAGAGGCCTTATTTTGAGTTTCTCCAAAGCAGACCCTAAGATGAAGATTCAGGTGCAAGCAGTTTCTTTCGGAGGTGATCTTAGCAAGTACGGTGGGAGAGTGGAAAAGGATGCCAGGAAGGGAGGAAAGACATTAAAGGGAGTATTGACGAGAAGGTAACCACTGTGGGCCACTGGGGCTCAGTCCCTCATGGAGGCTGAGTAGAGCACACCCCAAAACTGTTCACTCAAGGGGTGAGAAAGCAGTGATATTTGCTCACCAACTTCCATCCACCATTAGTTTAGGGTCACTCCTGAGACATTAACTCCCCATAATCTCCAGCCTTCTCCACCGAAGAAAGCAAGTCTTTGAGGAAAGAAGTCACCAACATGTGTGGGAATTGCCTAACCAAAGCCACAGATGACGCCTGGTGTGGGCCAAGGAGATATGATTGGAGGCAAGACAATGTCTGCCACAGAAAGTCAAGTCAAGACAAGGGGGGGATTCTGACACCAGCTGGTCTGTGCTGATGCAATTCTGATGCCATCTTCCCAGAAGCAGCATCACACTCCACAGGCTTAATGCATGGTCCTCAGCAAGACTGCCCCCACTTCAGATGCCAGCTGCAAGTTCAGGGGTCCCCAGGCCACTGTCACTTCTGACCAACTGGCTACAAATACAAGGCTTCGATAATTCACTAGAATGATTCACGGAATTCAGAAGTCACTCTACTTAAGGTGACAGCTGTATTATAAAGAATACAGATCAAGACCAGACAAAGGAAGAAACACATAGGGCAAGGTTGGCAAGGGTCTCAATGCAGAGCTCCCATGCTGTCTCTTTGTGGAATCAGGACACATCACCCTCCAACACATCATGTGTTCACCATCCAGGAAGCTTGCCTGTTAGCTGGGCATGGTGGCACACACCTATATCCCAGATACTTGGTAGGCTGAGGTGGGAGGATTGTTTGAGCCTGGGAGGTTGAGGAGGCTGCAGTCAGCCATGATTGCACCACTGCACTCCAGCCTTGGTGACAAAGTCCCTGTCCAAAAAAAAAAAAAAAAAAAAAAAAAAAAAGGCTCTCCTGTGCTTCAGTGTCCAGAGTTTTTATTGGGATTTTATGACATAGGCACGATTGATGGAATCATTGGCCATGTCGATGTGTAGATGATCTCAATCTCCAGTCCCCTCTCCTCCTTGAGGTCAGGCTGGCTCAAAGCCCCAGCCCTCTAATTGCAAGGCTGATCTTTTTAGTGACCCTCCCGCAGCCCCCATTTTGAGTCATCATCTCATCTCACTAGCATCAAATCTGATGTGATTCAAGAGCCTCATGAATAACAAAGACACTTCTATTACAAACTTCAAAGGATTTAGAGTGTCCCTCCTGAAACAGGGACAAGGGCTAGTCAAATTCTTTATTATACAACAAGGGTCCTGGGTGGGGAGACAGGAGCACATATCTGCAGCTGAGCTGTCACCTGCTCCCCTCTCCCAGCTATGTTCAGTTTGGGGCAACTAGAGCCATTGACACATTAAGGGAGAGGCCTGGGAAGTCTTCCCTGTTTGGGGACTAATGCCTTAAGCATTTGCAATAGGGCTGGGCCTGCTTAGCTTGGCCCTCTATGGGGAGTCCCTGTGTGTTTTAGATGCTACAGATTTCACCCCTCTGTAGCCATCCATTTCACCCCTCCTTTCCCCAAGGTAGTGGACCAAGCTGAGTCTCTCCAAACTCAGTCTTCTAAAGCTAAGGTGGCCAGTGCTATTCTTATCCCTGAGCCCAGGTGTGCAAGCAACACTTCAGCTCTTTCATTTCTGGATAGGACCTTAATTTTAATTCTAAGCCCCCATCCCCCTGGGCTGGTAGAAGATTTATCTTCAGAATTTTGCGATGTTTTCTCCCTTCTGCCTTTGCTTGGGGCTGTGCCACCATTTTTGGCTCTTAATGCAACATCTGGCAAAGAGGGGGCGGGGTTTGATCTTTGTTGTTATCATCTTCATCATACAGGTCACAGTGCCCAGTCTGAAATCCTTGGGTCTAAAAGTGTTCCAGAATTCAGAACTTTTTAGATTTTGGAAGGTAACATAAGACATAGACTATCCATTCCATCACACCCCACCAGCAGCTGGGGCAGATCCCTATAATCAAATCCATTCATATTTCTGCTGTAAAACACATATGCAGGCTGGCAGGGGGTGATAAATCAAGATAGTAAATAGCCTCACATCCATCCAGGTCAGGCTTATGTTCCAAAGAAGTTCAGGCCAAGTCAGGTATTGTGACCAGATGAGTTGCAAAAAACATTTGGATTTTAGAACTTCTGGGAATTTGAAATCACAAACAAGAATCATAGCACCAATAGCTCACATTTATTGAGCACCTACTGTGTGCTGAGACATGACCTCTGTCCAGCGCTATTGTTACTGGAAAGGGGTCCCTTGTCCAGACCCGAAGAGAGGGTTCTTGGATCTCATGCAAGAAAGAATTCAGGGCAAGTCCATAGAGTAAAGTGAAAGCAACTTTATTAGGAAAGTAAAGGGATAAAGAATGACTACTCCATAGGCAGAGCAGTGGTATGGGCTGCTCAATTAAGGATACTTAGTATTATTTCCTGATTATATGCAAACCAAGGGGAGGATTATTCATGAGTTTTCTGGGAAAGGGGTGGGCAATTCCCAGAACTGAGGGCTCCTCCCCCTTTTAGACCATACATGGTAACTTCCTGATGTTGCCATGGCATCTGTAACCTCTCATGGTGCTGGTGGGAGTGTCTCTTAGCATGCTAATGAATTGTAATTAGCATATAATGAGCAGTAAGGACAACCAGAGGGCACTTTTGTCACCATCTTGGTTTTGGTGGGTTTTGGCTGGCTTCTTTACCGCAACCTGTTTTATCAGCAAGGTCTTTATGACCTGTATCTTCTGCCGACCTCCTAACTCATGCTGTGACTTGGACGGCCTAACCTCCTGGACATGCAGCCCAGTAGGTCTCAGCCTCATTTTACCCAGCCCCTCGTCAAGATGGAGTCACTCTGGTTCAAATGCCTCTGACACTACAATGGTAGGTGCTCTTATTGTCCCCATTTTATAGTTGAGAATACTGAGGCACAGGCTTAGTAAGTGGCGATTTTGGCTTCAAGGCTCATGGGCTTTGCTATTAGACTGGTCCATGTAGTCTACTGCTGGCCATCCATGTCCATACGGCCCCTTCTGGTCCCCAGGGGCTCTTTGCTGCTAGGACTGGACATGAGATGGGAGAATGAGGCTGGTAACTTCAGTACGCATGGTCTCCTCACTCCAGACTGGGGGGTCTCACATCTAATGCCCAGAGCGACCATGGAGGTGACTTAAATGAGTGCAGCTGCCCAGATATAATACAGCAGGGAATACGGCAGCAGAGGTGAACTTCAGAGCTCATATGCATGGCATTCGAGGAAGGCCAAAATCTGTTTTCTTAACTCCTGATTTTTAATTCAAAAAATTTTAGACAGCTTTATTGAGGTATCATTTACATATCATGCTTAAAGCATATAATTCAATGATTTTTAGTAACCATCAGCATAGCTTAATTTTAAAATATTTTCATCACCCCAAAAAGAAACCCCATGCCACTAGCAGTCGCTCTTCATTTTCCACCAATCTTCCCAGCCCTGGGCAACCACTGCTCTATTTTCTATTCCATCAATGTGCCTATTCTAGACATTTTCTATAAATGGATTTATAGAAGATAGGATCTTTTATGACTGGCTTCTTCCATTCACTTCACACGCTTTCAAGTTTCATCCATGTTGTAGCTCGTACCAGTACTTTGTTAGTTTTATGGCTAAATAATATTCCATTGTATGGATTGACCACATTTTCTTTTCTTTGTTTTCTTTTTGAGACAGGATCTCCCTCTGTCACCCAGGCTGGAGCACACCAGCACAATCAGGGGGCTCACTGTAGCCTTGGCCCCCCTGAGCTCAGGTGATCCTTCCACCTCAACCTCCTGAGTAGCTGGGACCACGTGTGCCACCACACCTGGCTATTGTTTGTATTTTTTGTAGAGACGGGGTTTCGTCATGTTGCCCAGGCTGGTCTTAAACTCCTGGGCTCAAGCTATCTGCCTGCTTCAGCCTCCTCAAGTGCTTGGATTACAGGTGTGAGCCACTGCGCCCGGCCCCAAATTAATTTATTTACTTGTCTGTGCCCAATTCCCTGGACCAGGTTTTCTCCACCTTGGCACTACGGACCTCCTGGACCAGATTGTTCTCTGCTGTTGGGGGCTGGCCTGTGCATTGTGGGGTGTCCAGCAGCATCCCTGGCCTCCACCTGCTACATGTCAGTGGCACCCCCTCCCCAAGTCACGACAACTCGGAATTTTCATGGGGGAATGTTCAGAGACAGTGACTCCAGGACTGGCTGGACACGGAATCAGCAAGACTGCTGGTTTGGGGTTGGGAAAGGGGAAAGTGAGGTCAGGTCATGGCTGGACTTGGATGCCAGGCTAGGAAGTGTGGGGGTGCAATGAGAAACCACCAAGGGCTTTAAGTGAAGGAGTGACAAGGTCAGGGTGAGTCTCACAAAGACTGTTGTTGGGGTACAGGAAGGGCAGGCAGGGCCGGTACAGGCTGGAGAGCACGGCTAAGAGGTGACTGCAGGTGTCTGGCCACAAGGAGATGGTGGCAGAGGGAACGGAGGACTGTGGATGGGCTCCAGAGAAGCAGAACTGGCAGGACTTGATGGTCCACAAACTGCAGGGCAAGGGTGGGAGTCATGGAGGATGCAGATGCCAGGCTGCGACCATGATGGGGAAACAGGGGAGTCATCCCATGAGGGCAAGAGCATTGAAGGAGGACAGTGGTGCATTCTGGGCGTGTGAGGTTTGAGGCAGGACCTCCTGCAGGAAATACTCCATCATCACATCTCAGTCTTTGCAGGGCTAGGAGGGCGGGGAAGGGAAGAGAGGAGAGTGGAGGGCCCCTGATAAGGTAAGAGATGGAGCAGGAGATGGGAGGCAGAGGAAGATGATGAACAGGCCCCTGGGACAGAGGGAGACACACACTTAAGGAGAGAGAGAAAAGAACACAGAGAGAGAGAGATGGATGGAGACAGACAGAGAGAGAAGGAGAGAGAGATGGAGGGAGACAGAGAGAGAGAAAGAGAGAGTGATGGACGAGACAGAGAGACAGAAGGAGAGACAGATGGAGGGAGACAGAGACAGAGAGAGAGGAGAGAGAGAGATGGAGACAGAGACAGAAAGATGGAGAGAGAGATGGAGGGAGACAGAGACAGAGAGAGATGGAGAGAGACAGAGAGATGGAAAGAGAAACAGAAGGAGACAGAGACAGAGAGAGAAGGAGAGAGGGAGGGAGACAGAGAGAGAAGGAAAGAGAGATGGAGAGACACAGAGACAGACAGAGAGAGGAGAGAAGAGATGGAAGGAGACAGAGGGAGAAAAGGAAAGAGAGATGGAGAGAGGCAGAGACAGAGAGAGAGAAGGAGACAGAGAGATGGAGGGAGACAGAGAAAAGGAAAGAGAGATGGACAGAGGCAGAGACAGAGAGAGAGAGAGAAGGAGAGAGAGAGATGGAGGGAGACAGAGACAGAGAGAGATGGAGGGAGACAGAGACAGAGAGAGATGGAGGGAGACAGAGACAGAGAGATGGAGGGAGACAGAGACAGAGAGAGATGGAGAGAGAGATGGAGGGAGACAGAGAGAGAGAGATGGAGGGAGACAGAGACAAAGAGAGAAGGAGAGAGAGCTAGAGGGAGACAGAGACAGAGAAGGAGAGAGAGATGGAGGGAGACAGAGACAGAGAGAGAAGGAGAGAGAAATGGAGGGAGACAGAGACAGAGAGAGAAGGAGAGAGAGAGAGATGGAGGAAGACAGAGAGGAGAGAGAGATGGAGACGCAGAGAGGAGAGAGAGATGGAGACAGAGACAGAGAGAAGGAGAGGGAGTGAGGGAGACAGAGAGGAGAGAGAGATGAAGGGAGACAGAGAGAGAGGAGAGAGAGATGGATGGAGACAGAGACAGAGAGAGAGAGAAGGAGAGAGAGAGATGGAGGGAGACAGAGAGAGAGAAGCAGAGAAAGATGGAGGGAGGAAGAAGGAAGTGAGAGAAAAAGGAGGAACAAGAGAGACACAGGGAGCAAACAGCAGCAAATGGGCCGACATTTACTGAGCACCTGCTATATACCAGCCCATCATCAAAGTGTTAATCCTATGAGAGGGAAGGCCACTGACTCTCCTCAAAACCCCTCTGCAATTCCCGGAGCCTTGAAGGCCCTCCTTCTTCTGTTCTCTCCACCTCCATAACTTCCACTCACCTGTAGCCTTTTTCTTACCCGTCCAAGGAAGGTCCTAGAAGATCAGAGGAGAGCTGAGCCCATCCTCAGTGAGGAGCCCCATCAATGCAGGAGACCCCCAGCTCTGGGAGGACGGGAGGCCCCGAGCCCTGCTCCCATCTCCTGGCTGTCGCACTCACATCTGCCTTCCTCCTTCCTTCCCTCCTCCCTCTGCCTCTTAGTGAACACATGCTGGCCTTCCAACCCCATCTCCAAGCTCACCTTGGAAGCCTTTCCCCAATCCAGGGAACACAGACCTTTTATCTCCTTCAGGCCCTTCTCGGAGGCTGAAACTCAAGATGCCTTGAGTGGCCTGGGAGGGAATGTGGATGAGTGAGCGAGCTGGGGATATTGCAGGAGCTATGGCAGAGGGCAGCAGACGGGCAGACGATGGCACCACTGAGGGGCTTGGCAGCTGCAGGCCCTCATGAAACGCCCCAGCTCCAGCCTAGCTCCAGCTGAGGGTTGCCGAGAAGAAATGTGGACCCAGTGTTGCGTTTCTGATTTTTTACAAGAGAAGCCAAAACTCCCATATTTTAATGGAAATCCTCCAAATTTTTAAAATGTTGGCATCAAAATATCATCTTTTTTTTTTTTTACAGCTCTTGCCAACATCTGCAGGTTCGATTCAGCCCATGGGGTGCCAGTTTTAGATGGTAGCTGGATCTATTTCTATTTTAGCATTTGTAATAATTGATTTCACGTCACTGTTTATGTCACTCTCCTCATTAGCCTTGGAGGAATGGCCTTGCCGTATTTACGGCCATATCCCCTGTGGCTGGCCCCATGCTTTGCATACAGAGGATGCTTAATAAATGTCAGTTAAATGAATGAGTTGGAGTGTTAGAAGCAAATCAGTGGCCTGCAGAAGGGTCTGAGGATTCTAGAAGGGGATCAGGACCTGTTAGCTGGGGAGGGAACAGCCAGTGAGTCTTCGGGAGGTGGGACAGATGGGGCAGGCCCCTGTCATTTTCCCCTTCCCGGCTGGCCATTAGTAATTTAAATTCCGCCACATCCTTTGCATGTTGCTAGAAGCCTGGGCTGGGGGAGTCTGCAGGCCATCAGGCCTTTCATACAAATGAGCCTGGCCCCAGGCACAGGGCCAAGTAGAAATTGGGCTTTAGGGAGGTGGGAAGAGGTAAGAATTTTAATAAGTTCAATAAAAATTGGAAATAAAACCTACGCTGGAGGAACTGCTGGTTTCTGGCAGTTTTTAAGGGACTTAGTGGAGTGAGTGTAGCAAGGGATGCTGGGAATTTCTGGGCCTGGTCTCGCGAGAAACGCAAGGAGGTTGGGACAGGACTGCTAGGCCCAGGCTCCGACTCAGCCGGAAAGCTGGACTTTGAGGGGCGTGGCCAGGAAGTGGCTGGCCTCAGGGGGCGTGGCCTCAGGGGGCGTGGCCTCAGGAGGAAGCCGAGTGGGTGGGTGGGGCCGCCGGAGATCCTCAGGGTGGGTGCGCTGCAGGTACCCTCCTCCTGGTGGCCAGTAGAGGGCAGCACAGGCATAGGATCCAGCTCCCCAGGGAGTGGGTTGGGTGGGGAACCCAGCAGGGAAACCGAGGCCAAAGCCCTGTCGTAGGGGAAAGGCTGAGCTCCTGGAGTCTCTGACACACAGTGAGCAAGGGCTCAGTGGGGAGAGTCTAACTCCTGTCTGCCCAGCGACTGGAAGTAGCCAGGCTCTGAGGACCACCTGCCACAGCTCATGGGGCAGCGCTCACTGATCTGCCCTGCCCCTGAGCCATAGAGGTGGGAGCCAGGCCCACCCTCTGCCTCCCAGTGGCTCCCACCTCTTTGTCAATGTGCCAGGTCCTTTACTCAGGCATCTCATCCCCATTTTAGAGATGAGGAGAAGGAGGCTTAGAGAGGTTAACTAACATGCCTGAGGTCACACAGCATGAGTGGGAGAGCTGGGCTGAGAGCCATGCAGTGCCTGCCTGCATAAGCACTGCATCACCTGCTGTGCGCTGAACTGAGCTTGTGCATTGATCTGGGTGGGCGTCTATTCCTGCCCCTCCTCCTAGAGCATGAGTCTTAGGGCAGGACTTGGTCTATCTGGGTGATCCCTGTATCCCTAGTACCACAGACATCAAGGTGGCCTCTGTAAATACTTGTTGAAGGAATGAGTGTTACAGAAACTGTGGTAGGAGAGGATTGGAAGACACATTTGAATCTTTCTGCCCCTTCAAATAGGCACTCTCTCCTCTGCCCCCGGGCCAGGGTGGGCCACTGGTGGGGAATGCAGGGGGGTTGGCGTGAGCTGCATTCATCACCCTGAACCCTCTAATAAATGCTCCATTGTAGGTCTAGAAAAGTGAAAGTGAGGGCCGGTTTCGGTGGCTCATGCTTGTAATCCCAGCACTTTGGGAGGCTGAGGCGGGAGGATCACATGAGGTCAGGAGTTCGACCCCAGCCTGGCCAACGCGGTGAAACCCTGATTCTACTAAAAATACATAAATTAACCTGGCATGGTGGTGCAAGTCTGTAGTCCCAGCTACTTGGAAGGTTGAGGCAGGAAAATGGCTTGAACCTGGGGGGCGGAGGTTGAAGTGAGCCAAGATCACACCACTGCATTCCAGCCTAGGTGACTGAGCAAGACTCTGTCTCGAAAAAATTAAAAAAGAAAAGTGAAAGTGAGAGCCTGCATTTGGGTAGGGGTGGAGGGCAGATTGCTCAGGTGTGGATCCTGGCCTCAACACCAGGTGTGTGCTTTGGGCCAAATTTTCCATCTTTCTGAGCCTCAGTTACTTACTCCTTCTCCAAAATGGGATAATAGTCAGACTACTGGTGGGGTTGTGCAGATTAAAGGAGTGAGCACATATAAAGTGCCCAGCACAGTGATTGATACATGGTTGGCTCTGAGGATGATGACTGTAACAGAATTGGTAATATTGTGGCAGCACTGAGACTTTCATGGTATTTAAGTATGTAATGATTTGGTATTACAGTGACACTGTATGTAGTTCATGTAACGGGAGAGGGGGTGTGGACAAGATTAATTACAGAAAGGGAAGAATGTATCTGTGTGTGAGAGGACAGACAGAGAGAGGCAGAGAGATATACAGGACATACAGAGATATACAGAGAGGCAGAGAGATATACAGAGAAAAACAGAGGTGGAAAATAGAAAGATACACAGGAAGGCAGAACTAGAGAGAGACACAGAGAGAGAGAAACAGAAACTAAGAGTGTATTTGGCCAGATGCGGTGGCTCACAACTGTAATCCCAGCACTTTGGGAGGCCAAGGTGGGAGGATCACTTGAGCTCAGGAGTTTGAGACCAGCCTGGGCAACATAGTGAGACCCCATCTCTAAAAAAATAAAATAAAAAATTAGCCGGGCATAGTGGTGTGCACCTGTGGTCATAGCTGCTCAGGAGGCTGAGGCAGGAGTATCACTTGGGGAGTTTGAGGTTGCAGTGAGCCGTGATTGCACCACTGCACTCCAGGCTGGGTGACAGAACAAGACCCTGTCTCAAAAAAAGAAAAGAAAAAAAGTGCATTTACTGCCAGTGATTAGGGCACAAACAGATATATATATATATACATACACACACATATATACACACATATATATGTGTGTGTGTGTATATATATGTGTGTGTATGTATGTATGTGTGTGTGTATATATATATATATATATATATATATATATATATATATATATATATATAGAAAGAGAGAGAGAAAGAAAGAAGCGTCCCTGCTCTGTGGTTGACATTTATCCAGTGCGGCCACTTCCACCTCCACTCCCCACCAGGTGGCAGTGAATCCCCCAGGGGCTGAGAAGACCTGTAGGGCTCCCAGCCGGGAATGGATCTCAGGTGATGCTGGGGCAGGGGACACTTCCCAAGGTGACCAGGACAGTATCAAGCCAAAGGAACCTGGGGATGATTCTTAGTCAATCCAGGAAAACACACTCCAAGGACCAGGTCAGGAGTTGGGTGCCAGAGGGCCAGAGGCCTCGTAGACCTAGAGCACAGTGGGATTGAGGTTGGGGGAAGTAAGGGACATCCCAGGAGATGGCTGGATTGGAGCCCAGTATGGTCAGGAGCCCAGAGTGTGGGGGTGAGAGTTGGACTGGCTCACAGAAGAATGCGTGGGACTGGCGCCATCTTGGTCTCAGGCACCAGACATCACAGCTGACTCCAAGTCTAAGGGGACCTCACAGCACAAACCTGTCTCCCAAACCAAACCCTGAGCCTTGTGGCAGGGACCACATTCTGTTCATCTCTGTGTTTCTGGAGCCCGGTAGGACTCAGTGGGAGCCTCTGTGAATGTTTTCAGATGAAGGAATTGTTGGGTAGAGTTGTGGTGTTGGAGGTGGACCCACACATGGGCTGGGCTCCTTCCTGCGGGCCAGAATGCAGCCAGCAGAGAGGGCCCAAGACCTGGAGAGCAGGGTTTCATCCTCAGCTTTGTAGGCCAATGTCCAGAGCTTTCCTGAGAGTTCACACGAGGGCTTTGCAACCTCCATTTTGCTGCATCAAAGCCTGCTGGGTCTCATGTCTGGGCTCTGGTTGTCTCATGTCCAAGGGGCGGAAACTTGTTCAATCTGAGGCAAAACCGTATTTTTCTAAAGGTCATTCTGTAATGTCATCTCTCAGTATTTCTCTTTGTGGCTGCAGGTGGGCACAGGGGAGAGCAGCCACCTTTGAGAAGATTAAGTCCATTTGATGACTTTGGCTTTTGGGGATTTTGCTGAGAACTGCAGGGATGTGGCTGTCTTAGGAGAGAGGCAGTGAAGGGCTGTTTTGAGCCCAGCCTCTGACTGTCTCCATGTCATCTCCATGTCATAGTGTTCATAGTGGATTTCTGTGCGTTTTGCCTTGATAGCATCCTTTTTACCTTCTTCAGCTTAGAACACAATGACTTTCCTTTGGAAACTATCTCTTTTCCACCCTCATGCCATGTTTACTGCACCACATCTCACTGCAGAGGTGGCCCCAAAGCCCGGCCAATCAAAACATTCCATCTCCTTGCCCACAATGATTGGTTCAGGGATGAGCATGTGATACAAATCAAGGCAATGAGATTCAGTTCTAGGATGTTTGTGGCAACTGCTGGAACACCAGAAATGCCCTTTTAAATGAGGAGAGGATGTAAGCTGGGAGCTGATGGATTCAACATATGGAGGGAATCTGCCAGAGAATGAGGCCAATAGCAGTGCTTGAGAGAGGAAGAGACAGATTCCTGACCTCATCATATGAGCACCTGGATCATGCTCTGTATAATGCCAAATGATCCCTACAACTTTCCATTACATGAGTTAATTTATTTCCTCCATTAAAAAACCCAGTTTGAGCTAGGTAGTCACCACTTGTGATTATGAGTCCTAACACAGCTGGTATAGGCTTAGCCACAAAGTACTGTGGGTCTTCAATGAGGGTAGGTAGGAGGAGCTCAGCCAGGGCCACAGGAACTCCTTGGGCTGTTGGATCTCTTTCTCCTGGCCCAGTATAAGGAACTTGGGCTCTCTTTTGGCTGTCATCTCGAAATATGATAGTTCCCTGAGCTGAGTCAGGCCTTTGGGCCTGGAATCCCCTGTTGCCAAGCCCAGCTGTACCTCTGGGATATCAGTGACACATTTAGTAAGTGCTGGAGTTGGCAGAAATAAATTCAAATTACAATAAATGTAACTGGGTTAAATTCATCAGTTAAAAGTTAGAACTCTTGGGTTATAGAAATAAAAACAGCAAGATCCAACCATACAAGAGGCACACTTTAAAAGACATAGAAAGGTGGAAGAGAGAAGAATGGGAAAAGATATACCTGAAAAAAATGAACCAAATAAAGCTGGGTTAACAGTTTTGTTATCTGATTCAATAGAATTTTTTTCTTGTAAAAATAGAACACTTCACAAATTTGCATGTCAACCTTCCATAGGGGTCATGCTAATCTTCCCTTATCATCCCAATTTTAATGTATATGCTGATGAAATGAGCACTGAGTATAATTTAAGACCAAAAATTATAAGGGAGCAAATAAGGAAATTATAGGTGGGTAAAAAGAATAACAAAACAAGAAAAAATATGTCGTCATAAGCATATATTTTCCTAACAACAAAAACTTTATAGCAAGCAATAGCTGGCAGAACCTCAGGAAGAAACAGATAAATCAGCAGTGATAGAGATTTTTAACATACACACAGACATCTCAGAAACTAATGGAGAAACAGACAAAAAAGTGAACTGAGCTACTGAGCAATACAATGAATACATTTGAATTATTAACTATATATAGAACTCTATTTCCCCTAAAAAAAAAACCCTAGAGAATATATGTTTATTTCAAGCACACACATATAGAACATAAACAAAATATGTTGGAGCCAGGAATTGGACTCAGCCTGCTCTGTTTTCAAAGCTCTGTATTATTCTGTGTCATGCGTGTGTCTGTGTATATGGGGAGCGTAGGTGTTGGTAAAGAGAAACTGGCTGCAGCCAGGCTGGGGTTCAAGGTTTGGGAGACTAGTGTCAGGAGGGGTAGTTAGGTGTCAAGACCAAATGCATGGCCTGGTTTGGGCCATGGGCATGGCTCCCCCAGCAGACTCAGGAGGGAACCAGCCAGCCCCAGAGCCATTTTGCCTGCCCTGGTCAGGCCTGACCCAGAGCCCACTGCTGTGTTTGCCAAATGTGTGACAATATTGCCATGGCCTTAGCAACTTAAAACAACACACATTTCTTAGCTCACAATTCTGTGGATCAGCAGTCCTGGCCTGGCTTAAGTGGGTGCTCTGCACTAGGCTGCAGTCAGGGTGTTGGCCAGAGCTGAGTTCCCCTTTAGAACCCATCTAAGGGAAGGATCTGTTTGAAGCTCACCTGGTTGTTCGGAGATTTCGGCTCCTTTTGGTTTCTTTCAGGGCTTCAGTTTCTCCTGGCTGTTGGCTGGAGACCATCCTTAGCTCAAGGAGGTCACCTTCAGTTCCTTGCCTTGTGGACCTCAAATATGGCTACTTACTTCATTAAGTCATCAAGAGGGACAGGCTCCTTGCAAGAGAAGTGTCACAATCTTATGTAACATAGTCACGTACATCCTATTACCACTGCCATATCCTATTGATTATTGCAATTAAGGGGAAAGAATTACACTAGGGCATGGGATCACCTTAGAGTTGCTCCTTCATAACCTTAATAAACGGCAGCTTGGCAGGCTTGGCAGATGGTGCCCTGTGACTAGAAAGCTGAATGGTGTGCAACCCGTCCACTTGGGTTGGGTCACATCTGAGAGAGTCGAGACCACTAGGCCATTGGCTTCTCTTGGCTTGAGGGTCTCTGGCTCGTCAGAGTGGATGAATCTGCTTTGGCATTTCTGAAGCCCAGGGAATATGGCCTCCAAATTGCCACAGTCACCCTTGCAGAAGGGACTGGAATCTGAGCCCTGAGATAGTAACAAATAACAAGACGTGGGTGTCTGGGGGAAGAATGGCTCAAGCAGTGGAAACAGTGCATGCAAAGGCCCTGGGTCAGGAATATGCTTTGGGGTATGCAAGGGACAAGAAGGAGGCCAGAGAGGGAAAGAGGGGCGGGAAGTGAGGTCAGGGATGGAGACACAGATTTCCATGGCCATGGCTCAATCTATCAGTGCACTACTGGTAGACTTTCAGGGTGTTTCCAATGCTCTGCTATAGTGAATACCCTTGTCCATAAATTTTGCCCACACTTGCAAATATGTCTGAGGGTAAATTCCTAGAGGTGGAATTGCTGGGTCAAAAGGAAAGTGCATTTCAGTTTGGACAGCCATTGCCAAATTCATCCTTCTTCCCTCGCAGAGTTGACACTCCCACTGGCCCTTTCTCTTTTTTTTAATTTTTAATTTTTTTTGAAATGGAGTCTCACTGTTGCCCAGGCTAGAGTGCACTGGCGCGATCTCGGCTCACTGCAACCTCCGTCTCCTGGGTTCAAACGATTCTCGTGCCTTAGCCTCCTGAGTAGCTGCGATTACAGGTGCACACCACCACGCCTGGCTAATTTTTGTATATATATATTTTTTAATAGAGACGGGGTTTCACCATGTTGGCCAGGCTGGTCTCGAACTCCTGACCTCAGGTGATCTGCCCGCCTTGGCCTCCCAGAGTGCTGGGATTACAAGCATGAACCACCGAACCCGGCCCTCACTTTCACTTTTCTAGACCTACAATGGGGCATTTATTAGAGGGTTCAGGCTAATGAATGCAGCTCACGCCAACCCCCCTGCATTCCCCACCAGTGGCCCACCCTGGCCCAGGAGAGAGTGCCTATTTGAAGGGGCAGAAAGATTCAAATGTGTCTTCCAATCCTCTTCTACCACAGCTTCTGTAACACTCATTCCTTCAACAAGTATTTACAGAGGCCAACACGCCCAGCCTCCCACTGGCCCTTTCTGAGGGTCCTCCATGACTGTGATGTCCTTGGTCCCTGCCTAGGCTGGCGTCCTGTCCTGGTTTCACACAGAAGAGCTGCTGCTGTCTCCCTGGACTCCCAGCCCCTCCCTGCAGAAGGCTGTTTGGCTGCAGATGGCTGGGGAGTCTAAAAGCCCCTAAGAGGACACTTTCCCTTGATGGAAATTCTCCATATTGGGAAAATTCTCCCCACCAATAGTCTTTTCCCTGTGCTTTCCCCAGGATCAGAAACTCCCCAATGGCTATTCTGAGACAATGTGAGTTCGCATTTACCCACAATTTGTCTCTGGGAAGGTGGAGGTCTGGCAAACTCTGCCAGAGGACAGAGAACAGAGAACATCTTGTCTGCAACGGGGAGCAGCTGTCCCCTAGTTACTGCCCATGTGATATTGCAGGGGCTGGAAAGGCTGGGGGCTTCCGGACCTGCTGAGATAGAGGCTATGAGAGTCAATCAGCATTTACTGAGCACCTACTATGCGGCTCCTGCACCTCTTCCTGCCCGACCAAGCCCGATTCAGGACGAGGGCAGGGCTGAGCCTGTGTGAGCCTGTGACCTAGGGTCTCTGTGGCTTCACACCTGAGCCTGGTCAGGGCAGGCAGGTGCAGACTGGGGTAACCGCAGCCCAGGTGCCCACCCAGGGCCTCCTTAGAGCCACCCCTTCCTCTGGAGCCTCCCCCTCTCTTGCCTGTTTCTCAGCAGCTTGCAAAACCAGTTAAGCCTTAATCTTTGGTGATTGAAGGGGTGTCCTAGTCCTAAACCCAGCTCTGAGCCAGAGGGAGCCCCTGCTGGGAGCACCTGCCAGAGTCACAGGCCTTCCTCAGAAGACAGGCAGGATGGCTGGGTGTGGCAGCTCACGTCTGTAATACCAGCACTTTGGGAGGCAGAGGCGGGAGAGCTGCTCGAGGCCAAGAGTTCCAGATAAGCCTAGCCAACAGAGCGAGACCCTGTTTCTGCGCAAAAATGAAAAAAAAAAAATAGCTGGGCATGGTGGTGCACACCTGTGGTCTCAGCTACTCGGGAAGCTGAGATGGGAGGATCACTTGAGCCCAGGAGTTTGAGGCTGCAGTGAGCTATGATCGTGCCACTGCACTCCAGCCTGGGTGACAGGGTGAGACTCTAACTCTCAAAATATAAAAAGTAAATAGAATAAATAAAGAGGGATAGAAAACCAACTCCTGCTCAAGGAATGTAACAGATGAGAAGAGCTGACGGTCTTTGGCAGGGACTCTAGGGCCAATGGGAGCAAAGACAGTGATGTCTGGGCCAGGCAGTGAGACGCATGAGATGCCCTGGGCTGCCAGGGCCCTGCCCTCTCTGCCCCTATATTTGCTTGGCCCTGGGCAATCTCATAGCTGCTTACCCTGATGGAGCTCTTAGCACTCGCCGGAGGATGGACTAGGGCATGGTGCCGAGACCCCCCTCCATGCTTCTGCGTGACCTCACTCCAGCTTTGTCTGCCTGTCATTCTGGCCATATATGGCCTAGGTCCCAATCTTGAAGGCTTCAAATCTCGGATCCTGTCCCAGAACAGAGGTGGGCCTCGCAGAGCCAGACACTATCATGGGAAGTGTCTAGGCCCCTCTATGAGCGCCCCCTAGAGCCAGAAGTCAGGAGAAGACCAAGAGCCTGCAGAGACACGGAGCCAGATCCACTTCCAAATGGGATAAGGCAGACAGTGTCACTCCTACCCCTCCCACAGCTCAAGACCGTCTCGTGGCTCCTCATAGCAACAGTCCCACCTCTCACCCACCTCTTAACCTCCTCACTCTTTCCCTGCCCTGGGTCTGAAACTGTGAACACACTTGGTCTCTTCCTGCCTCACCATTCTCTCCATCTGGGGCTCTCTCCCTCCAGAACCTTCACAGTTTTCAGGTCTCAGCTTAAATGTCACCTTCTCAGGGAGGCCTACCCTGACTTCCTTGGCTAAACTAACTGACTCAATCATTATCTTCCATATCCCGTTCTTTGCCTTCACAGCATTTATTAAACTGTGAACTTCAAAAGGTATTTTTATTTATTTGTTTTTGTAGAGATGGGGTCTCACTATGTTGCCCAGGCTGGGTTTGAATTCCTGGCCTTAAGCAATCCTCCTGCCTTGGCCTCCCAAATTGCTGGGATTACAGACATGAGACACTGTGCCTGGCTAAATTCTGAATTTTTAAATGGGTGTGTTTTTTCCCATCTTCCTTCATAAGACTATCAGCTCCTTGAGGGCAGGGACCTTTTTGTCTTATATACTCCTTTATTTCCTAAACCATGAAGACAGCCTATCATCCAGAAAGTGCTTAATAAATATTTGCTGAATGAATGAATGAGTGGAAGAGACTGTGATGGAATGGTAAAACACCTGGACTTGGAGTTGGGCTGACCTGGACTCAAACACACTCCTTCCTTGCTGTGTTACCCTGGCTGAGTTGATATACCTCTATGAGCTTTACACTCTCTTTTTTCAAATAGGGTGTAATGAAACCTAGCCTTCCTGGGCTAAGGCAAGGATTACAAAGGACAAGGGATGGTCAAGTGCTTTACAAACTGTAAAGTGCCCGGGGTAAAGAGAGGCTGTCAATTTTGGCTCTCTGGACGGTTGTCAAGGTGGCCGCTCATCCTCTCATTTTCTTAGTGCACAGGCAGCTTTCTTAGGTCCTGGCCAGTGAAACTAATTGGATGGAGTCCCAGCGTTGCCGCAGGGAAGTGTGGAAGCTCAGAGCACTTAAAACTTAACTAGCCAGAAGAGTTGGATTTGCATTTCAGCGAATGAGACCAGAGGGATGGAAGGTAGTGCTGGGAGGAATGTTCTTGAGGTGGCTTGCAAAGGGCTCAGTTCTATGCTAAGGCAGAAGGACTGAGCTGGTGGGGGGTGAGCTGGGGCCTGACACTGCAGGTGTAGACCCGTCACAGGTGTCTCTGCCGATCAGGGCCCTCCGAGAGCAAAACAGGAGGAGAGGGGGAGGCCCACCATGGAGACATGAATACAGTGACTATTCCTGCTTGTCACTTGGAGACATTTAACTGGACGTCTTGGAGAGGGGGTAGGGAGAGAGAGGCAGACACAAAACAGTGGCAGACAGAGAGAAAGAGACAAAAATGAGAGAGAGATGGAGAGAAAGAAGTCTCAGGGAGGGGGAGTCCGCCCAGTGTCTCCCATGAGCTCAAAACAAAGAAGGAAATTAAGATAGGCTTCCCCGGGGTGCTGCACACTCCCATTTATCTCAGAGAACCCCTTGCCTTTCGTTTTCTTGTAGAGATGGGGTTTCCCTATGTTGCCCAGGCTGGTCTTGAACCCCTGGCCTCAAGTGATCCTCCTGCCTTGGCCTCCCAAAATGCTGGGATTACAGGAGTGAACCATCGCACCTGGCCCCCCACGCCTTTCTTTCTTTTTTTTTTTTTTTGAGATGTAGTCTTGCTCTCTTGCCCAGGCTGGAGTGCAGTGGTGTGATCTTGGCTCACTGCAACCTCTGCCTCCTGGGTTCAAGAGATTCCCCTGCCTCAGCCTCCCAAGTAGCTGGGGCTACAGGTGCCCACCACCACTCTCAGCTAATTTTTATATTTTTTAGTAGAGATGGGGTTTCACCATGTTGCCCAGGGTGATCTCAAACTCTTGGCCTCAAATAATCTGCCCACCTTGGCTTCCCAAAGTGCTGGGATTACAGGCATCAGCCACTGCTTCTGGCCACCCCCATGCCTTTCATCATGCAAGCATCTTGCCTCAAACAGGGTGCGTCTAGTATTTAGGGATCTTTGTCTTTCCACATGGGCCCCCAAAGTTGAGCCAACCCCTTCCTCTGGTGCCCAATCGAAGAGAGACCAATCTGTTGCCAGGCTGGAAGAAAGCTGGGCTTGAACTTCCAAGAGAACTGGTGTGTGCACCTATGTGACACCTCCCTGGGGGATTCCCAGGCCTGTCAGGGACACTTTTAGAGCCCACCTCCACGTTCTGATGGGAGCCACCACCCCACTCCTCACCCAAATCCGCATCTCTCCTGCTTCATCTGTCTGCATTCTGCTCCTGTGACCATTGCCACATCCGATGCCCAAGGTACAATGTTCACTTCGCATTTTCTCTAAATCACTCACTGTTCTCACAACATAAATTCATTCAGAAAGGAACCTTCAGATCACCACTGGAAATGAAAAGCCAGTATCACTTGCAATAAATACAAAAGAACTGTCAAAAAGAAATTACCATTGTAAAAATGTTCGTGAGGAGCCGGGAGCGATGGCTTGTGCCTGTAATCCCAGCACTTTGAGAGGCTGAGGTGGGATCACTTGAGCCAAGGAGTTTGAGACCATCCCGGGCAACATAGGGAGACCCTGTCTCTACAAAAACCAAAAATATTACCTGGGCATGGTGGTGAGCACCTTGTGGTCCCAGCTACTCAGGAGGCTGAGGTGGGGGGCTCGCTTGAGCCCAGGAGTTGAAGGCTGCAGTGAGCTATGATCGCACCACTACACTCTAGACTGGGTGACAGAGCAAGACCCTTCCTGAAAAATAAAATAAAATAGAAACAAAAACATTCATGAAGAATCTAAAACAGTGGATTCAATGGGGGATTATTTTGTCCCCCACTGTCCCTGCCCTCCCCACCACAAGGATATTTGGCCAATGTTTGGAAACATTTTCTGGTTTTTATGACTGGGGTATGTGGGGATGGGGGGGGGTGCACATTCCTGGCATCTGGTAGATCAAAGCCAGGTATGCTGCTCAGCACCCACTAACGCCTAGGACAGCCCTGACATCAAAGCCTTCTCTGTCCCCAAATGTCAGTAGTGCTGAGGTTTAGAAATCCTGCTCTAAAATGAGCTTAAGCACCGCAGAGGGGTGAGCCCCACACTTTGGGCAGCTGTGGCCTAGTTAATTCCTCCTTCTCCTTCAGGCTGCACTGAAACATCCTGCCTCAGGGAAGCCTTCCCTGACCCCCAGAACAGAGCACCCGGTGTAGGCTCTGGCTCCAGGGGCCCCTGTACCTCCCGAGCCCTGACTCATGACCCTTGAGGGTGATTTCTTGCTAGTACCTGCCTTTTCCACTGGAGCAGAAACTCACAGTGGGTAGGGGCCATGTCTGTTCCGTTGGTCTCTTTTTTTTTTTTTTTTTTTTTGAGACTGAGTCTCGTTCTGTCACCCAGGCTGGAGTACAGTGACACAATCTTAGCTCACTGCAACCTCTCTTTCCTGAGTTCAAGCAATTCTCCTGCCTCAGGTTCCCGAGTAGCTGGGATTACAGGCACCGGCTACCACACCTGGCTAATATTTGTATTTTTAGTAGAGATGGGGTTTCACCATGTTGTCCAGGTTGGTCTCGAACTCCTGACCTCAGGTGATCCATGCACCTCTGCCTCCCAAAGTGCTGAGATTACAGGCTTGTAACACTGCTTCCGGCCCCGTTGGTCTTTTTCTGCAGCCCTTAGCGCCGTGTCAGGCTTGTAGCAAATACTCAATAGCTACATGTGGAATGAATGAAGGTTGGGCCAAAAAGAGATGTGGACTCTACTCCTGGACTCACCACAGCTCGCTGAGCCCTTAACCTCTTCTCAGCCCACTTTCATTCTCACCTGTGAAATGCACACCTAATGGGCCTGTTGTGGGGATCAAAGGAGAATGGGCATGAAAGTCCTCAGCAGGGGACAAGCCAGGGCATCCACCAGGGGGAGGATCCCTTGCAGAGTGGGAGTCATTCCCTCATTCATCAATTCCACCATCACGGTCGAGCACCCTGGATGTCTGTTGTCCCAGGGTAATTTTATTTTATTTTTTTAAGAGTCGAGGTCTTGCTCTGTCACCCAGGCTGGAGTGTAGTGGTATGATCATAGCTCATTGCAGCCTTGAACTCCTGGGCTCAAGCATGTGAATTTCTGGGGTAGAAATGTAGAAGGTAGAGATGAGATGGGCAGGATTGTGACTTAGGGGTGTGTACATCCAAGGGTGGCTTTCCCCGCTCTCCTGGATCTCATTCCCACCCAATCACAAGCCTGAGAACTTTCTCCTTGTCCTCTCTCCATCATCCTTCAGGTGAGAGGCCCACGCTCATCTTGGGGAACTTGTGAGGGTACAAGGCCACCAAAATGGAGCTCAGTCCAGGTGAAGAGGCATGTGGGGTGTCCAGGACACAAGTGGACACAGATGAACACAGGTGGACACAGGTGGCCATCAGGAAATACAGGTGACACAGGTGACACAGGTGGGCACAGGTGGACATCACTCTTTTTGAACAGCCCTCGAGGATGTGCTGGCTGTGTCTGTGAGCACACGGCCCAACTCGCAAGGTGTCCACTGTTCACTCAGACTGGGAAAGGACCATTTGTGAGTGCCAACTTCACCTCCCTGTGGCTCCCAGGGGATGTAATGGAAAGGGCTTGAAGTGGAGGCCGGCGGCCTTTTAGGGAAGCCCTGCTCATATCTGCATAGTGCAGCTCATTCCTTCTTGGGGCCAACCATCCCCCTCTCCTCCTATTCTTCCCCCTCCTCCTCCTTCCGTCCCCCTCCTCCTCCCCCTTTTCCTTCTCCTTTTCCTCTCCCTCCTCCTCCTTCTCTCCCCCTTCTCCTCCCCCTCCTCCTCCCCTTTTGCCTTCTATTCACCCTCCCCATTCCCCAGCCTTTCCCATCCTCCCCCTTCCTCTCCCCTTCCCCTCCTCCTCTTCCTCCCCTGCGTCCCAGTCCCCTCCAGGCGAGCAACTTTAGCTGATCTCCAGGTGGAAGGGGAAGAGAAACTGTCTCTCTCTTGATAGCGTATTCTTCTCAACCTTTTTCTTGGAACACCTGGATGTAGGCTTTTGAAATCTCCAAAGCCAAATTGGGCTCCTGTTCTCTCAGTCTTCTGGGACAGCTGTGCCCTGAGGTCATGGGTGTTTTCTATCTAGTTACCCAAATGACAAGGGGAACAGGGAATGCTGGCAGCCTGGCTACATGTCCATTAATGTCAGATATCGTCCCACCAGCAGTTTGTCCTGGGTTACCCTGGACCCACTAGGTCCTGCGGCCATGGCCTCTGGGATCACTCTGAACCCCACCTGGGGGATCAGAGCCTAGTCACTGCCACAGGGCTGGATGGGGGCAGCTGAGCTGAACAAGGCTGGTGGAAGTTCAGTAAACCCATTACTTGAAATTGGAAGGTCTCCATGAAGTGCCACCTCCGATTTGGACCACTTCACTTTAAAAGGCAGAATTCCAACCAGAGTGACGCTAATGACTCTGGTAATCTAAAAGGGGACCTTTGGAGAAAGGGCAGAGAAATTGGAATGATCTCTGCAGACAAGACAAGGTTGGGGGGCACCTCAGTAATTGCTGACCCCCCAAAATGCTCCTCTCAAGAAGATGCCAATCGGCTCACCCCCCTCCCCGTGTCCTCAGAGGGCAGAGCAAGAAATTAGCTTAAATTGGAGCGGGAAAGATTTAGGTTATGTGTAAGGAGGAACTTTTTAAACCCTGAAATATGCTACCAAGAGAGGCTTCGGGTTCTCAAGAGGGTGTCTAAAAATAGCTTGTTCTTTAAAAATAGGTCTGGGCAAGTTTTAAACATAGCATCAGCTCAGCTTCTCAGGGGTGGCCTTATGTGCAGGTGTACCTGGCCACGTGGGGTTCCCCCAGGGCAGAGGGCACAGGGAAAAGCCAGGCTTTGGTCTCCGTCGTGACCAACATCAGGATATTTTAGATACGTTCAGATAAGAGATTTATTTTTTCCTCTGCCCCCAGCCGATTGGTCTCATGAAACAGCAGCTTTTAGTTTCTCAAGTTTTTTTTCCGCGGGAGGCTGTTCTGGGGCTGATATTAATTGGGTCAGTCCCAACAGCTTCTCCTGGTTGCTCCTAGTTTCCCCCAGTCCCTTGCCATTCCTGAGCCAGGGTTCTTCAGTGCCTGATGGTTTGCTGGGAAGTAAGCGGTCTCAGCGGTACCCGGTGCCCCGGGGCTCCATGCCTCCAGCATCTCAGCGCCCTGGCAAGTCCCGCCCATCCTCATCCTCACCTGCGGGGAGGACTGCAGCTGCTCCTCCCAGGCTCCCTGCCTCCTGCTCCTCTCGCCTGTTCTCAGGCCACAGCCATGCTCACCATCCCCACCCAACCACTTTGCTCCGAAAGTTGCAATTCCTGCCCCGGGTCCTCAGGATAAAGTCCAAACTGCCTCGGATGGCTTAAAATTTCCCATGGAATGTCCTCGTTTATCCCTGCAGCAGCATCTCTCACCTCTCACGTGCCCCACCTAAGTGCCTGTGACAGCCACACCAAACCACTTTGCCTGTGGGTTTCTGCTGGTGTGGGTTCCCCTGCCTGCTCCACCCTCCTCCTCCTCCCTCTGACCCTTCCACTCTCAGCTGCTATATCATCTTCTGTGGGAGCCTCTTCTGACCTCCCCACCCCACAGACCCCGGGACTTCTCCTCTTGACTGCCCTGACACCGAGAGGTGCCCAGCCTGTGTGTCTGCCTCTCCCATCCCAATGGAAGCACTGGGAGGACAGGCCGCTTGACCACTGTGGAAAAGCCTGAAGCACAGCAGGTGCCTGATATTTGCTCAGTGACCAGCTGAAGGTCAGGGGTTTCCCTTTGCAGCCCTCCTGCCCCATCTTTCTGGCTCCAGCATCCTCCAGGTCCCCACCAGCCCCTCTGTGTCTCAAGTCCCGGACATGACACGCATGCCCAGCATCTACGAGAATATTTATTTAAACATGAGTGCTCACTGCGTGTTCTCAGTAATAACTTAGCATCTTTAGTAATAAACTCTATTATAAATCAATTAATCAGCTACCTCCCTGGTATCTCAATTAAATGGAGCGTGGCATTCGCATAAAGCATCCAAACCCTGTCAAAGGGAGCCAGGCCAGAGGCAGGGGAGATCCTGGATTTGGGGTTGTCACCGCTGCTCTATGTCCTCACCCAGGGGTAGCTCCAGGCTGGAGACCCCTTGGGAGGGGTCATGTGGGCTCTGGTCCACCCCCACCTCGAGGGAGGCGCAGGAACCTGCCACCCCTCTCCCCAGTGATTGAGCAAAAGATGATTCGTGGCATCTCGGGTTGGCATTCCTGTGTGTCCTCTGGACTCAAGAGGCCCTGACAGGTGTCACCAGGCCAACTTGTCTCTCCCTACCTGAATCCCACAGCTGCCCTGCCTGGGCTCACTTTAAATTCATGAGCACGGATCTCACACAACAAGCAACACTGCCCTGAGAGCCGCATGCATTTCTGCAGCGTGTTTGTGCTTTCCCACTCTCAGAAAAGACTATTTCATACCCTCTGCTTGCCGCTCCTCAACCCCCACTTCCCCACTCTCAGCTGGTGACCTTGTCTCCAGCTTGCTGGAGAGAAGGGGGGTGAATCTGCTTAAGAACTCAGATCCAGCAGGGCACAGGGGCTCCTGCTTGGATCCCGGCACTTTGGGAGACTGTGGCAGGAGGATCTCTTGAGGCCAGGAGTTCAAGACCAGCCTGGACAACATAATGAGACCCTGTTTCTACAAAAATAAAAATGTCAGCCAGGCATGGCAGCACTTGCCTATAGTCCCAGCTACTCTGGAGGCTGAGGCAGGAGGATCATTTGAGCCCAGCACATTGAGGCTGCAGTGAGCTATGATGGTGCTCCTACACTCCAGCCCGGGCAACAGAGCGAGACCCTGTCTTAAAAAACAAAAAACAAACAGACAAAACTTGGGTCTCGCTCAGACGCTGTCTTCCTGCTCTCTTGGGTAACGCATCCCAATTCCCATCAAAAGCCAGCCCTCTTGTTTTCTAGAACCTCCTCGCACCTTCTGGCCGTCTCTGGACCTTGCTTCCACAATCGCCCTCTCGCTCCCCTGCTCTGTCCATCTCTCCCTCTCCACGTGATCATTCTGCATGGGCATGGAAACATTCTCTATCTCCCATTGTTAAAACGCCTTCCCGGCGTTTAACATTCTCTATCTCCCGGTGGCTCATGCCTGTAATTCCAGAGCTTTGGGAGGCTGAGTCTGGAGGGTTGCTTGAGGACAGGAGTTTGAGACCAGTCTGGGCAACATGGAGGGACGCTGTCTGTACAAAAAAAAAATAAAAAAAAAAGGTAGATGATAGATAGATAGATGTATTACATGTATATATTTTTAAATAAATAAAATGCCTTCCTGAGCCCCAGGCCCTCTCCAGCTATCACCCCCATTTTCCCACTTCCCCAGGCAGCATTATGCTTTGAAAGCTTTCTCTATCATTTACCCTCCTCCTCTTCTAAACCTCTTGCAGTTGAAGACTCCACGCTGGTTTTCCCTCAGCCTCCCTGGCCACTCTGCCTCAGCTTTCTTTGCTGGTCCCTCCTGCTCTGCTTAATATCAGATGTTGGCTTCATCCTGGGACCCTTCTCTCTCCTCTTCCTACAGTCTCTCTCCAGGTGACCTCTTCTAGGCACATTGTGTTATTTATCATTCGCATGCAGATGATTCACGCATTTAAGTCTCCGGTTCTGACTACTCCTTGAATCGCAGAACTGGCCCTTCAACTGTTTGCTTGCTATCCCAGCTTAGATATAAAATAGGCATTTCAAGGCCGGCACGGTGGCTCACGCCTGTATTCCCAGCACTTTGGGACCAAGGTGGGCAGATCACCTGAGATCAGGAGTTCAAGACCAGCCTGACTAACATGGTGAAACCCCTGTCTCTACTAAAAATACAAAAATTAGCCGGGTGTAGTGGTGGCACCTGTAATCCCAGCTACTCAGGAGGCTGAGGCAGGAGAATCACTTGAACCCGGGAGGCAGAGGTTGTGGCGACCCAAGATCATGCCACTGCACTCCAGCCTGGGTGACAGAGTGAGATTCCCATCTCAAAAAAAAAAAAAAAAAAAAAAGGCATTTCAAATGAATATGGCACAAATAGGATTCTACCCACCCAAACTTCTTCCTCCCTTCATCTTCTTCATCTTGGCAAATGGCATCTGCCCAGACGCTGAAACCCAAACTCTTGATGTCATCCTAGATCCCAGGGATACCACCTGTGTGCAGCCCAACAGCGAGTCCTATTGACTCCACCCTCAAAACTTGCCCCAGGCTGGGCACAGTGGCTCACGCCTGTAATCCCAGTGCTTTGGGCTGGAGGATCACTTGAGGCCAGGAGTTTGGGACCAGCCTGGACAACACAGGGAGACTCCATCTCTAAAATAAATAAATAAATAAATAAATACAATAGCCAAGTGTGGTGGCATGCACCTTTAGTCCCAGTTACTCAGGAGGCTGAGGCTGGAGGAGTTTGAGGTTAACAGTGAGCTATGATTGCACCACTGCACTACTGCTTGGATGACAGAGTGAGACTCTGTCTCAAAACAAAACAAAAGTAAACAAACAAACTAAACATACCTCAGAGCTGCCAGCAACACCAGCCTAAACAAAAACAGCTTACCCTGGGCCCTTGCAACAGCCTGTCAGCCGGGCTTACCTCCTCCCCTTACAATCACTGTCTCCACACAGTAATCAGAATGATTTTCTTAGAAGAATCAGTTAGACCCCTGCTTAAGGCGGATAGCCTTTTACTGACTTCTCGTCCTGCATAGGGTGAGAGCCAAACTGCACTGTGGGCTCCAGGGCCCTGCATGGCCCTGCTCCTGCCTGCCTTTCTGACTCCATCTGACACATCCCTCCCCTTTCTTTTCTCTTTTTTTTTTTTTTTTTTTTCTTTTTGGGATAGAGGCTCACTCTGTCACCCAGGCTGGAGTGCAGTGGTATGATCTTGCCTCACTGCAGCTTCTGCAGCTTCTGCCTCCTAGGTTTAAGCGATTCTCCTGCTTCAGCCTCCCGAGTAGCGGAGGCATGTGCCACCACACCTGGCTAATTCTTGTATTTTTAGTAGAGATAGGGTTTTGCCATGTTGGTCAGGCTGGTTTCGAACCCCTGACCTCAGGTGATCCACCTGCCTCGGCCTCCCAAAGTGCTGGGATTACAGGCGTGAGCCACCGCACCAGGCCCATCCTACCCCTTGCTCACTCTGCTACAGCATTTCCTCCCAGCCTTCAGCCCCAGCCTTTGCCCAGGCTTCTCTCTATGTCTGGAATGCTCTTCCCCAGTCTTCTGCATGGCTGCCCTCAGCTCCTCATTCCAAACCTCTGCTTAAATGTCACTTCCTCTGAGATGCTCTCCCTAACCACCCAGGCTGAAGTGCCCCCCACCTCCAAGGACTCTTCACCACTTGGCCCTATTTTAGTTTTTTCATGGAAATGTTTACTGCCTGAAATTTCATGTTAGTTTATATGCTAATTGTCTGGCTGCCTCCACTAGAACCCATGCCCGTTAAGAGCAGGACATCCGCCCATCTATTCCAGTCTACCACTCCCCAACCCCCTGGAATAGTGTCTGGCATGTGAAAAGCCTTTGCTAAATATTCGTTGGCTGATTGAATGAATACATGATAAATGAATGAATGGTGACCCTGACACGTGCTCTCCTAGACAAAGTTTTGCAGTCTGGTCCTGTCCTAGCTCATTGCCATATCCCACACTCTTGACCTTTATACTAACCAGCCCAACATCCCCAAGCACCTCTCAATCACTGCTCATTTATTCATTCAGTAAACACTTATTGAATGCCTACTGTGTGTCAGGTACTGGGCTTGGCGCTGGGGATTCAGGGGAGAGCCAAACAGATCTGGTCTCTGGACTAGCATACAGTCTAGTGGGCCTACATAGTGAGTCTCAGATGTGCACTCTTCATTCATTCATTCATTCAAGAAACTTCTGTGGAGCTTATTTTGTGCCTAGTGCTGTTCTAAGTGCTTTATAAATATAAGCCACTGAATCCTCATACCAGTCTATGAGGTAGGTACTATTATTATCCCCATATGACAGGTGAGGAAACTGAGGCACAGAAAGTCAACCTACCCAATGTTACAAAGCTGGTAAGTGACTGTATTAGTCAGTTCTCACATTGCTATAAAGAACTACCTGAGACTGGGTAACTTGTAAAGAAAGGAGGTTTAATTGGCTCATGGTTCTGCAGGCTGTAGAGGAAGCATGGCTTGGGAGGCCTCAGGAAACTTACAATCACAGCAGAGGGCGAAGGGGAAGCAGGCATGTCTTACATGGCTGGAGAAGGAGGAAGAGAGTGAAGCGGGAGGTGCTACACACTTTTAAACAACCAGCTCTCTCGTGAGAACTCACTCGCTATCACGAGAACAGCAAGAGGGAAATCTCCCCCCATGATCCAGTCACGTCCCACCAGGCCCCTTCTCCAACACTGGGGATTACAATTCGGTGAGAGATTTGGGTGGGGACACAGATCCACACCATATCAGTGACAGAGCTGGAAGCTCGGCTCTCTCTTTCACTTTCCTGGCTCTGCTTTCCTCTGGGCTCACCTTGTGATGCACTTGACATTGTCTCTTAATTCTTAGCCCCCCTGGACTCAACACTCCTGGACTTAACAGAATTCAGCTTCCTCAGTTTGGACTAGCACAGGGCAGGGCTAGGAGTCATGACAGCTCTTCCTGCTCTAAGTTCTGGGGAGCACCACACCCAGCCCAGCTCTGGCTCCCTGGCCAACATCCCCCCATTTCCAGTGTTCTCCAAGATTTCCTTGGGGCCTGGAGGAACCATACCCACCTGACCACACCGGTTGGGAATTCCATTTATAGTTTCAGGAGTTGGGAGATTCCAGAAACCACAAGGAGAGATTTACAGCTGTGGGTTTCCTGGTGTGAGTCCAAGCCAGGAAGTAATCACGGCAGCAGGAAAGCCTCATTCATTTAGTCTCCTCTAATTCAGGAGGTGCAGTAACTCACCAAAAAGTCTCTTTTTAATTCAGATGAGTTGGAAATGATTCCTTCTGACAAGGATTTGTAGGACAGATGCTGTGGGTGGACCTTGCTTTACAGAATGAACAAGCTTTTGAAAACATAGGCAAGGTTCAGATTTTTTTTTTTTTTTTTTTGAGACGGAGTCTCCCTCTGTCACCCAGGCTGGGGTGCAGTGGCACGATCTCGGTTCACTGCAAGCTCTGCCTCCCAGGTTCACACCATTTTCCTGCCTCAGCCTCCTGAGTAGCTGGGACTACAGGTGCCCACCACCACGCCCGGGTAATTTTTTTGTATTTTTTTAGTAGAGACAGGGTTTCACCGTATTAGCCAGGAGGGTCTCAATCTCCTGACCTCGTGATCCGCATGCCTCGGCCTCCCAAAATGCTGGGATTACAGGCATGAGCCACCGTGCCCGGCCAGGGTCAGATTTTGAAGCAGAATCTTTAAAATGCAATCAGAGAGTTCCACCAAGGTATCTTTGAGTGAACTGTAATTTTTACTTATTGAATTTCCTTAAAGCATGGTCTCTCGTATTTGGGGATAAATAGAATTTAATTTAGGAATCAATGCTTTTCTAAACTAATAGTTCAGAAAATTAATTATTTTGCCAACAGGCTAAGTCCACCTTCTGGGTGGGAGATTTTGTATTAAAATACTGTTGTGCTCCTACTATCCTGGCATAAGGAGTTGTCCTTCTCATGAATATTCCAGCCCTCAGAAAAGGAACTGGCAGAAGACTAAGAAAGGGGTCAACACCCTTCTGAGCAGGAACAGCTTCTGGGCAGGGTAACAATTCCAGAGAGACTCAGCATTGGGCAGTAATAAAGAGGAGAGACTTGTCCCTTCAGAAAACAGATTGTACTGTAAAGTTACAGTGATTAAAACAGTGTGGCACTGATGCAGGAACACAGAGAAAGATCGGTGGGACAGAATGAACAGTTAGGAAGTGCACCCATGTAATTATGGGACTTGGAATATGGTATAAAAGTGTCCTTTAAAATCAGTAGGGGAAATACAAAAATTAGCCAGGTGTGGTGGTGCGTGCTTGTAGTCCCAGCTACTTAGGAGGCTGAGGTGGGAGGATCAACTGAGCCTGGGAGGTGGAGCTTGCAGTGAGCCCAGATGGAGCCACTGCACTCCAGCGTGGGTGACAGAGCGAGACTCTTTCTCAAAAAAAAAAAAGTTTATTAATTGTTTTAAAAAGGTGTAATCTATGCAACAGACAAGATTAATATTCAGAATACACAAAGAATTCCTACCAATTGATAAGGAAAAAGATTTTTAAAAACAAAAAGAAAATTGGCAAATGATACAGACATTCAAAGAAGCAGAACTAGAAGTGGTTAATAAATGTGAAAAATGCTCAAGCTCACTAGTACTAAGAGAAATATAATAGGCTTTTGGGGTCCCCATTCTCCCATTAGCAGCCAGGCAGTTTTCTCTGCTCTGTCTTAAAAGAGTGGAAAGTCTACAAAACACTGAGAAAATAATGGTCCCCTGACCCCAGCCAAAGCCCACTCTACAGCTGGGTCTTCTTACTAGATGGGGGAAAATGCTTTAAACATAAACAATTTAGCCTCTAATCCTAGCACTTGGGGAGGCTGATGTGGGAGGATTGTTTGATCCCAGGAGTTTGAGACCAGCCTGAGCAACATAGCAAGACGCTCATTTCTACAAAAATGAAAATACAAAAAATTGGCCTGTCATAGTGGCATACACCTGTAGTCCCAGCTACTTAGGAGGCTGAGATGGAAGGATCACTTAAGCCCAGGAGCTATGATCGTGCCACTGCACTTCAGCCTGGCAACAGAGCAAGACCCTGTCTTAAAAACAAAAAGAAAGAAAGAAAAGAGAACTACCCTCTCTGGCCTCCCAAGCTCTGTTCCTGCTGACCTCCCTTACCCAGAGGTCCCTGTTCTCCACAGTGATCACAGGCAGACAGGCAGGCAGGCAGCAGAGAGGCTGTGGGTGTGTGGGGACAAAGCCCTTCCTTACTTCCTGACGCTTTGCTCTGCTCTCTGCCCCACAGGCCTCCTGGGAATGGTCGCCCACATGATGTACACGCAGGTGTTCCAGGTCACCGTGAGCCTCGGTCCTGAGGACTGGAGACCCCATTCCTGGGACTACGGGTGGTCCTTCTGGTAAGTGGACCTTCAGGACAAGAGCAGCTTCAGGCACCAGGGCCCAAGGCACGCTGGGACTTCAGCAGCTCAGCCCAGTGGGGTGGGGGGCGGTGGGGGGGAGGAGAAATGGGGAGAGTTGGAGGGGCTGTAGTCCAAAGGCGCTTTAAGACCCCAGGGCAGGGATTGGCAAACTAGGGCCTGTGGGTCAAATCTGGCCCACCACCTGTTTATATGCAGCCCTCAAGCTAAGGATGGCTTTTGGATTTTTAACTGCTAAGAAAATAAATCAAAGGAAGAGGAATGCTGTTTTGTGACATGTGAAAATTACATGAAATTCAAATTTCAATGTCCATAAATAAGGTTTTCTTGGAACACAGCTACTCTCATTGTTTTATATTATCCACGGCTGCTTTAACACTGAGATGGCAGCACTGGGCGGTGGTGACAGAGACTGAATGGCTCACAAAGTCAAAAATACTCTCTGACCCCCTGCCGACCCCTGCCTAAGAGGCGTGCTATGGAAGGTTGGAGATGGAAGCTGGCAAGACCTGAAGTTAGGCGAGCTGTGGAGGGTTCTGGGTGGTCTGATGGGGTAGGTGGACTCCAGTGAGGGGCTCTGAATACAGGAAACAGGTCAGCACCTCAAAGCAGGGTTTGCATATGAAAGGCATGATTAGTCAGGGTTCTTTTGCTTTTGAGTGATAGAATCCCAAGCGTAAGTGAACAAGGGGTGTTCATTTGTTTGTGTAACTGGAAAGTCCAGGTGGATCAGCTAGGGTGCTCTGGGTTGTAACAGAAAAACCTACCTGCATCAGTCTAAGTAAGGAGATATCATACATTGGTTCATGGAAAGGAAAAGCACAGCTATGGTGTGGACTTCAGGACACGTTTGTTCCAGAGTCACTGAGGTCATAAGGGCTGAGTTCTCTTCCTCTGTATAGTCATCTGAGCTTGGCACCCTCCACATGTTTACTTTGTTGCTGGGCTGGCTTCCCTGTTGGGGAGAGCTCTTCCTAAGGCTGGTGCATTCTCCTTCCCTTGTAGGAGAGAAAGGGCCTCTTGTTCTCCAAGATTGACTAGAGTCCCAAGCTTCCCTCTGGTGGGCTTAGGTCATATTCTCTCTCCTTATTCATTGCCACAGCTGGGGGAATATCATGAGCTTATTCCCTTAGTTTGACCAAGCCCACCTCTGGAGCAAAGAATGAGTCAAAACCTCTCAAATGGTGAGTGGATGGAATAGATGCTGAGTGAGCTACCACAAAGTCTGCTTCAGACACAGCTGGATCCAGGTGACCAGATTTCATCTGGAACCCAGTCATGCCCTCATGCCCTCTCCTTATCTTGTCTCTCTTCCCTTTGAATTGGTGTTGGCTTCATTCTCAAACAGCTTTTCCCCAAATGCTAGCAAAGATTATCACAATGCACAGACCAGCCTTCCTTTTTTTTTTTTTTTTTTTTTTTTTACAGAGTCTCTGCTCTGTCACCCAGGCTGGAGTGCCAGACTTCCATCTTAAAATTGTAGCAATACCAGCAGAGAGATAGGGTTTCTTTCCCATATTTCCAGCTAAAATCCTGGTTATGACTTTCATTGGCTTAGCTTAAGTATGTGACCAAACCTGAACCAATGATTTAGACCCTGGGGGAGACTGGAATGACCTGAGCCACATGGTCCAGAGCGTGGCATTAGCCTCACCCAAACCCTTGGACAGAAAGAGAAGTAGGGGAAGTCTCTTCAGGCTGGAAAGACAGAGACCACAATTGTCCACTACACAGGGTATCCAGGTCTGGGGCTGGTAGTTGGGGAGCATTTACCCATTCAGTCATTTAACACATATTAACTGAGTACTTCCTCTAGGACAGCTGTTCTTCTAGGTGCTCGGGATGCAGCAGTGCTGAGACAGCGTTGCAACAGGGATTGAGACAAGTGAACCAGCTGTATCTGAACTGTGCTGTGATGTAGATGTGTGTGGGGAGGAGAGTTCACAGGCAGCTGCAGGAGCACAGAGGAAGGGCATTGACTGACACAGCTTTGGGTGGGGCGGGTCCCCAGGAAGAATTTTGAAGGCAAAACAGGAGGGAATCAGGTGCTAGGCAGAGGGAACAGCAGGTCCAAGGACCTGGAGGTGAGAGAGCATCTCAGAATGGAGCAGGAGGGACTATGATTATAATTTTAAAAAAGACCCCATACCAGTTCAGTGGGCACCCCAGCTCCATCTCCACTCTCTGCTCAATTCCATCCTTTTAAAACCAAAAGCATTTGCCTTAAAGGGACCTTGACCCATTAACCCTGGCCCCGATCCCTTTAAGTAGAACAATCCCAGGGAAGCCAGCTGAGGTTCTGACCTCCCTTTACCCAACCCTTCCCCCTGCAGCTGTTCCTTCCTGAGACCTTGAACTTGGAAGATCTTCTCCCTGAGCTAGAGAAGGGCACAGAGGAAGGGAACTAATATTTGTGTTGACCATGTGTGTAATAATATCTTAGATTTACTGAGCGCTGATGTGCCATGAATCAGGTAGGTATTTCATGGAGGCACAGAGAACTTAAGTAACCTGCCCTGAGGTCTTCCAGCTGCGAGGGGTAGAGCTGGGATTCAAACCCAGGCAGTCTGGCTCTAGAGCCATACTGGAAGCCTCTCTGAGAAGATGGGTAATAATGAGAGTTCATTGATGTGCTTTCTGTGATGTTCCACACATGGTGTGTTCTCAGTAAACACCAGCTCTTATATTGTTGCTACTGATATGAAATTTAACACGCGCAACAACGTGCTACTGATGTGAAATTCGGCACGCGCGACATCGTGCTACTGGTGTGAAATTCGGCACGCGCGACATCGTGCTACTGATGTGAAATTCGGCACGCGCGACATCGTGCTACTGATGTGAAATTCGGCACGCGCGACATCGTGCTACTGATATGAAATTTAACATGAGCAATATCATGCTACTGATAAGAAGTTTAACACATGCAGTAACCTCGTGTTGCATATGCAGATGCTGAGAATCAGAAAGTTTGAATCACTTGCCCTGGTAGGAACTGGTTCCTCCCCATGAGTCCCCCTTTCCAGAAGGCCCTGGCTCTCTCCTCTGGTGCTCAGTGTCTCAAGTCAAGCCTGCTGGTGTCAGCCAGGGGAACATTCTTTCCCTGGAAGCCAGGGATTTCTGCCCTGCTCCTCTGCTCCCTCCTTCGGGGCTGGCCTCCCAAGGGGCACCGAATTCCCACTGGACTTATTAAAGGCCGGGGCCCAATGTGCAGCCCCTATTAGTGCTGATCCATTTCTCCCTGTCACTGAGACCTGCAAGATGGATCAGCCCCGTTTTTCATCCCTCACATTTGGGGCCTCGCCAGGGCTGCACCATGTCATCTCTCTTGTTTAATATGTGTGAGGCCATTTGTCAAAATCCTGGCCCGAGAGCCTCCCCTGCTCCCTCCCCCGGTACTGGAGAGGAGAACAGCTCTGAGAAGAGATGGCACCCACCTCTGTCTTCCTGCCCAGCAGGGAAGAACAAGCTGCAGGGTCTCTGGAAGCTGGAGGGGTTTTGAGGCGCTCAAAGCCGGTTGAGTGCCGGTTTCTTAGAGGGACACCTTTGCAAGAAGTAGAAGGTCTCCATGGTTAAGAGTCTGACAGCCTGGGGTTCAAATCTCACCCCGACATACACTGCTGGGCCACTGTGGCAGCGTGGAGGGGCGGTCAAGGGTGTGGCTCCTGGAGTCAGACAGTTCAGGTTCAGATCCTGCCCCTGCCCCTCACCAGCCGGGGACCTTGGCCAAGTCACTTACCTCCTCTGCACCTCTGTGTCCTCAGCTGGAAAATGGGACAGCCCGAATTTCCGCCTCATGGGGGTCTCTTGAATTGTATTCCATTTCTCTGTTGAGGTGTACACATCACCCCCAAATCTAGTAAAAAATATGTTATTATGTAGTAATAATAGTAACTAGTAAAAATGTGTTGTTATTTGTTCTTACGTTTGGTGGTGGACCGGGCTCATCTGGGTGGTGCTTGCTGGGTTCTTCCTCGAAGCTTCAGTTGGATGTCACCTGAAGCTGAGGTCATCTGGGGCGTGGCTGGGGTGGACCTCCAAGGTGGCACCTCATGACACTGGCAGCTGGTGCCGGCTGGCGGTGGCTGGCGGCCGGAGGGGCTTCACACAGCCTGGAGGCTGGGTCCTTGGGGAGACTATCTCAAGAGTGAGTGTTCCAGGAGACCCAGGTGGAAACCACAGTATCTGCATGAGCCAACCTCAGAAATCACACAGTGTCACTCCTGCTGCATTCTATTGGTTAAGAGCAAGTGACAGGGCCAGCTTCAAGGGGAGGCATGAACCGCGGGAGGTGTGGCTCCCTGGAGGCCAGCTTTGGAGACAGTAACCAACACGAGGAGCTAGTGAATCAATGCATGTGGAGCACTCAGCACAGAGTTTGCTCGGTGAGTGCGAGCCCTCCTGCCCACTCCTCCTTTTGGCGCCATGTCTCAGCTCTCCCTACCTGTGACAACGTCAGGTCAGGACCCTGATGGGCGCCCAAGCAGCTGCTTGGCTTAACGTGGCAGGGACCAAGTGAATCAGATTAAGGTTGGGGCCGAGCAAAGTGGCTCACCTGTAATCCCAGCACCTTGAGAGGCCAAGATGGGAGAGGGGCTGGGCAAAGTGACTCACCTGTAATCCCAGCACCTTGGGAGGCCAAGGTGGGAGAATCGCCAGAGGCCAGGAATTCAAGACCAGCCTGGGCAACATAGCCAGACCCAATCTCTAAAACAATAAAAAATAAAAATAATTAGCTGGCTGTGGTGGTGCACACCTGTAGTCCCAGCCACTCAGGAGGGTAAAGTGAGAGGGACACTCAAGCCCAGGAGGTTGAGGCTGCAGTGAACTGTGTTCGTGCCACTGCACTCCAGTCTGGGCTGGAGGTTCTGTCTCAAAAAAAAAAAAAAAAAAAAAGATTAAGGTTACTACACCTACTTTGTGCTGTGCACAGTGGGAGGCACTTTACAAGCCCCGAGTTGCCTGGTCCTGTCACTGATCCCCAGGAGAGGGGCTGCCATCCCCCTTCAGGGACCAGGAAACAGGTTGAAAGCCACACAATTAGCCTTGGATACTGTGAACTGCATGCAGCCGGGGCTGAACCCAGCCTGCGGATGATTTCTTAGGCCTGCCATTGTGTCTTATAAAAGTTTGGATTTATTTCTAACATCTAAAATGGTAAAACTTCTACATAAAAGTCCAGGTTTCTGATTCATGATCATTGGAAGATCTGTTCCTGCACAACCAGCATTGCCACCAGGCAGCCTGGAGATAAGGCTGAGAATGACTGAAACTTTAGATAGGCATCTGGTCTCCAGCTCACCCCAGTCCCCACCACACCCTATTGCCTTACATTTACCCACGCTTCCACACTTAGTCATCATCTGCCTGACCTTGCAGGAATTTGAGTCTGTGGCCCCTGCTTGGAATGTCAGCTTTCCTGGTGACAGCAGGAGTGTGGAAAGCTAGCCTTGCGCTTTCTGCTTCTGTTTTGCCTTTTATCAGTCTGGAGAGAAATGGAAAAAGTTCTCCTCTTACTCCTGCACACACAGTGAAATCTTATCTCAAGCATTCACTCTGCAGACTGAGGGTAGTGGGACATCGTGGTGTGGAAGCTTATAAGAGCTGGAGGGCCCAGAGAAGTTATGCAGTTTGGCCCATGTCACACAGCAAGAGAGTAGCAAGTTGGGCCAGATCTAGGGAAGGTTCTCACTCCTGTCCTAGTGGCCCCTTTCTGTTTCTGGGGCCCTGTCCCTGTGGAATATAGGCCTCACTGCTGTCCCTCCCTTTCTAGTCTCCATGACTATGTGGAAACAGCAGACCAGCCTCTTTCCTCTCTGGGGACCCCAGGCGGCCCCTTTGCTCTCTGGAGGGGTTAGCTGGTATTCCAGCAGGCCAATCCCTTAAGGGGTTGAGTCTGCTGCTGTGACCCTACCAGAGCCTGGGCCCCAAAGACAACTGGAGAGGGTGTGTGTGCTGATGTCTCTGCTGAGAGGCTGTGTGATCAGCAGGAAGTCTGCCCTTACTCATCAGCCTGAGGCAGGTGGCTGCGGCCTCCTTTATTCTAAGACCAGGGTTGGGGAAAGGGATGTGGCTGCCCAAGGGTGCCCTGTGGGCCATGGAGGGACCAGCTGGGCCCTCAGAGCCTGCCACTATCCAGCTCCTAGTCCCATCAGCTCTTGGGCCCTGAGGGTGGCCTGGATTATGCATCTGTGCCCAGCCGTGCCCCACATGGTGAATCTGTACCCCTCTGGTCTGCAGGCAGCCAAGGCAGCCTTCCTTAGTGATCCATTACAACCTCCCCACTGGGCAGGGCCTGGAGTAGGTTGCAAGGTGGTGTCTATGTGCCTCTAAATCTGCTCCCCCTGTGTCCCTCTGCCCCTGCTGCTCCCAGGGGATGAAGAATTGACAACCCCTGTCACCACCCTCCCCTTTTCTCCCTATGGTGTCCAATCTGCTCTTGGCTCCGGAAACCAGGCCAATCACCCACGCAGCTCCGTGTGCCAGTTCAGAAGTACAAGCTGCTAAAACCAGCAGGTGTTCTGGCCCCAGAGTTTTCAAACTGTGTATTTTGTGGGTGCGTTGGGGCCCTGGGGGGTGAGAGGAACAGGGAGATGAAGGCTCATGGATATAGCCTCTCACCCATGCTAAAACCAGAGCAGTGTTTTCATATCTGTCCTTTTCTCTGTTTTTATTTTATCTGTGTTTATCCATTCATTCCACAAGTATTTACTGAGCACCTATTATGTGCCAGGCACCATTCTAGGTGCTAAGGGATAGTAGTGAAGTGAACGAGGCTCCCATTTTCATGAAGCTGGCATTCTGGGATAGAAGAGGAGATAATCTTAAAAAACAAACACTAAGGATTCCAATTCTGAGAAGACAGAGTAGACATGCTTCTTCAATACAACCACAATCCTTGGACCTAAAGATAAAACAGACATCAGAAGACTCTGAAAGGCAGGAAGAAGACAGTAGGCTGGTTAGGTACCAAGAAACGACACATTGCTGAGTTCTTTTTGTGTTACATATCCCAGATTTGGAGCTGAAGAAGTCAGCAATTCAGAAATGCCTAAAGGACAGAAAAAAAAAAAAAGGCCCAACTAAAGTCCGCTTTCTCTAGCCAAAGGACCAAGAAAGGGTCAGCCCACTGAGACAGAAAACATTTAGCAATAACTTCACTACTCCAGTCACACATTACAGAAAAGAAAAATCTGTGGCTTCACCCACACCCATGCCAGGAAGGGAATGAGTGGTTAGATTTTGGTGACAATCACCAGGTGGACTTTCATCTCTGCTGGGCAGTAACAAGGTGCCCCTTTCTCCCTGCAGGGATTGTGTCAGAGGAGAACTAGTGGAGAGTCAGGATTTTTGCCACTGCCTTGTAGTAATAAGAACATCTCCCTCCCCATGGTGTCAGTGATGTGTGGGGAGCAGGGATGAGGCCCCCTGGCCCCTCCCAGCCAGGTATCAGCAGAGGCCTAATGGGGAGTCAGAACTCCCACCCCCACCCTCACCTGGTAAGAACCAGGAACCATCTCCATCTTGAATGTCAATGGTGGCTGATATGGTTAGGCTTGTACAAATCTCACCTTGAATTGTAATCCCCATAATCCCCACGTGTCAAGGGAGAGACCAGGTGGAGGTAATTTGATCATAGGGGTGGTTTCCCCATGCTGTTCTTGTGATAGTGAGTTCTCATGAGATGTGCTGGTTTTATAAGGGGCTCTTCCACCTTTACTCGGCACTCCTCCTTCCCGTGTGGCCTTGTGAAGAAAGTGCCTGCTTCCTCTTCACCTTCTGCCATGATTATAAGTTTCCTGAGGCCTCCTAAGCCATGCTGAACTGAGTCAGTTAAACCTCTTCCCTTTATAAATTACACAGACTAATACACTCGCCCAGTGGGAAACCTAGACTTCTACCCCTACCTGGAAGTAACTGGGCAGAGCCTCCACCTCGCCAAAGCCACCTTGCCAGAATGATGTGAAAGGAAGCCAACTAGAGCAGACAGTTTAAACAAGATCCAGAGTCTCAAAACATACTCCAAATGTCAAGGTTGCAATTAAAATCACATACCATGCCAAGAACCAGCAAGATCTCAACTTGAACAAAAAAAGACAATCAATAGATCCATGCTGAAATGACAGAAATGTTAAAAATCATCATAAAAATGCTTCAACAAGCAGTTGCAAACACCCTTGGAAAAATAGAAAGTCTCAGGAAAGAAGTAGAAGATAGAAAGAAGGACCAAATGGCAATTTTAAAACTAAAAAATTCAATAACCAAAATAGAAAGCTCAATGGTTGGGCTCAACAGCAGAATGGAAGGGACAAAGGAAAGAATCAATGAACTTGAAGATAGGACAATAGAAATTATTTAATTTGAACAACAGAGAGAAAATAAACTTAAAAAAATGTACAGAGCCTTAAGGACCTCTAGAACTACAACCAAAAATATAACACTGGAGTCCCAGAAGAAAAGGAGGAAGAGGATGGGACTGGACCAAGTACTGAAAGAAATAATGGCTGAAAACTTCCCAAATCCTGTAAAAGACATAAACCTTCAGAATCAAAAGCTGAATGAATCTCTAAAATAGTATAAATTCAAAGAAATCCATACCAAGACACATCACAGTCAAACTTGAAAAAAAACTAAAGTTAAAAAAAAAAAAATGAAAACAGTGAGAAAATAACATCCTCCCTAACTACAGGGGAAAAAATTCAAGCAACAGTGGATTTTGCATCAGAAACCATGGAGGCTAGAAGGAAGTGGCACAACATTTTGAAAGAAAAAGAAAATGAAAATGCTGAAAGAAAAGAACTATCAATTTAAAATTCTATACGTGGCAAAAATATACTTTAGAAATGAAGGGGAAATCACGACATCCTCAGATGAAGAAAAACTAAGAACATTTGTTGCCAGCAGACCTACCCTAAAAGAAAGGCTAAAGGGAGCTCTCTAAACAAAATGGAAATTTTAAAAAGGGGTTTTGAATATAAGAAAGAATGAATGAAAAATGGACAGAGAAACTTTACTTCTCCTTTTGAGTTTTCTAAATTATGTTTGATGGTTGAAGCAGAAATCATGATATAGTCTGATGTGATTCTAAATGTATACAGTGGAAATATTTAAGACAATTATATTATAAATGAAGGAAAGTAAAGGGTCACAAAGGGAGCCAAGATTTCTATGCTTTACTCAAATGTTGACACCAGTAGACTGTGATTAGTTATGTATATATAATGTAAGACCCAGAGCAACCCCTAAAAAAGCTATATACAGAGATACCCTCAAAATAACTATAGATAAATCAAAATGGAATTCTAAGAACTGTTTGAGAAATCCAAGGGAACACAAGAAAAAAGAAAAGAGAAACAAAAAACAGAGGAACAAGCAGGAAAGAACAAAATTAGGTGGCAGGCCTAAGCCATAACATATCAATAATCACTTTAAATGTAAATGGTTTAAATACACCAATTAAAAGTCAGAAATTGGCCGAGTGGATTTAAAACATATGACCCAAAACTATGTGCTGTCTACAAGAAACTCACTTCAAGTATGAGGAGATAGATAGGCTGGAAGTAAAAGGATGAAAATCATCTATCATGTAAGCATTAATCAAAAGAAAGCAGGATTAGCTATATTAATATTAGATAAAGTAGACTCAGGCAAATAAAATAACCAGAAATAGACATTAAATAGTGATAAAAGAGTCAATCCACTAAGAAGACATTGCAATCCTAAATATGTATCCACCAAACATCAGAGCTGAAAATCTGTAAAGGAAAAATTGATGTAGCTGAAAGGAGAAATAGGAAAATTCATAACTATAATTAGAGATTTCAATATGGCTTTCTCAACAATTAATAGAACAACCAAATGGAAAATCACCAAGGATATAAAAGAACTCAACATCATCAACCAATAGGATCTAATTGAGAAATGTTTCAAATCAAATCAGCTCTCATCCCAAGAACCTAGAAAAAGAAGGGCAAAATAAGCCCAAAGCCAGCAGAAGAAAGATGAGCAAAAATCAATACAATTGAAAACAAAAAATAATAGAATCAATGAAACAAAAAAGCTGGTTCTTTGACAAGATAAAATTGACAAACCTCTTGCAAGAGTGACAGAGAGAGCGGACAGAGGAGAGACACAAAATGCCAATTCAGGAATGAAACAGAGGATGTTGCTGCAGACTTTGAGGACATCAAAAATACAGTAAGATCATACTACAAACAACTCTACACACATAACTTTGACAGCCTGGATGAAATAGATCAGTTTTTCTAACAGCACAAACTGCCACAATTTACCAAATGCGAAATAAGTAATTTGAATATCCCTATAACTACTAAGGAAATTTAGTTTATAAATAAAAACTTTCAAAACAGAAATCTCCAGGTCCAGATGGTTTTACTGGAACATTCCACCAAATATTTAAATAAGAATTAGCACTTTTTTTTTTTCAGAAAATAGAAGAGGAGAGAAAACTTTGCAATTCACTTTATGAAGCTAACATTACCGTTATTAAAACCAAAGATAGTGCAAAGAACCGCAGACTAATAGACACCATGAATATAGATGCAAAAATCCTTAGCAAAACAATAGCACATAGAAGTCAGCAATATATAAAAATAATTATACGTCATGATAAGTGGGGCTTATTCTAGGGATTATGGCTGCTTCAATATTTGAAAAATCAGTCAGTGTCATTCACCATATTAACAGGCTAAAGAATAAAAAAATCACATGACCATATTAATTGATACAGAAAAAGCATTTGACACAATTCAACATTGATTCATACTTTTTAAAAAACTCTCAGAAAATTCAGAATAAAGGGGAACTTCCTCAACTTGATAAAGACCATCTATAAAACATCTACAGCTAACATTATACTTAATGTTGAAAGACTGTTTTCTTTCTAAGATTGAGAACACCATTATTATTCAACATAGTGCTGGAAGTTCTAACTAAAAATAAGACATAAAAGACATGCAATACATAAGACATGAAAAGAAAATAAAAAGTATACAGATTGTAATAGAAATAAAATATAACTATTTGTGGATGTTATGATTATCTGTGTAGACAAATTCAAGGAATCTACCAAAAAAATTGCCTAGACCTAATAAATAAGTTTAGTGTTGTCTTAGGATAGAAGATAAAAATACAAAATCAATTGTATTTTTATAAACTAGCAATGAACATTCGGACAACAAAATTAAAAATATATATCATTTATACTAAAAAAGTGAAATAGACATAAATCTAACAAAACACTTACAGGACTTGTACGCTGAAAACTGTAAACCACAGAATAATACCAATGAAAGAAATCAAGGAAGATCTAAATAAATGGGTAGATATACTATGTTCATGGATCAGAACACTCAGTATATAGAGAAGACATCAAATTTCTTATAAATATAGAGAAAAGTATTCTAAAATTTATATGGGAAGGCAAAGGAATTAGAATTTCTAAAACAATTTTGAAAAAGAAGAATAAGGCAGGATGAATTAGAGTACTCAATTTGAAAACTTATTGTATAGCTACAATACTCCAGACTGTGTGATATTAGTGGAAGGATAGGCACATAGATCAATGAAAAAAAAAATAGAGAACTCAGAAATAGACCAATACAGATATGCCCAACTAATTTTTGACAAAGGTACAAATCAGTTCACTGTGTGTGGGTGTGTGGTAGTGGCAGGGGTGGGGCAGGCAGGGAATGGCCTTTTCAACAAATGGTGCTGGAGCTATTGGACATTCACTGGCAAAAATAAACAATCAGCCTTACTTTAAACTGCACACCACTTGCAAAAATTAATTTAAAATGGATCACAGATTTAAGTATAAAATGTAAAACTGTAAAACTTTTAGAAAAGTAAGAGAAAATCTTTGGAATCTAGGGCTAGGCAAAAAGTTCTTATATTTGATATCAAACACATAAAAGGAAAAATGGATTAATGTAATTCATCAAAACTAAATACATTTGTTCCACAAGAGACCCTATTAAGAGATTGATGAGAAAGCTATAGACTGAGAGAATATATTTGTAAACCACATTTCTGACAAAGAACTAATCTCTAGGATATACAAAGACCTCTAAAACCCCAACAGTAAACAACAACAAAACAATCCAATTAGAAAGTGGGCAAAAAACACCAATAGACATTTTGTCAAAGAGGATACACAGATAGCAAATAAACAAATGAAAAGTTGTTCAACCTCATTAGCTGTTACGGAAGTGCAAATTAAAGCCACAATGAGATATTATTACGCGTTTATCAGAATAGCTAAAATAAAAAATAGTGACACCACCAAATTCTGGTGAGGATGTGAAGAAACTCATACATTGCTGGCAGGAATACTGTACTTAGCAATATAAAGGAACAAACTACTGATGCACATAACAACTTGGATGATGCTCCAGATAATTATGTTGGGTGAAAAAAAGCCAATCCCATACATACTCCTGTATGATTTTATTTATGTAAAATACTTGAAGAGGTAAAATTATTGAAATGAAGAACAGGTGGCTTTCAGGATTTGTGGGAGGTCAGGAGGGAAGTGGCTGTAGCTATAAATGGCACAGAAGAGATCCTTGGTCTGTAGTTTGACTGTATCAATGTCAATATCCTGCTTGTGATATTGTAATATTGTATTACACTAGTTTTGCAAGAGTTTACCATTGGGGGAAACTGGCTAAAGGGCACATGGGTTCTCTCTCTATATCATTTCTTACAGCTGTTTGTGAATCTGTAATTATCTCAAAAGGAAAAATTTAATTGAAAAACAAGAGTAAATAAATGAAAGGAAAAAAGATAAAAAGAATCACAGGGTGTGATAAGGGCTGAGATGAAACTAAACAGGGGCATGTGATACAGAATGATGGAGAGGGGGCTTCTTAGAGATGGTAGACAGAAAATGCCCACTGAGGAAGGGGTGACATTCACAGGTGAGAAGGGACCAGCTGGGCAAAAAGCCTGGGTAAAGCTTGGAAAGCAGCGAGTCCAGGGATTCCACAGGGAGGGAAGGCAATGGGGGAGGTAGGTTTGGGAATGAGCTTTGAGTTTTTTGAGGAGTGGAAAAGAGACCGTAGGGCTGGGATGTGGAGAGCCTGAGAAATCAAGCTCAGGGTGACATGTTATTTGAAAAAAGATCTTGCATGTAAAGTACATGGAAAGGCGGGGATGTAGGCTTTTCTTCTAGCACAGTCTGACTTTGTGCCTGTCCAGCCATTGCCTGTCTGGCTCTGCTCCACCGCATAGCATCTGTTTCTGGGGCCCTTGGGCTCTAGCAAACCCCCTCTCTCCCCAGGGAAGTTCCCTCCACACACTCAGTTACTGGACTCCACCACTCATGCAAGGTATTTTTCTTTGCTCAGGCCTTTAGTTTGAGAATCCCCTGCTCTGTCCCCTGACTGGGCCATCAGGGTTGAGCCAGACTTGGTCACCCTTAAGATCCTTGGCTATAAAGACTAGAAATTCACGTCAAAACTAACTCATGCAAAAAAGGAGAATTTATAGCAAGTAAACATATAATAACTTTGGTTCCCAATGACCAAAACTCAATTCAAACTGGCTTCAGGGTAGAAAAAAATCAAGGAAAAAAAATAAAAAGAAACTGAGACTTCCATGATTGAAAAGTTCAGGGATAATGGCTTCAGCTCAGGGATCCAGCCCCTTTTCATGGCTCTGCTTTCTTTTGGGTCAATTTCATTCTCAGGCTGGGTGGTGGCAAGAGGGTCCCCAGCAACTCCTGGCTCAAATCCCACCAGCTTAGCACCACAGAAGAAAGATGAGCTTTGTTTCCCAGTAGCTTCAGCCAAGTCCAGGAGTTGAGTCTCATGAACCTGACTTGGGTCATGTGCCCACCCCCCAACCAATTACTGTTGCCAGAGAAAAGCAGCATTTTCATTAGCCAAGCCGAGGTCATGTGCTCACATGGATGTTGGGGTTGGGGCCAGCCCCACACAAAACAAATGGCCTGAGAAGAAGGGAGTGATCCCTTAACAGAATTGGAGTGTGGTTACCAAAAGGAAGAATGGCTACTGAGCAGGCAAAACCAACATACTCCTTACTCATGGAATCCAGAAAAAGCCTACTTGTTCATTCTCTATCCTCGGGTTCTGAGTTTCCATCATGCTAGTATAAAGAGACATCCCAGGTTGAAGTAGAATCTTCAGCTTTGTTGCTCAGGAGAGAGTATCTGATTGGACCAGCTTTCACCAGATGGTCAGCCCTTGTCCCGTCATCTATGAATGGTGGGGGGTGGTGAGTCACATGCTGGACACTTTGGTGGACAGGGAAGCTCTTAGAGGGGCCGGGCTGATATCCTAAAACTGTCTATTACAGACAGTCAGGGCTTCTGGAAGATCTACATCAGCTCCTTATCATGAAAGAAATGGGAACTCTATCAATGGGTTTTGTGTTAAGGGAAATAGATGGTCCTTTTGAGGATCCCTTTGAGAAAGGCAGAGTCCTCAGATTTTTTCCTTGCTTTCCTTCTGGGGTGCTCAGGGGCTGTCAAGGGGAAAAGCAGTGGGTGCAGGCAGTGGGCTTCATTGACCATGGGGAATGCAGGGGTGGTGATGATGTTTAGAAACCAGCTGGGTGGGCTGGCAGCAGGGGAGGCCTGGAGCTCCCAGGAAATGCAGGGTTGGAACAGCAAAACTGAGTCCCTGATTTGGAGGAAACCAGTTACCAAGGCAGAGACTGAAGAACAGGGATCCAGGAGCCAGGCCAGAGGTAACTGAGGCCAGGCAGGTACCCCACTCCTGGTACTAAACGTTGAATGCATAGTCTTGATCAGAGGAAACAGGCAGGCCATTTCTAGGCTGGAACTGGATCAGCTGAGTCTCCTCGCTCTACCCCACCCTTCCTACCTTTCCAAGTGTGGATAGGACAAATTCTCCAGGTTTGGGCTGGGCTCAGCATGTACATCAAGTGAGGGCTGCCAAGAGTCCCAGCTGTACAGAAAGTTGTGGAGGAGAAAGCCAAGCAGGTCATTCATTATAACCTCATCTCTCAGGGGGAGAGTTTACAAACCAAGTCATATGGAAGTGGGTAATGAGGATGTTAATATTAATGATAATAATGACAGCAAGACTTTCTTGAGTGCCTACTATGTGCCAGACACTATTCTAAGATGGTTTCAGTGGATCATCTCCTTTAATCCTTGTAACAACCCTATGAGGTAGTGCTGTTGTCCATTACGATGAACGTGAGGAGGTGCTGGGAGCAGTGGCACATACCTATAATCCCAGTACTTTGGGAGGCTGAGGCAGGAGGATCACTTGAGCCCAGGAAGTTGAGGCTGCAGTAAGCTATGATCGCACCATTGCACTTCAGCCTGGGCAACAGAGCGAATCCCTGTGTTTAAAACAAATAGTCATGAGGAATGTGAAACAGAAAGGGTTGGCATCTTTCCCAGGGTCATACATGAACAAAGGTAACTTAACTTTCATAAAAAATGAGCTTTTAGGGTGTCTGCCCCCATCTCCTTCCCCATCACCAACTCCAGCTAATCTTCTCATGCATCCTCACTTCTGCTCCCCAAACCTCCCACAGTTTGTAGAACATTCCCTGCTGTTTGATGCCTCCATGCCTTTGTACACACTATTCCTTCTCCTGGAATGCCCTTTCCCCCGGCCAACTCTCACTCTCCTTACCAGACTGAACATAAGTGTCGCTGTATTTTGGGTAACTTTCCTTGATGCCAGCCCCCTTGGACAGAATGATTCACTCTCTTCTTGCCTCCCCATAATGAACTCTGTTACATCTGCATCACAATGTGCAGATAATTCTCTGTCTCCCAGACTGCGAGTGGGGCAGGGACCAAGTCTTATCCTTCTCTGTGGCAGTAACTGCTTAAGTACCAGAGGAAAAGGCAGCCATGCAGGGATGAATGAATGTTTGGTGGGTGTGGGATTTTTCCTGTCCCTTGCCCACCCTCACGATGGCATCTCTCTCCTGATCTCTTGGCAGCCTGGCGTGGGGCTCCTTTACCTGCTGCATGGCAGCCTCTGTCACCACGCTCAACTCCTACACCAAGACGGTCATTGAGTTCCGGCACAAGCGCAAGGTCTTTGAGCAGGGCTACCGGGAAGAGCCGACCTTCATAGACCCTGAGGCCATCAAGTACTTCCGGGAGAGGTCAGTGCACAGGGGGTTACCTCTGGCCACCACGGGGACTCTAAAGCCCACGGCCTGGCCTCAGTGGCCACCGGGCCCCAGTCAAAAACTGGAATGAATGGTATGACAGAGGGGTTATGGAGGGGGGAGGCAGAAGAAGGCAGAGTTTGGACGCCACTATGTCAGAATTTCTGGGATATTTTAATGTTTTATAGGTCATGAGGTTGCCTTGGGCTTATGTGATCAAAGCACTAGAAACCCAGAAGGGAACCAAGTTTGAGCATTTACCATTAGGTCCTATGCTTCTTGGAACCATGATAAAGAGATAAAGAAGCCGAACCAAGGTTTCCTTCTTGGGCTCTGTCATGGCATTGAGTGAAAAGAGGACCCAGCTGTGGGATTGGTGATGGCTCCAGGAGGAGGATGGCTTCTCAATGTTGGGAACTACATGTAATCACCCAAGTCTTCAGGGTCCAGCTGGGATTAGAGGAGGTGACAATAAACAGTGGGTGGGTAGATGGATAGACAGATGGCTGGACAGGTGAGCGGGTGGATGGGTAGGTAGATGGATGGCTGGATGAATGGATGGATCAATAGGAGAGTGAGTGGATGGGTAGATGGATAGACAGATGGCTGGACAGGTGAGCGGGTGGATGGGTAGGTAGATGGATGGCTGGATGAATGGATGGATCAATAGGTGAGTGAGTGGATGGGTAGGTGATGGATGGATGGATGGATGGATGGATGGATGGATGGATGATTGGGTGGATAGGGTGGATAGGTAGGTGGACGGATGGACAAGTGGACAGACGGGTAGGTGGATGGATGGATGGATAGGTGTGTTGGTGGATGGGTAGGTAGATGGATGGATGGATGGATGGATGAGTGGTGGATGGGTAGGTGAAGGGATGGATGGATGGATGGATGGATGGATGGATGGATGGATGGATGGAATGGTGAGTGGGTGGATGGGTAGATGGATGAATGGTTGGATGAATGGATTGATAAGTAAATAGGCAGAGGTATAGATGAGTAGGTATGAGTGGAAGGACAGACAGGCAGAAGGCTGGCTGGATGAATTTCAGGAGTTTAGAAGCTGGAGATATCCTTAGGCAGAACTCCTCCCAGACACCTTCTTCTGATGAAGCCACTCAGAGAGAGCATCAGCAGCCTGAAACCAGAAATTTCTGAGCTTTTCCTCCAGGGGATGAGTTCATTGTTTCTGCTGTATCCACCTCACTCTGTACTGCTCTCCTGGCTCCACCCAGAACTGCTCCTATGGGCCAGCTACCACTACCACTCTCCAACCTAGTGCCAACCTACACCCTGCTAGCTGCTCCAGTCTCTTCTGGGCTGTCAGGGTCTGCTGCCCTCTTTAACTCAGCCTACATCCTTAGAGCTGCTGTGCCTATGTTTGTGGCAGGGCTTGCACAATCACAGGCTGTTACTCTCTCTGAGCTCTGTCTGCCTCCCAGGCCTATCCCAATCAGTAGCAGCACCTAGAGGTACCCGCGAATGGCCGATCTGGCCTGGGGTCCCTATGCTCCCAGTCTCTCCTCTTGAGAGAGGGGATATAGAACAGCAGCCCTAGGTCAGAGTCAACCATCATAACTGCCATTTATGGAGCACAAGTTATGTGCCAGGCCCTGTGCCCAGGAATTTCATTTCAACCTTAAGACTTCACTATGCAGTTAGGACTGTTAGCTCCATTTTACAGATGAGGAAAACTGAGGCTCAGAGAAGTTAAGACACTTATGTAAGGTTGCACAGTGATGGAAGGGGAGTTGGGCCCCAGGTCTGCGTGGCTCTTTCCTAGAATGAAGAAAATCAGAGCTGGCAGTGCCTCAGGATCAGGCCACCCAGATTCAAGAGGCAGCCCCAGGATTTAACTCAGGCAGCTGCTTGAGCCCATGCAGGTGCTGTTATGCCCTGGACAGATCTGCTCAGTACTCACAGTTCATGAACAGGCTGGGGGCTTCTCACAAGTCCATGTGACTCTCAGCCTTGAGGACCCTCTTTGACCCCAGAATCTGCTTTGCCCAACACGTGGGGCTTACTGGAATGCCCAGGAGACTGATACTGTCAGGAGTTGGTGGGTGTTGGTGGATGAAGACCCACCTTCCCACCCTTGGGTGCAAAACGGCCTGGGGCACGCTCTGCCATGGGACTGGTCTCCAGGTGCCCTTAGCAGGGATCAGCCTTTATCACATCCTCTGCTGGCTCCGTCCCTTCCCTGTCGCACTTCCCTTCTTCCCTACCCATAGTTCCTGGGACCGCCTCCCCTCAAGAAAACTACCTTTACCCAAATCCTTATCACAGGGCCTACTTCTGGGGGAGCTGAAGGAGATGGGCATTAACACCTTTCAGTGGCAGGAAGGCATCACTGCACATCCTCAGGGCTCAGCAGAGGACGAGGACGAGGAAGGGGACAGGAGGCTGCAGGGTGGGGCAGCAATGAGGAGCTGGACTGTCTGTGGGGCCCTTGGGAGGGTTTCAGTCAGAAGAGAAGCATGGCAGCGCATGGGGTGAGGAGACCCACACAGGTACCCTGACTGTAACAGGCCCCTCTCTCAGCCTGCCACTGTGTCTTTCCCCAGCCACATCAGCCTCCTTTCCATCCCTCAGGCACTCCAAGTGCGTCCCCACCTTGGGACCTTTCTACTTACTGTGCCACGGGATGCTTCCGTGAGGCCTCTCCTAATCACTGGGTCTAAACACACACTCCCCACAACCTTATCCTAGACACTCTAACCCATTGCTATTTTTTATGTTTTGGAGACAGGGTCTCACTCTGTTGCTGTATTAGTCGGTTCTCATGCTGCTAATAAAGACACAACTGAGACTGGGTAATTTATCAAAGAAAGAGGTTTAATTGACTCACAGTTCAGAAGGGCTGGGGAGGCCTCAGGAAACTTAGAAGTATGGCAGAAGGGGAAGCAAACACGTCCTTCTTCACATGGCGGCAGCAAGGAGAAATGCCGAGCAAAGTGGAGAAAAGCCCCTTATAAAGCCATTAGATCTCATGAGAACTCCCTATCATGAGGACATTATTAGGGGTACTGTCCCCATGATTCAATTACCTCCCACTGGATCCCTCCAATGACAGATGAGGATTATGGGAACTCCAATTCAAGATGAGATTTGGGTGGACACAGCTAAACCATATCAGTCACCCAGACTGAGTACAGTGACACAAGCACAGCTCACTGCAGCCTCGACCTCCTGGGCTTAAGTGGTCCTCCCTCCTTGGCCTCCCAAGTAACATGTGCCACCATGACTGGCTAATTTTTTCATTTTTAGTAAAGATGGGGGCCTTGCTATTGGTTGTCCCAGATGGCTTCAAACTCCTAGCCGCAAGCAATCCTCTGACCTCAGCCTCCCAAAATGCTGGGATTACAGGCATGAGCCAGTATGCCTGGCACCATTTCTATTTTTTCATAGCACCTGATACAACCTGCCAGGATTTTCTTTATTTGTTTGCCAGTTTGCAGACTGTGAGCTCTGGGATAGAAGACCTATGCCGTCTTGTTTCCCACTGTGGACCAGGAGCCTAGAATTGGGCCAGGCACCTACTAGGAGCTCATTCAGGGTTTTCTGGTGATTGACTAGACTCTTGTCTTTGGAGGCCTCAGCCCTGGCTCCCTCATGCTCTTTTATTTCCATCTCCACCATCATCTCGCTGATTCAGTGCCCCAGCACTTCCATGCCAAAGCCCCAGGAGAGAGGATGTGATTGCTCGGTGTAGGTCAGGTGTTCAATCTCGGGCCAGGCAGCAGTGGCCAGGAAGATCCGGCTAACCTGGCATGCGGCTCATCTCGTCCCAGGCTGTGGATGGTGGCAATGCCCAGCATGGCACAGGGCCCGAAGTGGGCACTCAGCAAGTGTTTGCAATAGACACATAAGCAGCCAGATGTCCAAAGCTGCCCCATTAGCACTGCGGTCAGTTGCCACCCCTGCTACGGAGATTCACCTCCTTGGGCATCTGTGGGTAAAACACACCTCATTTTGCTGAGGCAGAAGACAAGACCTCTCCGTACCCCATCAACAAGAAGCTGCTGTTTGCTGGTGCCCCAGTTCCAATGGCTCCTAACAGCTCAGCCCCAAGATGAATTCTTCCCAGCATATGTGCAGAATATCACTTTACACATTCATAACTTGAACATTATGCAGAGGTTCATCAAATTTTATTTCCCTTCCCCTCTGAGGAGAGCATTTCAGCTTAGCCAGGCTGTTCTATTTCTTTTCCTTTTTTCTTTTTTTTTTTGTGCTTTCCCTACAAAGAGCTCAGAGCACATAGATGTCTGCATAGGTTTGCAGGATGGCTCAGATGCAGGGCTGACATCTTACAGTGGCCAGCATCCTTGGAGCCGCAGCCAGGAACTCAAGGGAGGGCGATCCATGGCCCCACCTGCCCAGGTTTCCTTCTCCTCCACGGGGGACAGAGGGTGCTGTGGAAAGAGCAGGGGTTTGGAGTGAGTTTTCCAAATCTATCTCTTTGCTGCTATGTAATTTGGGGTGAGGCGCTGAGCCCCTTTGAGCCTGTTTCCTGTGACCCAGGATGGGAGAATCCAGAGCTCTTGGTGTCTCAGGGAGGCTCAAATTTGAAAACCCATGTGACATGCCGCGCCAAGTGCCTGGCACATGGAGGGCTTTTTGTGTGTGAGTTCCTGTCCCTTCTGCTCCTAATGCCCTCACCAGACCCCAGAGTGAAGCATGAGCTTGGTCATGACCAGCTTAGGATGGAGATGGCGAGGGTATTTCGAAGCATGGCTGATAATCTCGTTATTATCTGTGGCCCTGTATAAGGCTCTCCTCTAAATACCTCAGATGTGACTCAGTTAATTTCTGCGATGCCTTTCTATGTGTAAGTGTTATTGTCACCTCCATTTTACAGGTGGCAAATCGAGGCACAGAGAGGGAGGGCGACTTGCCCCAGGTCACACAGCTGGTAAGTGCCAGAGCTGGGATTTAAGCCCAGGCCACATAGTCCTTCCCTGTGCTGTGTGGCCTCTCAGGCTTGATCAATTATCTCTGCTGGGTATTGAGCTAGGACCTGGGCACACAATGAGAGTAAAGGGAGTCCCATGGCTGAGGAGTTCATCGCAGGAGGGGCAGGTGAGGTGAGAGACAGACCGTGAGTGGGTTTCTGGTATGATGCATTCTGTGGGACAGAGCTCATGGGCTCCCTCACGCCCCCACGTTTCCTATCTGTGGGAGAGGGCTTTCTGGAGCCCATTTCATCCGAGTCTTTCCTGCTGTCCTCCTGGAGACCAGCGACAAGGTAGTGCCCTGCGGGGGCTGATGGACAGGAAGAAATTAAACTGTCCCTTTCCCACCCCTACCCCCACCACCCATGTCCTGTTGGATTACCCTCTGCAAGAGCCGACTGCATGGCTGAGGAGCAGTTGGGCAGATTTGAAATGGTGTTCAGCGCTGTCGAAGAAAGGCGTATTATGTGTGTGTGTGCGCGTCTGTGTGCGTGTGCGTATGCATGTGCACATGGTCATGTGGAAGGACCAGTATGCACATGTGTTGGGTTTGCTGGATTGGAGGGCCTGCACCCCCCAATTCCTGCCCCACCCCTGAGAAACATCTGGAATTAAACCCTCCCAGCGTCACCCTGCCTGTCGTCCCCTCCTTCGTCTTAATCGGGCCTCCCAAGGGGAGGGTCAGATGCTGCTGAATGAAAGGTAAATATTTGCAGATTGGGGCTTTCTTGAATACTTAATGCTCAGATCTGGTTTAACAATGTGTGGAAGAAAATCAGACCTGTTGGATTGGATCCCAGAGGGAATTCAGCTGTGCCAAACAAATGACCCGCCTCACTTGGGAATGTGGCACTGTGTGGGGGACGGAAGCCCCCGGAGCTTTTTGGGAGGGCAGATCTTCCTTCCTGGGACCCCTGCACCTCTCTCTGTACCACTTAGGACTCTCTGAAATTACTTGTTTATTTATTTTCGTGTTTATGTCTGGCCCATTTCGGTGCACACTCCACGAGAGCAGGGAGCCTGCTTTTCCTGGTTACCACTCTGTCCCTGCACCTAGAACCACAGAGGCCCAATCAATTACGGTATTAATTATTAACAATATTAGGCCAGGCTCGGTGGCTCACGCCTGTAGTCCTAGCACTTGGGAGGCTGATGCAGGCAGATCACTTAAGTCTAGGAGCTCGAGACTAGCCTGGGCAACATAGCAAGACCCTGTCTCTACAAAAAAATTAAAAGATTAGCTGGGTGTGGTGGCATGTGCCTGTGGTCCCAGTTACTCAGGGAGGCTGAGGTGGGAGGATCACTTGAGTCCGGGGGATCAAGGCTTCAGCGAGCTATGATGGCGCCGCTGCTCTCCCACCTGGGCTACGGAACAAGAACCTGTCTTGAAAAACCAAACCAAACCAAAAAAACATTAATTCTATTGTTAAGTATAGTAGAAAGTTATGCAGTGCCTCCTGTTGCAGACACTGTTTGAGCGCCTGGCTGACTTCATGCATTCAGCCCTTGTGGAACGCCTGAAGAAATAGACCAGGGTTGGAATTAACTTCGCAGTTTACTAGCTGTGAGTCCCCAGGTAACTCGCTTCACCTCTCCGAGCTTCAATTTTCCTGGCTGGAAAATGAGCTAATGCCTACCTTGAGGCTTTGTTGTGAGGACTTTATGAAATGATACAATTATGTTTCTGGAAACAAAGCTGGGGTTCCCCTCTCCCTGCCCCCGCCCCCCTCACCCCATCCCTCTGTTAGAGACCTCCCTCTGTGCAGGGCAAATAAGATACACTCCCTGCCTGAAAAGGGGGCCTGTAGCAAGCGGCAAATGGTAGTCCTTGGAGAATCTGGCCTGCAGATGTGTTTTGTTTAGCTTGCATGGTGGTTTCAAAATTCTTATTTATTTATTTATTTATTTATTTACTTTTTTGAGACACTCTCGCTCAGTCACCCAGGCTGGAGTGCAGTGGCGTGATCTCTGCTCACTGCAAGCTCTGCCTCCTGGGTTCACGCCGTTCTCCTGCTTCAGCCTCCTGAGTAACTGGGACTACAGGTGCCCGCCACCACGCACAGCTAATTTTTTTTGTATTTTTTTAGTAGAGACGGGGTTTCACCGTGTTACCCAGGATGGTCGTGATCTCCTGATCTCGGGATCCGCCCTCCTCTGCCTCCCAAAGTGCTGGGATTACAGGTGTGAGCCACCGCGCCCGGCCCAAAATTCTTAAATTTGGGCTGAGTTTTAAAAATCAGGAGATTTCATGTTAAAATATCAAGGTTTTGCAGAAACAGAAAAAGAAATATGGCATTTTCTCACTTATAAGTGGGAGCTAATCACTGGGTACACATGGACATAAAGACGGGAACAACAGACATTGGGGACTGCAAGAGCAGGGAGGGAGGAAGGCAAGGGTTGCAAAACCACCTATCAGGTACTATGTTCAGGGTTTGGGTGATGGGATCAACTGAAGCCCAACCTCAGCATCATGCAATGCACCCATGTAATGAATCTGCACATGTACCCCTGAATCTAAAAAAAAAAATACAAGAAATCAAAAATCAAGGTTTTTGGCTTTTCATGACAAAGCAGAGATCTGGCCACACTGGGCCCATGTTCCAGCATGGCAACAACAGGCTGAAACACTTGAGTTCACAGCCCCCTGCTCACACCACAGCAAAGTGCAACTGGGTGGCACAATCGAGTCTCCCGGAAGTGGCTTCAGGCAGGAGGGGCCAGTCCCAGTGGGAGGTATAGGATAGAAGAGGCTTCACAGAAGAGACCCCTGAGCTGAGTTTTTCAATACTCATGCAGCATTCACCAGACAGATCGGCAGTGGGTGAGGAAGGCTATTTCAGGCACGGGGAACAGAACAAGCAAAGGCCAGGAGGGGCCGACACACGAAGCACATTTAGGAAAATCTAAGCAACTTGGTGTGATTTGAGAGTGAGCGCCTCGATGGGAGTTGTGCCTGGGTCTCTGATCTCTCTTCTCCTCCCACGGTGTCTGGGGTTGGAGGCTGGTGGTAGCAGCTATCTGTCTATCACTGGGATGCATTTATCTTCTAAGAGAGAGGAGATGGAGTAGGAACCATCCAAAGCCCCCTTCCTTGATGCCAGTGCTCGCTGCACTCCCAGCCCAACACAAAGCCATCAGATCTCAGATCTGCAAGAAACCAGCATGGACAAAAGTGGTTTGTGCACAGGGAAGGGGTGACCTCAACCTGGCTCCTTACACATTCACCGGATTGGCTGAGCAGGGATGGGCACGTCAACCGCATGCCCCAATGGCTCCTGTTCTCTCTCTCCTGTTTGCTGTGGGGGAGCCTTGTGAAGGGCCTGTCTCCACATCTTCACCTCCCACTCACCGTCCAGCCCCCTCCAATCTGGCTCCCACCCCCTCACTCCACGAAGCAGCTCTCGGCAGCCTGGCACGGCACCCACCTGCCTCCCGAATTGCTCTCTCTTCGGCTCCCACAGCCACTTCTCCTGGTCCTGTGTGCCGACGCCGTCTCTGGTTTCCTACAGGGCTGTCTTCCCTTCTATGATGTGCAGCTCCTCATCCTCCATGGCCACGTGGCCGAGGGCCCCCATATTAGAAGAACCCGCTCCGCCCCACCCGATGCCATATGCAGTTGCTTCCTTGGTGTTTCTACTTGGATTCTCAAAGGCACCTCAGATCAATATGTCCAAGACTCATTCATGATATTCACACCCCCAAATGCAGTCTTATTTCCATCTCTCCCTCCATAAGTGGCTCTGCTTGTGCAAGCTGGAAACCTGCAGTCCTGACAGATGCCGCTGCTTCTTCACCACCCATGACCCTCCCGCTCACCACAAGCCCAGGGCCTTCTCTTTATGTCTCCTTCCTTTTTCTCTGCCTCCACTTCCATCGTCCTAGTCTGTGGCTGCAACAGGACTTACCTGGGTGAATCCAGCAACTTTCTTCATGATCTTTGCACACCCATTTTTGTCCCCTCTAATCTACTCTCACCCCAGAAGCTGCAATGCCTCCTCAATATGCTAACGTCATCAGGGTAACAGGACCCCCATCTTTCTGCCTAAAACACTGGAGTGGTTTCCCATGGCTCTCAGGACAAAGACCCAATTCCTCATCATAACTTCAGAGTCCCACCGTGTACTCCGGGCCCCTTGCCCTGCATGCAGCATCTCCTGATCATACACAGCTCCCCAGCCCGGCCATGTTCCGGCCTGTGCAGCTCTGACCCACTCTTCTCTCTGCTGGAGTGCTGCCTGACACCTTCCCCACCGTCTCCTCCGCCAAGCTGGGCAGCATCACGCCTCAGGTATCCTCACGTCTGTTCTCCCTCCTGGCGTCGTCTGGGTGCTGAAAGGGACTTCTGAGACAAGTCCTGTCTGGAGGTTTCGTGCTGTCGGTACGGCCTTTATGGGTGGAGGGACTCCTTAGGGGTTGTCAAAGATGGGGATGGGGTTTTGGGATGGGGACCACCACCATGCCAGTGATTATTTGTATTGCCAGGTAATCATTGCTAACCCATGCGATTCTAGAAATAACCAAAGTGTAACTTCAAGGTGTTAATATCTAGAGGTCTGTTTTTTTTTTTTTTAAGACAGAGTCTTGTTCTGTCGCCAGGCTGGAGTGCAGTGGCGTGATCTTGGCTCACTGCAACCTCTGCCTCCCCGGTTTAAGCGATTTTCCTGCCTCAGCCTCCCTAGTAGCTGAGATTACAGGCACATGCCACCATGCCTGGCTAATTTTTTTGTATTTTTAGTAGAGACGGGGTTTCACCTTGTTGGTCAGGCTGGTCTTGAACTCCTGACCTTGTGATCCACTCGCCTCGGCCTCCCAAAGTGCTGGGATTACAGGCGTGAGCCACCGCGCCCGGCCGAGGTCTCTTTTTAAAACCCAGTATTGGAGAAACGGGAGACAAAACTGTAAATTACACATAAAGATCAAGCTAAGGCACTGACATGCGCATGGCTTTATCTCCTTCTGTGTTATTTTCCAAATGTTTTATATCATGATGATATTTACTCAGAAAATGGGAAAAGAAAAAAAAAAGTCCTTCTTAAAAACCCATTTATTTCCCCCTAACTTGCAATGACCCTTTTTACGTGATGTTATGGAATCTTAATTTACTACCTGCAGTCATTTATTTGCCCAAAATTCCTTTTAATTCCATTTTTCATTCCATCGTGAATTGCTTATTTAAAAATCAATGTGTTCTTTGTCCTCTGCGACTGTTTCTTAGATGTCTAGCCTCTGAGACATGTTCAATCACAGCTCCATCTCATCCATCTGTCTTCACTGCTTGAAGTTTATTTCTCGGTAACACTTTGCACGCCATCACCCAGTGTTGGGGTCCTTTGAAATCGCCGTTCATTCTTGAGAGGAACGCGATGCCCAGAAACTGGAGATGGCACCGTGGAGATTCAGAGCCTTCACGCGGCTCATGTGATCGGATCGTCAGCCAGCACCCATACACGGGGAGGTGAAAACACAAGATGGTCCTTGAAGTGAAAAAATTATCAAAGGATGGTGGGAGGAACATCTGAAAGGAACATCTGGAAGGAATCTGGAAGGAATGTTCACTCCCTGAACTTTCATGCTTTCTTTTAAATATCTGCCGGCTGGAGGGAGCTTCAGAGGCGGGAAGGAGGTGGCTGGCTCTTTGATCATGGCCATTTGCCACCAGGACCATGGGGAGAGGATGGGAAGCCTGGGCTGGGCTGAGCCCCTCACCTGGCCAAAGCCTGGACCCAGCAGCGCTGGCCTCACCTGGAAGCCTGCTCAAAATGCAGAATCTCAGACCCCACCTTAGACCTGCTGAATCAGAGGCTTTATGTGAACAAGCTTCTCGGGTGATCTTGGAGCACCGTTAAATTTGCGAAGTACTGGGCTGGAGGATAGAGCAGGTGCAGCCCCAGTCATAGGGTCAGGAGGTGGATGTGGCCAGCCAAGGCCAGAGGAGAGAAAAGGGCCTTACAGAACAGTGCTACTCAAAGTGTGGTCCCTGGACCATTGCCCGTTTGCAAACATCCTTCGTGATGTAAGGACAGAAATTGAGATAAATGGAAGCTTTCATAACAAATTGACATTGCTGGACACTCATGCTTGCCTTTTCTATGCATTTTTTTCATTTCATTTTCATTTTTTATGAAAAAATTGGTTCAAGACAGATTGAAAATTAAGTGGGAGCCAGACATGTTGGCACACACTTATAATTCCAGCTGCTCAGGAGGCCGAGGTGGGTGGAGGATCACTTGAGCCCATGAATTGGAGGCTTCAGTGAGTTATGATTGCTCCACCGCACTCCAGGCTGGGCAATAGGGCAAGACCCCGTGTCTAAAAAAGAGAAGAAAATTAAGGGGGTGGGGGGAGTCTTAGTCCTTTATTACAGATAGTTGCAGAAGCACAGCATGTAGGCTATTAATTCATACAAGGCAGTGGCTGGATATTTGGGAAACAGAGTCAGTCTGGGGCCAGAGAGAGAGGGGCTGGCCTTGAGGATGGCACAGATGGAACCATATAGGGTGGAGAACATGGCGGGGGATGACAGCCTGGAGCAGGGGCAGTGGAGGCTGGGGAGGCCCCAGGGCACCTGACACCCACCCCTGCCACAGCAGAGATGGGGCCTGGTAGGCCCCCTGATAACGCCCCTGGCTATTGTGGCCACATTCGGCCCTGGAATCAGGCCGGCAGGTACAGTGTGGCCTCCTAGTGATATATCAGTTCTGGTCCTCCCTGAAACCCTCCCTCAGTGTCCTCAGAGTCTCCCAGCTCCATCACTTGCCTTCATCCGCCTTTTCTCCTAAAAAGAGCAAACACCCAGCCTCCATCAGACTCCAGACTATGGTGGGCTATTGGGGACAGTGACTGTGACATGGCACAGTCACCTCCAACACCTCTGCAGCAGTTCTGGCAGAGCCAGTGATGGAGGGTCCCCAGCCCCACTTTCCATGAGGACCTCACAGTGCAAGCCTGCCTGGGGTGGGTCTGATCAGGAATCCCCTGCCTGCTGGGAGTCGGCAGGGTACCGTGGAAACTCGCTCTAGCTCCAGGGACCATAAACCCAAGCTCAGATCCCAGCCCTGCCACAAGCCAGCTGCAGGGTTGGAGCTACCAGGACTGCTCACGAAGGCCCATTGTGCAAATCTCCTCCCAGCTCCACATTCAGTGATGTCATAGAGGTCCCTTCAGTTCAGCCACGGTTTTACCCCATGGCAGTTCACAAACACTGAAACAGGGCTCTGTTTTGTATTGGACAGCCAGGCTACCAAGAAACTGGGCAAAAGTTACAAATCTGTCTTCGCTTCACCTTTCCCATCTGCGAAATAGGGCTGGTGCTGTTCACGTCTGAACAGGTGCCTTTGTCACTGTCACTTTCCCTGGGGCTCTTCCATCTTTCTAGGCACCACAGCATCTACTCACACTTAGCTCCTGCTCTGAAGTTCCTTGTCCCCAGTTTGGGGGACTCTGTCTCTTCTGGGGCAAAGGGCAGTGCCGTGACCTCCTGTGGGTTTTGCCTGCCCTGAATCCAGAGGTTTTCGATACCTTTGAAGCCCTTCCTCTGCTTCTTGCAAAATATCCCTTTCCTGAGGCAATGACAGCGACAGCTCTAAATGCTGGAATGGAGGAAAGGAGTGTGTGTTTGGGGAGGGGGCACCGGATAGTGCATTACAGTAGTTCATACCTTCCACCTCTGGAACTGGGAGGTGGGGCTGAATATGCAGTCACAGGGTGACAGGACCAGAAAGACCGCAGAGGTAAGGATGACAATGGTGACAACAGTAACAATAATATGGTGATAATAATGGCAAGCACCAGGCAGTGTTCTCAGTCCTGCTCTAAATAGCTTGAGCTTTACATTTATTTATTGTTTTATTTATTTGAGAGAGGGTGTCGCTCTGTCACCCAGGCTGGAGTGCAGTGGTGCAATCATAGCTCATTGCAGCAGCCTTGGGTGATCCTCCCACCTCAGCCTCCCGAGTAGTTGGGACTACAGGCATGAGCCTTAGCACCTGGATAATTTTTTTTGTTTTGTTTTTGGTAGAGACTAGATCTCCCTATATTGTCCAGCATGCTGTGCATTGTTAATTAGTTTAATCCTTATAATAACCAGAAGAATAGGTATATTATGTGCCCATTCATCAGATGAGAAAATCAAGACTTGTCCAGGCACAGGGCTGGTGAGTAGTGGAGCCACTGCCCCAACCCCTGGAGGGATGTGACACGTCTGGGGTGCCCGGTTCCACCTGATGCCTGTTCTGAGCACTGTTTCACACCAAGCATCCCCATCAGCCCTTCAAGGACCTTATTTAGATTTATGGGTGTGTTAGTCTGTTTCACATTGCCATAAAAGAATACCTGAGGCTGGGTAATTTATAAGGAAGAGAGGTTTATGTGGCTTGTGTTTCTGCAGGCTCTACAAGAAGCATGGTGCCAGCATCTGCTCAGCTTCTGGTGAGGCCTCAGGAAGCTTTTACTTATGATAGAACGGGAGCAGGTACATCACACAATGAGCAAAGGAGCAAGAGAGAGGTGGAGATGCCAGGCTCCTTTAAACAACCAGCTCTCTCCTGAACTAATGAGAACTCACTTATTACCAAGCCATTCATGAGGGACCAAAATACCTCCCACCAGGCCCCACCTCCAACATTGGGGATCACGTTTCAGCATAAGATTTAGAGGGGACAAATATCCAAACCATATCAGTGGATGTTTCTTACACCACCACCATCTTATGAAAAAAGCAAATCTGGTTGGGTGCGATGGCTCATGACTGTAATCCTAGCACTTTAGGAGGCTGAGGCAGGAGGATCACTTGAAGCCAGGAGGTGGAGGCTGCAGTGATCTATGATTGTACCACTGCACACAAGCCTGGGTGACAGAGTGGAACCCTGTCAAAAGAAAAAAAAAAAGTAAATCTGTCTTCATGTCTTCAGAAAATGCATAATGTTTCCTGCAGGAAATTGCAGTTCAAATCAAAGGAAATTGTCACGTACTGACATTTACCATTGCTCCTTTTTCAACAGGGAGCCCAGCATTGCTGATGACCCTTGGCTACCTCCCCTGTGGGCTGCTCTTAGCTTCAAACTGTTTTTCCTCCCTCCCTCACCTCCCTTCCTCCTTCCCTCTCTCCCTTCCTTTTTTTTTTTTTTTTTTTCCTTGAGACGGGTTCTCCCTCTGTCACCCAGGCTGGAGTGCAATGGTGCAATCTCGGCTCACTGCAACCTCCGCCTCCTGGGTTCAGGTGATTCTTCTGCCTCAGCCTCCAGAGTAGCTGGGATTATAGGCGCCCGCCACCACGCCTGGCTGATTTTTGTATTTTTTCTTGCATTATTTACAATACTTTGTGCCACACACTGTGCTAGACCCTGAGGCTACAAGCATAGAATGAGAGAAACCCCATCCTTCTCTCTGAGTTGAAAATGTATTAAGGGGGCCGGGTACAGTGGCTCACGCCTGTAATCCCAGCTTTTTGGAAGGCCAAGGTGGGAGAATCACTTGAAGCCAGGAGTTCGAGACCAGCCTGGGCAATATAGTGAGACCCTGTTTTTACAAAAAATGAAAGAATTAGCTGGGGGTGGTGGTGTGTGCCTGTAGTCCCAGCTGCTTGGAAGGCTGTGGTGGGAGGATCGCTTGAGCCCAGAAGGTCGAGGTTACAGTGAGATATGATTGTGCCACTGCACTCCAGCCTGGGTGACAGAGTGAGATTTTGGCTCAAAGAAAGAAAAGAAAAAGAAAAGTATTAGGGAAGGCAGACTATCAGACTATTAGAGAAGTTTAAAGATAGCAGTAGTGAACATGCTCTGAGCCTATCTTCTGTGGCAGGTCCTGGGCTTGAGTCCTTACAACAACCAGGGTGGCAGTGGCAGCGGTCGTTACTGTTGTGAAATGACCACCGGTATTATGCCCAGTGCACACATAAGAAAACTGAGATTCAGAGCGGCCCAGTGAGCTGCACAGGGTCATGCTGCCTGTTAATCGCAGAGCTGAGCTCAACCATGATTCCTCCTCACTCCAGGGCCCAAGGTCTCATTGTGCCCAAAGCCTACCCTTGTCCCCTCCGTGTTTCCTGCCAGGGAGCCCCGCCATTGGGGGCACTCAGCCCTTGACCAGAACCACTGCCAAGCCCTAGTCAGGCCCAGAGGGCGGCCAAGACCCTGCAGATTCTGCAGATCCCGTGTCTTGCTTGCTGAATCTGGTGGAGAGCCTCAAGTCTGTGCAAGGAAACCAGCTCTTTCCAGAATGGCAACACTGCGTCATAGAAAGATGGGCAAGCCTAGTCTTGGAGCTCAGCTTCCTCTCTTAGATATGAGCAGGTCAGCAGCGCTCTTCACATTAGGAAAGACATAAAATCAACCTAAATGCCCATCAGTGGTAGACTGCATAAAGAAAATGTAGTACATACACACCATGGAATACTACACAGCCAGAAAAAAGAATGAGATCATGTCCTTTGCAGCAACATGGATGGAGCCTGGAGGCCATTATCCTTAGCAAACCAACGCAGGAACAGAAAACCAAATACTGCGTGTTCTTACATATAAGTGAGAGCTAAATGATGAGGGAACAACAGACACCAGGACCTACTTGAAGGTGGAGGGTGGGAAGAGGGAGGGGACCAAAAAGCCATCTATCGGGTTCTATGCTCATTACCTGGGTGACAAAATAGTCTGTACACCAAACCCCCGTGACATGCAATTTACCTCTGTAACAAACCTGCACACGTACCCTGAATCTAAAATGCAAGTTAAAAAGAATTAAAAGCTGGCCGGGTGCGGTGGCTCACACCTGTAATCCCAGCACTTTGGGAGGCCAAGGCAGGTGGATCAGTTGAAGTCAGGAGTTGGAGACCAGCCTGGGCAGCATGGTGAAACCCCGTCTCTACTAAAACTACAAAAAGTAGCCGGGTGTGATGGTGCACGACCGTAGTCCCAGCTACTAGGGAGGCCGAGGCGGAAGAATCCGGGAGGCGGAGGTTGCAGTGAGCTGAGATCGCACCACTTCACTCCAGCCTGGGTGAGAGAGTAAGACTCTGTCTCAAAAATAAATAAATAAATAAATAAAAATTAAAACAACAACAACAACAAAGACAAAATAAAAAGGAAGCGAGCAGGTCCCATGGCCTTCATGATGCAGCTCAAACGGTACCACCCCGAGAAGCCTCCGCTGGTCCCTGCACCAGTGGTTTTCAACCCAGGCTGCACATTCCAGCCCTGCTCCCCACTCCCTGTAATTAAAAACTCCCGTGGTGGCTTCACTGTGCAGCCAAGCTGAGAACCACTGGGCTTGACCAGGCATTAACACGCTATCCACGCAGGCCGAATCCCGTCCACCACCTGCTACTGTCCACACCCATTTGTTTCCATCTCGTCTATGTCTGCTTTCACGGCAGGGGCAGAGTTGAGTAGTTGTGAGAGAGAACATATGGCTTGCAAAGCCTCACATATTTACTGTCTGAGCCTTTACAGCAAACGTTCACCAACCCCTGGACTAGATAGTTATTGGCCCTGCCAACCCTCTTCATATCCTCCTGGCCTGAAACTTAGCACATGAAGCCACTGTTATTTGTGTATGGGTAAAACCAACAGGAGATCCTTGAGGGCAGGGGTCTTTCTGGGTGGTCCCTGTGGTCCCCAAGCCCAGCACAAGGCCTGGCTCTCTCCTCGGCAGGTGTTACTGGATATGTCAGCTGTTGAGTGGAGGTCTCTGGGCAACAAGGCTTGGGTGATGAGGGAGGGAAGGTATTGTGCCAGGCTGGACTGACTGTCTCCTTAGACATCAGCCCCTTTGCTCACAGGGCCCCACTTCCCAAGGCTGAGGCTCCCAGCAGAAGCCAAGCAGGTGTCCAGCTTGAGGCCTGGAGGAAGATGAGACTTCAGAGAAGAAACCAGGAGAGACCAGGCATGGTGGCTCACGCCTGTAATCCCAGCACATTGGGAGGCTGAGGCGGGTGGATCACCTGAGGTCAGGAGTTTGAGACCAGCCTGGTCAACATGGCAAAACCCCATCTCTACTAAAAATATAAAAAAAATAACCAAACATGGTGGCACACACCTGTAATTCCAGATACTTGGGAGGCTGAGGCAGGAGAATTGCGTGAACCCAGGAGGTGGAAGTTGCAGTGAGCCAAGATCACACCACTGCATGCCAGCCTGGGCGACAGAGCGAGACTCCGTCTCAACAACAACAACAACGAAAAGAAACCAGGAGAATTGGGAGCTGAGGATGGATGGAGGGGTTGGTTCAAGGTCAAGGCTGTGAAAAGCAGGAGGATGCTGGAAGCCCTTTATGCAATAGGACAGGCCTCTGTTGACCTAGAGGTGCTGGATGTGGCCAGGGAGGTGGTGTTCCGGGATGAGGAGGGGCTGTTACCTGGTCCACTCTCCTAACCAATGTTTGAGTCCAGTTCTGACTTCGTGACTGGTGATACTCTAGTCCTGAGCACCTCTGCTGATGGAAACTCACCACATGCACCATTATTTGGAAGAGTCAACAAAAATGAGGAAACACCTAAATGTCTACCAATGGGGGTATTGAATATTAATTACTCTTTTATATACAGCTATAAGAAAAAAAGGTGGGTGAGATCTAGGTGTACTCAAATGAAAAATTTCTGGATAGGTAAAAAGAAAATCAGTTTCAAAAATATGTTTAATTTGAGTCTATTTGTGTAGAAAAAGTATTAATTCTGAAAAAATAAATACCAAACTGCTAACAATGTTGATCCCATTACATGGAGATGTGATTATAGGGGGATTTTTGCTGTCTCTAAGATGTTGGAGATTTTTTGTTTGTTTTTGAAACAAGCTTGTTTTATCAGGAAAATAGCCAAGATGTTTTTATTAAAAGACTTTTTTGGGCCGGGCGTGGTGGTTCACACCTGTAATTCCAGCACTTTGGGAGGCCAAGGTGGGTGGATCACCTGAGGTCAGGAGTTCAAGACCAGCCTGGGCAACATGGCGAGACCCCCATCTCTACTAAAAATACAAAATTAGCCAGGTGTGGTGGCACATGCCTGTGATCCCAGCTCCTCGGGAGGCTGAGGCAGGAGAATTGCTTGAACCCAGGAGGAGGAGGTTGTGGTGAGCTGAGATCGCACCACTGCACTCCAGCCTGGACAACAGAGTGAGACTCCATCTAAAAAAAAAAAGAAAAACTTAAAAAAAAAGACATTATCCTTTTGTTGAACTGAAATTTGCCTTTCTAAGGCATCAACACTCATTCTTTTGGTTTGGTGCCTAGGGCCACTCAGGCCACAGGAGATCCTTATAAGCAGAAAAAGTTCAGAGTATGTTCCCTGGGAAGTACAGGCCTAGCCCCTTGGTGCAGACAGTCCTTGTGTAGTGTTATTCAATGCCTGATCTTTTTTACTTTTTGAGACAGGGTATCACTCTGTTACCCAGGCTGAAGCACAGTGATGAGATCATGGCTCACCGTAGCCTCTGTCTCCTGGGCTCAAGTGATCCTCCCAACTCAGCTTCCTAGGTAGCTGGGACCACAGGAACACATCACCACACCCAGCTAGTATTTGTAGAGACGGGATTTCACCATGTTGCCCAGGCTGGTCTCGAACTCCTGGGCTCAAGCAATCTGCCCACTGCAGCCTCCCAAAGCACTGGGATTATAGGCATGAGCCACCACACCCAGCCTCACCTGCCATTTTCTAACTAGGGTGCAAGCTTGTCTTCCCTACTAGGCCAGAAGGACTCTGAGGGCAGAGGTTACGAAAGAGACATTTCTGTCCACACAGCATCTGGTGCCAACAGAGAAGGTCCTCAGGAAGTTCCTGGTGAATGAGCGAATGAATGAATGAATGATTGGTGATTATCAATATATGAGTATCTCTCTCCCTTCTACTAAGGACACTTTGGCATTGCTAGCTTGTCACTCTCACCTTCCCCCATCTTCTCCTCCAGCTCAGGCTTCCTGGATGTGCAACTAGGAATAAGAGGTGATGGGAAGAGTCAGGGAACAGAGATAGGGCATTTGTTTTGGAAAGGATTGAGCCTTCCTTGCATGAGAGAAGAGGAGATAGCAGTGGAAAGACAGGGAGGGTGGGGAAAAGGGGACATGCCCCACCAAGGACACTGAAGAGAGTTTAGGGGAAGTGTTGAAAATGAGACAAAGACAGGGTGAGAGAGATTTTAGGACAGCTGCAAGACAAGTGAGAGAAAAGAGAGGGATGGAGGAAAGATGTCAAGCTGTGTGGATTGGAGCACCCACTGTGTGCTTTAGGAGAGACAATAATGATTGGTTTTTTTTTTTTTCTCAGACGGGGTCTCACTTGTTGCTTGGGCTGGAGTGCAGTGGTATAATCACAGCTCACTGCAACCTCGATCTCCTGGGCTCAAGCGATCCTCCCACCTCAGCCGAGACTGTAGCTGAGACCAGAGGCACACATCACCACACCACATGTGCTGGCTTATTTTTTAATTTTTTCTAGAGACGGCGTTCTTGCTATGTTGCCCAGGCTGGAGTGCAGTGGTATAATCATGGCTCACTGCAGCCTTGATCTCCTGGGCTCAAGCAATCCTCCTGCCTCAGCCTCCTGAGTGGCTGGGACTAGAAGCACACACCACCACTCCGGCATGCACTGGCTTCTTTTTTGATGTTTTCTAGAGATTAGGGTCTTGCTATGTTGCCTGGGCTGGTCTTGAACTCCTGACCTCAAGTGATCCTCCTGCCTCGGCCTCCCAAAATGCTAGGAAAACAGATATGAGCCACCATGCCTAGCCTGGAGTTGTTCTTACTTGAGAGGACTAGATTGTGTTTCTCTAATGTGATGCCCATTTGGACAGGACCGTGTGGAACTCTGGAATTTACCTGGGTTACAAATGCATGTGTGCAATGAGGGAACATGACCCCACCGGTTCTCGGGCCCAGCCATCAGTGGGACGCAGGTGAAGGTCTAAGTTTGGAGCTGTGTCAGAGGCCATGCACCTGCCTCCACTGTCCAGGTCCTCAACAGCCTCTGCTCCATGCTTCTCCTCTGCTGCCACCCCGCAGAGGCTGCTCGCTCTGGGACCACCACAACCCTGAGATGATGGAGGAGAGAGAAACCACACTGAGAAGCTCTTGCAATTGTTGGTGGGGAAGAACACTGTACCAGAATTTGGGAGACTGGGGCTTTGATAGTACGCAGAATTATCTTTAGGAAGTGTTTTATTGGGAGGCCGAGGTGGATGGATCACCTGAGGTCAGGAGTTTGAGACCAGACTGGCCAACATGGTGAAACCCTGTCTCTAATAAAAGTACAAAAATTAGCTGGGCGCAGTGGCAGGTACCTGTAATCCCAGCTACTCGGGAGGCTGAGGCAGGAGAATCGCTTGAGCCTGGGAGGTGGAGGGTGCAGTGAGCCGAGACCGTGCCACTGCACTCCAGCCTGGGCAACAGAGCGAGACTCCATGTCAAAAAAAAAAAAAAAGATGTGTTTTAATGTAGTTAAGAAATGCTTCCCAGAGCTGAGCACAGTGGCTCATGCCTATAATCCCAGAGTTTTGGGAGGCAGACGCAGGAGGATCCCTTGAAGCCAGGAGTTTGAGATCAGCCTGGCCAACACGACAAGACCCTATCTCTATAGAAAAATTTAAAAATTAGCTGGATGTGGTAACACACACTTGTAGTCCTACCTACTTGGAAAGCTAAGGCAGGAGGATTGCTTAAGCCTAGGATGTTGGAGGCTGCAGCAAGCTCCGATTGTGCTACTACACTCCAGCCTGGGCGACAGAGTGAGACCTTGTCTCTGGGGTGGGCGGAGGGGAGGGAAATGCTGCTTAGCGAAGAAGAGCCTGTTGCCCCCCATCAGAAAATAAAGTTAGCAAAAAGAAGCCTCCGGAGTTAATTCCCTATATTCATTATGTAGGGATAATCACCGTTAACTTTTTGGTGTGTATTCTGCCAAAATAATTTCTGTGCCTTTCAATGTATAATTCTGAAAACAAATGAAACTGTAAACATCTTTTGATATATACCATTCGCAAATAATTTATTTTCCTCTTTTTGACAGAATGATGGGTTTGCCTTCCTATTCTGCCTCTAACTGATTAGTTGCATGACACTGGGTTGGTCACATCACCTCCAAAAGCCTCAGTTTCTTCATTAGTAGAATGGGAATAATGATGCCCATCTCACAAGGTTGTGGTCAAAATCCCCCAGGGCAGCAGGTGGAAAGTTACTTTGCAAAATATTCTCCAGAGGGGGGAAGATTGCACTTTTTCAGGTTTTGGGTCTCTGCCCACTCATCCTTCTCTTTCCTACCTAGGATTTTGTTTTTGTTTTTTTTTCTTTCCAGGATGGAGAAGAGGGACGGGAGCGAGGAGGACTTTCACTTAGACTGCCGCCACGAGAGATACCCTGCCCGTAAGTGGCCTGTTTGTGGGTATCTGCTACGACAGATTCATGGGCTGCCAGAGGAGAAAGAATCCCTGGAGAAGAGTCAGGCCAGCCCCCACCCCCCACTGCACCCTGCATTCTCCCACAAACACGTTACAGATGAGGAAACTGAGTCTGGTGTCTCAGGGTAGCAAGCCCCTGCACGCAGCTCTCCCCACAGGCTTCCCAGTCGGGATGGGATGCTAAGAAAGGAAGGAAGAGACTGGAGTTCCAGGGAGCAGGCAGGGAAAACCCAGCTCAAGGCCAGGCCTGGGTTAGCCACTGGTCTGAGGGAGGACAGTCCTGGCTAGAAGGAGCCGAGGCAGGGAGGTGACCGTGGACAGGAGTTGTTTGAGCTGAGGATACTCTTGGCAGCTTAGATGCATTCACTTCAAACACTTTGCTGTGGGGCACACCATGAGGCAGAATCTAGGGCACTGCTCAGAAAACAAATGTCAGGATCAGAAAGCAAAGCAGAGAAGAACCAAAGTAAGATTAAAGTTAAAATGGTCAGATCTTGGCTGAGCCTGCTGTAATGCCCACCACGTGTTCCCCACCCCATCCCACTCTGTACTAAGGGCTTTTCATGCCTGATCTCATATCCTTGCTTACCCCAGTCCCTACAGCTGGGATTGTTGCCTAGACTTTGCATATGAGGAAATTAAGGCTCAGAGAGGTGGAGTAACTTGCCCAAGGTCACATAGCTTAGCTAATCACTGGCAGAGGAGTCACAGCAGACACAGTCAGTGCCCTGGCCACCTCTCTCAGACCTTTAGGAAGCTCCAGTGGCATCTATCTGTATCTGCATCTCTGTGCCTGGAGGCTTCCCCACCTCCAGCCATAGAAGGCTAGAAGTGCCAGGGAAGTTGGTGTATAGATACCCCAGCTCCCTCACCCTGGAGTGGGATCCCCCTGAGGCATAAAGAGTCAATGATCATCAGGTTTAGTGGCTCTCCCCTCCCATCCCTGTCCCACTTTTCCTCTCTGCCCAATTTCCCTGTACCTTGTAAATATATCATGGGCACTCAAATTCTTACCTGTGGGTCTGCTGCTGGGGAATCCAAACTAAGAAGGCAGAGATTTAAACACAGGTCTGTCTGATTCCAAATCCTGTGATCCTAGTAACTGAATGAGAAATGGCTCTGCTAGTGGGGAGGAGACAGTGGTGAACCAAGATGCTTGGGAGGAGGCCTTGTTGGAGAAGAGGAGAGGGAAGAGAGCCCAATTTTGGCCTGTGAGGGACAGGAGATGGTGCTGAAGTGAACCATGGGCTCACACATCATGGTTTCATGTCTGTGCTAGCTTGGAGGGCTTCCTGGAAGAGGGGATCAGAAACCAGGGGATGGATGTGTTTGGAGAACTCCTCCTGCAGGGACAACAGAGTGAAGAAATCATCAGAGACGGGCTCGGGAAGCACACAGCAGGGATAGAGGTTGAGAATCCTGGTGCATTCCAGAATGTCCTCAGCTCCCTTATTTGGGAGTGAGCCTCCCCAGGCTCCCTGCAGAATAGGCGGGAAATCCTGGGTAGAAAGAGGCCTTGGGGCTTGTCTTAGGGGCATCTGGGGGCCTGGGTGGAGGTCCCTACCACTGGAAGAGTCAAGGCACTGTGGCCCGAAAAGCAAGCCCTGGAATTAAGAACGAGAGTTCTCAGGGTCAGAGGAAATGGCAAAACCCCTCCAACCCACCCCCAATCCCAGTGCCCACAGCCCTCCCCCCACCCCAATCCCAGTGCCCACAGCCCTCCCCCCACCCCAATCCCAGTGCCCACAGCCCTCCCCCCACCCCCAATCCCAGTGCCCACAGCCCTCCCCCCACCCCAATCCCAGTGCCCACAGCCCTCCCCCCACCCCAATCCCAGTGCCCACAGCCCTCCCCCCACCCCCAATCCCAGTGCCCACAGCCCTCCCCCCACCCCAATCCCAGTGCCCACAGCCCTCCCCCCACCCCAATCCCAGTGCCCACAGCCCTCCCCCCACCCCAATCCCAGTGCCCACAGCCCTCCCCCCACCCCCAATCCCAGTGCCCACAGCCCTCCCCCCACCCCCAATCCCAGTGCCCACAGCCCTCCCCCCACCCCAATCCCAGTGCCCACAGCCCTCCCCCCACCCCAATCCCAGTGCCCACAGCCCTCCCCCCACCCCAATCCCAGTGCCCACAGCCCTCCCCCCACCCCAATCCCAGTGCCCACAGCCCTCCCCCCACCCCCAATCCCAGTGCCCACAGCCCTCCCCCCACCCCAATCCCAGTGCCCACAGCCCTCCCCCCACCCCCAATCCCAGTGCCCACAGCCCTCCTCCCACCCCCAATCCCAGTGCCCACAGCCTTCCACCCACCCCCAGTCTCAGCCCCACTGCCCCCCCACCCCCAATCTCAGCCCCACAGCCCTCCCCCTGCTCCCAATCTCAACCCCACTGCCCTCTCCCACGCCCCCAACCCCAGCTGCCACAGCCCTCCCCCACCCCCAATCCCAGTCCTCACAGCCCTCCCCTGGCACCCAATCCCAACCTCCACAGCGCTCCCGTGCCCCCAATCCCAGCCCCCCGTAGCACTCCCCCAGCCTCCAATTCCAGTCCCCAAAGCCCTCCTCCGCCCCCAATCCCAGTCCCTGCAGCCCTCTCCCGTCCCCAATCCCAGTACATGCAGCCCTCCCCCCGCCCCCAATCTCAGCCTCCACAGCCCTCCTCTCCACCCCCAATCCCAGTCTCTGCAGCCCTCTCCCTACCCCCAATCTCAGCCCCCACATCCGCCCCCTGCCCTGATGCCTAGTGCCCCCTCAAGCAGCATCTCCTTGTGAAAGAATCATCAGACCCATTTGATAAGGCAACAGTCTGAACGATTTCATCTTTCATTCCTTGGTGAGTGTTTATTGAGCATCTGCTGCACGTCAGCCCTGTGGGTGCTGGAGAGACAGCAGGGAGTCAGGCAAGACAACGGCCCCTGCCTCAGGGACTCACAGTCTGAGGGGAGAGAGAATCATTCAGTAAGTGAGCTCAAAAACAAACAAGGGAGGAAGATGTGGTGATGGGGAGGAAACAGGGCAGGGGCACTCCTTCAGAGTCAGCGCTCTGAGAAACCACGGAGCTGGGACCTAAAGGGTGAGGAGTCAAATGAAGAGCTTTGCAGGCAGAGGGACCTGTGTGTCCGACAGCTGGAAGGAGCCAGACAGTGCTTGTGGAATAGCCAGGAGACCAGGGTGGCTGAGGCAGGGAGGGCAATGGGAGGGCAGGAGAGCTGGAGGGGCCGACGGTGGCAGGAGGCAGGACAGGGACGGAGTTCGCTATGCAGTGGAGGGGAAGTTGATTCTGCAGCAGGGAGCCCGGGGCATTTTAAGCAGGGAGAAGACATGTCCACATTATTTCTCTCTCTCTCTCTCTGTCCCTCCCTATTTCTTTATCTATCTATCTATCTATCTATCTATCTATCTATCTATCTATCCATCTAATCTATCTATTCATCCATCATCCATCTATTATTCATCTGTCAATCATCTATCCATCAATCATCTATCATCTATAAATCTTACCATCTATCTAATCTATCCATCCATCATCTATCAATCGTGTCATCTATCTACCTATTTATCTATCATCTATCTACAGATCCTATCTATCCTATCTACCATCTATCTATCTATATATCTATATCTATATCTATATCTATATCTATATCTATCTATCTATATATATATATATATATATATATATATGTCTGCACTGTGGGAAAAGGATCAGAGAAGAGCCAAACTCGAGACCAGGAGACCATCTTGTAATCTACAATATGCACAAAATGTTTTGCTGTTGCAGTCGTTCTTGGGAGACATGATGGTGGCGGCCTGAACTGTGGGGTTGGAGATAAAAGTGGGTAGCTCAAGGACCCTCTGCTGGTAGAATTCCTAGAGTGTCTTGGTTTGTGTTTCCCTGGAAGTCCCTTGAGATGAGGATATAACAGCAAGTGCTTTATTTTGATGATTGAACACCCAACTAGGAGTGAGGAAGAGAGACTAAGAAGGGAGACAAAGGCGACCAGTCAAAGGCACAGCGTCGAGCCTGCTGGGGGCTGGGGGCACCAGTGCAGAGCATATGTATCTGAGCCATCCCCCCAGATAGGAAGGCAACTCTCCTGGGCCATTGTTCAAGGGCTGCCGCAGAGAGGGTCGGGTGCATGAGTTCTCTGGAGGTAATGGCTCGGGGCATGGACAGAGGGGCTTGGGGCGCGATGGAGAAAGCCCCCTTGCACAGTTGGGGGTTAGCAGTGTGCACCACCGTGGAGCTGGGGGGACAGCATCAGATAAGTGACTGATTTGAGTGAGGACCGGGGGAGAGGAGGGACCTAGGATATGCACAGAATTTTTGCCCAAGCAGTCAGGGGCATGGGGTCCCTGACTGATGGAAGGATATGGGGAGGGGTCAGTTTGTGAAGGGCAATGTTGCTTTGTCTGTGTGGAGTTTGAGGGGCTCGTGAGGGCCTCCAGGAGGCAGCCAGATCAACGGAGGGGAGCTTAAAAGGGTGGCAGAGAGACAGGCAGGTGCAGTGGTGCATGCCTTAATCCCAGCTCTTTGAAAGGCCAAGGCAGGAGGATCATTTGATGCCAGGAGTTCGAGACCAGCCTGGGCAACATAGCAAGACCCCATCTTGAAAAAAAAAGTTAAAATTAGCTGGGCATGGTGGTGCAAGCCTGTATTCTCAGCTACTCTGGAGGCTGAAGTGGGAGGGGAGGATTGATTGAGCCCAGGAGTTTGAGGCTGCAGTACAGTATGGGATGGTTGAAGCCCAGAGACTGCAAAGATCATCTGAGGAGAATGTGTAGGGTAGGGAGACACAGTGACACAAAAGGGGCCTAACCTCCTGGGGGTTCAGGGGAGCCAGAGGCCGGTGGGGAAAGAGCTGTGGAAAACTGTCAGTCGCCCCCAGAGACTTTCCAAATCCTGGCTTCTCAGGGAAGAAAAGAGCCTGAGACCCCACAACCCCTGCGCCAGGTGTACCTTTTATCAGGTAGCTGAGCATTAGCAGGGATGGCCGTCATTCCCTGGGGATAGCGGAGTTGCTGGGAACTCCCACGTCAAACAGCTAATAAGGAAGAGACCCCCTCTGTGGTCAGAGCTGAGGGAGGGGTCAGGGGAATGTGGGCTGGATGCTGGCATGCGTGAGAGATCCCGTGACTTCAGGGATCCTGAAGCAGGCTGCTTTATTTATTCCACAAATCATTACTAAGGAGACCTCTCTGGCTCCTGGGAGCATGGAGACGAATAAGGCACGTTGCTGGACCCTGTTGACTTCCAAGTCTTGTTGGGGAGACAGACCCAAGCCATTCGTGCACTGTGTGGCCAGAGCTTGAAAGGGGTCAATGCAGGGTGCGGGATAGCAGGGCATGGTGCCTCATCCCACTCAGGATGACATGGGGTGCAGGAAAGGGAAAGCAGGAAGGGGGGACTTAGCCAGGGTGATACCCCTTGGCAGGACCTCCAGGGCTATCATGATGATACCTGCATTTGATTACGGAAACAGCCAGCAAGAAGAACTCAGTCCCCTAGATCTAATCACAGTATCTCACCTTTGTGCATGTTCTCAGGACTTTGCACTTATTCACTCATTTAACCCTAAATACGGACCCATTTTACAGACGAGGAAACGGAGGCCCAGGAGGTTAAGACCATGGCTTACTCAATACACAGCTAGAAAGTAGCAAAGCTGGGATTTGAACCCGGCCGGTCTGACCTCATCACCCACACCCTGGACCGCTAGGTGATGTCAGTCAGCAGCTCCATTGGTTGGGCAGGGTACTGAGGATGTGGGGTGCCTCCAGACATGGCCTCGGTCCTCTTGGAGCTCATGGTCTAGAGAAGCAGCCGATCAAATGAGTATGGAAATGATGCCGTCTCAGAATTCGGCCTCTTAGCTGCTAGTGGGTTTTCAGCCAAGAAAATATTTTGGAAATGCCTGGACGAGTTTTGCAATATTTCTGCGGGGAGCAGCTGCTCAGATCCTGCGATGGGCTGACTTGCCGGCAGGAGGAACGGGGGAGGCGGGATGTCAGGGAGCCGGCATTATTAAACACTTACTGTGTGCAGGTCTGTGCTAAGCACTTCTCTGCCATCTCATTTGATGGCTGATCCAGCCCTGAGAAGCGGGGATTCTTCTTCTAGAAATACAGTGCTGTAAGGCAAATCAGCTTTGCTGGGATCTCTGGTTCACTCGGCAATAAAACTCAGCTTGGCAATTAGATCTTGCTCCTTACCCTGGGAGAGAGGCCACTCCTTCTCAGGCTCCCAACCCCGTAGGCCTCTTCCCCATCTCCCATGCTGCCCCAGCCAACCTGACCTTCCTCTTTCTTGAACACGCAAAACTCATTCCCTTGGTAGGACCCTTGCACTTGCTGTTCTCTCTGCCTGGATGCTCTCCCTCTAAATCATGGTGTGGCTGACTTCGTCTCATCTTTAAGTCAGCTGAAAGGCCGCTTCCTCCGAGAAGCCTTCCCTGATCTGCACCAGCTTCCCCAGTCATCCCCATATCACCGGGTTCTCTTTTCTTCCTAGCATTTGTCCCTCTCCGAAATGATCTTTTATGTTCACATGCTTGGTTTTCGTTTTGCTGCCTCTCTCCACCAAGTGCCATGAGAACAGGCGCCTTGAGTGTTTTGTTCCTGTGTATATCCCAAGAGTCTAAACTAGTGTGTGGCACATAATAGGTGCTTAATTGTTGGCTGTCAACCTCCACGTTTCTCCCACCACCTCCCATCTGAGAAGCCACTTTTATATTAGCAATTACATAAACTTCTGGTTATCCTAACTGTCCCCAAAGATGTTATTCTGGGGGGCTACTGTGATATGGATTTGGCTATAATTTTTTTTTTCCTGAGGAAGTTGCTTTTGAAACCTGCCTTTGGGGCTTTGTGGCGCCACCAGCCAGCTCAGGAGCACATCAGACGTGACATTTGATGGAGGCGATGTTGCCATATGGCCCAGGTGTCTGCATCTTCCTTTCAGGGGCGACTGAGGTTTGCAGTTGATTGCAGCTGTCAAGTTCAATGCCTGAGACAAGGTTTTGATTTTGCCAGGTGTATCTGTAAGGCTGGGCTCCACGAGAGGCTGTCGCATGCTGGGCGCGGAGGTGGCTTCTGGGAGCTCCATCTAGATGGGTCTCTGCCACTGCTGCTGCCCTCAAAATAGCAGAGGGAATTTCAAGAAAGAATTTTTCTGGACCCAGAGCAACTTGGCATTTTTATTAGATCAAAATCAAATCCAATAGAGTCCTGCTCGAGTTGCTTCCTTTATTAAAATGGAAACAGACAGTATTTCTAAAATAAATATCAATGCCAATTTGCTGGGAGCGCAGATGGCACACAGCTTGCAGACATCTGAGACCTCAGCACTGGGGGTCGAGAGATCCAAGCCAACAGGAGCATCAGAGACACATGGAGAGCTCGTTAAAGGATGGACTGCAGGGCCCCACCCTCAGAATTTCTGATTCAGGAGGTCTGGCGGGGGACCCAGGGTTCCGCAGCTCTAAGTTCTCCACGATGCTGATGCTGCTGATCTACAGACCAAATTTGCAGTTGTCCTCAACCCTCGGCCAATACCTGTCCCTTTGAAGCTACTGCCAGAAGCCAGTCTGCATTTTGTCGCTTGCTTGGGCTATTCAGCAACTTCTAGATGGAAATTGCTGCTTCTAGGGCCAATTCCTTTCCAATCCATCCTCCGAAGACATAAACTTGATCATGTCTTCCCCAGTCCTTCCTAGCTCTAAAACCTCCTATAACAGCAGCTCTAGTAGGAATCTGGCTCGGTGCCCGCCCCCTTCACAAGTTCCCATGAGGCCTTCTCTCGCCTTCCCCTCCTGCATCATCATTTTTCTTTCCATCACTTGTTCCTCTCTGAGCCCTTCTTTGCTCACTTGTTTTTCTGTTTTTGTTTTGTTTTGTTTTGTTTTTTGAGATAAGGTTGTGCTCTGTCACCCAGGCTGGAGTGCAGTGATGTGATTATAGTTCACTGCAGCCTTGATATCCTGGGCTCAAGGGATCCTCCCACCTCAGCCTCCTGAGTAGCTGAGATTGCAGGCACATGACATAGACGTGGGTAATTTTTTTTATGTTTCCAATTTTTTTTGTAGAGATGGAGTCTTGCTATGTTGCTCAGGCTGGTCTCGAACTCCTGGCCTCAAGTAATAATCCTGCCTTGGACTCCCAAAGTGATGAGATTACAGGCGTGAGCCGCCAAGCCCAGTTAATTTTTTTTTTTTTTTTGGTAGATATGGGGTCTTGCCCAGGCCGGTCTCGAACTCCTGGCCTCCAGCAATCCTCCCGCTTCAGCCTTTCAAAGTGCTGGGATTACAGGCATGAGACACCACACCCGGCCTGCTCCCTTGTTTATGTCCAGCCTCTCCTCAGTGAAATGGAAATGTCACCAGCACAGGGACCTTGTTGCTGCATTCACTGTGACATCCCCAGGGCCTAGCACACAGTAGGTCACCAGTATGTTTCTGGTGCATGATTTAGCTCACTTAGTCCTCAGGAGCTGTGTGCTGTGAGTAGTATTTCTATTTTACAAGGGAAAATACTTGGGTTCTGAGAGGTAATGTCACTTGTCCTTTGGGGACAAGCTTGTGACCTTGGGGTCACAAGCCTGTCTGACTCCAAGCTAAAGCTATGACATGGTTCTTCTACTTTATGCCCACTTCTGTCCAAGGCAGTGGTACCACAACCATGCCTAACCCTAAGAAACACTTGGGGCAGGTGTCAAAATAGACTGCCCTCCAGAGCCCAATTCCTCAGTGTGGGACAGGCAAGGAATCTGTAGCTGAGAAGTGTCATGATAAGGCAGAAACCCTTGGGGTGCATGGGGTTTAGGGGGCCCTGCTGGGCATTCTACACCTGCCACCAAGCAACTTCTGCAGCTGCGATGCTCCATGCCTTACCCCTTCATCCCCATGTGCTCTGCTTTCAGGCCATACCCGTCCACTTGCCTCCCTGAAACCACAATATTGCTAGGTTTTTCACACTTCCTGAAGAACCTCATCCGCCTGCCAAGGACCTATTTCACACCCTGTTCTTTCTGCATGAAATGCTGTGCCCCCTTCCTCCACTGGGCAGAAAACCAACCCTACCAGTGGAATTGGGAGCTTTTGCAAGGGCTTTCAAAATCTAGCTCAACTGTCTGGGAACTGCCCCCAGCCCCCTCCCCAGCTCCTGGCAGAGGGGAACACGTTCGTCTCTGCCTTTCACTCTCCTGGTGTTTGTCTGTGAGCCAAATTTTTATAATGTCTATGAGCCCAATCTTTGTGTTTTTAAATGTTTTAATTGTTATAGGTTCAGGGGGTACAGGTGCAGGTTTGTTACATGGATGTATTGCATAATGCTCAGGTTGGGCTTCTGATGTATCTGTCACCTGAATAGTGAACAACGTACCCTGTAGGTAATTTTTCAACCCTTACCCCACTCCCATCCTCCCCCTGTGGAGCACCCAGTTTCTGGTATTTCCCTTTCTATGGCCGTATGTGCTTGTTGTTTAGCTCCTACTTACAAATGAGAACATGTGATACTTGATTTTTTGTTTCTGAGTTATTTCACTTAAGAGCTGGCCTCCAGCTCTACCCATGTTGCTACGAAAGACAGGATTTCATTCTCTCTCTCTCTCTTTTTTTTTTTTTTTTTTTTTTGAGATGGAGTCTCTCTCTGTCACCCAGGCCGTGGTGCAGTGGTGCAATCTCGGCTCACTGCCAGCTCCGCCTCCTGGGTTAACACCATTCTCCTGCCTCAGCCTCCCGAGTAGCTGGGACTACAGGTGCCCACCACCATGCCTGGCTAATTTTTTATATTTTTAGGAGAGATGGGGTTTCAGCGTGTTAGCCAGGATGGTCTCGATCTCCTGACCTCGTGATCCACCCGCCTCGGCCTCCCAAAGTGCTGGGATTACAGGCGTGAGCCACCGCGCCCGGCCCTTTTTTTTTTTTTTTTGAGATGGAGTTTTGCTCTTGCTGCTCAGGCTGGAGTGCAGTGGTGCAATCTCGGCTCACTGCAATCTCTGCCTCTCGAGTTCAAACAATTCTCCTGCCTCAGCCTCCCAAGTAGCTGGAATTACAGGCACCTGCTACCACACCAAGATAATTTATGTATTTTTAGTAGAGACAGGTTTTCACCATGTTGGCCAGACTGGTCTTGAACTCCTGACCTCAAGTAATCCACCTGCCTCAGCCTCCCAAAGTGCTGAGATCACAGGCACTGCCACTGCACCCAGCAGATTTCATTGTTTTTTAATGGCTGCATAGTTTTAAATCTAAGTATCTGTTGATGAGAGCCCAACCTTTGGAGTGAAGCTGGCTAGATTCAAGTCTCAGCAGTGAGGCCTTGAAACAATGACTTAATTTATCTGGACCTCGGTTTCCTCACCTGTAAAATGGGGATAATAATGGCACCTAACTCGTATTTTTGAGGATTAAATGAGTCCATGGACAGGAAGCACATTGAATGGTTCCTGGCACACAGCAGGAGTGGGAGGCATGTCTGGTCTTGTCATCTCTTCATATGTGTGCCTGTGAGCACCCGGGGGGAGGGCCGCATCTCACTCACGTCTGTAAACCCAGCAGCCAGTGTGGAGGCTGACACACAATACATGCCCAACACATGTCTAAATAAAGGACTGAGGAATCAGGGGCCCTGGGGAGAGGTGGCAGGTGCAGTGGACTTTGTCTCATCCCAAGGGCAAGAAAGAGACAAAGAGAATGTTATGGCTCAGAAACGTGGAATCCCTGAGGATGACCCCAGTGGAGAGATAGATGGCCCCCATTCAATCTCCTAAAACAGCCCGCCTGAGGTAGACCAGAAGACACAAACTTCCCTCCATACGGGTCCGTCCCACTCAAGCCTGCCCTTCCTCCTGAGCCCTCCACCGTTCACTCATTCTGCAGACACGTGCTTTCAACGCTGTGCCTGGGACCATGCTGATGCAGGGATGCAACTGTGAGGGAAAGCAGAGCTGGCCTTTGTCCTCCTGTGACACATGCCTCAAAGGCAAGATGAGGAGAAAACCAGTAAACAGATATTCCCATATGTGATGACACCTCTGAAGCCCTCTCATGGTAGAGATTTGTGGACCTAGAAGAGCGATGAGAGTGTCACTAGCTGACAGGTTTCCAAAGCCCGATTTCTTAGCGCCATCCCTGATTCATTTTCCACCACTCTTCAAGCTTCCTTTCTTTCTGGAGGGCAGAGGTCAAGGTTGGGCAGACAGACAGTTGGCTTTGGGCGGACCTGTGAGTCCTATAGAGAGAGGCTTTCAGCACCTCGGACAGCGGCTGGGTGATTGGCCGGAAGGAACTTCCCTGTAAAGGGATCCAGCTGATCTGTGCCAAGCTGGGCTACTGTAGGGTCAGGAGCATCAATACCTGCCACCTGTTACCCTCACTCTGCCAGCTGCAGAGAGACCTTGAGCAAGTCAGTTTCCCTCTAAGTGCCTCAGTTTCCCGATCTGTACATTTGTGGTGGCATTGACGTTCCTGGTCTTGAAGGGCCCTCCCAACCCAATGAATCCATTTTGGAACAGTAGATGTGATTTAATTCAATTCAGCAATTATGTCTGATTCCCGGATCTTGGTGGCTTAGAGAGGGTTCAAGACAGTGATTCTTCACTGAGGGAGGCGGGAGATGGGGCTGGAGGAGATCTGATGTTAAATATGTTCATGTTTTGATATCTGGATTTAAAAGGGAAGAGAAATCACACCTTTGGGGAACCTCCTGTGGTCAAATACTCTGCTAACCTTGGGAGGTTCCCAGAAAATGGAAACCACAGTACCTGCTACCACGCTCTGAGTGGGGCCTTGACAAATCTTTTCCCACCCATGGGCCTTGGTTTCCCCATTTGTGAAGAGAGGCTTTCAAACCCAACCTGCTTCTAGTGCTTCCAGAACTGTGTTCTTTCCACTTCTGTCTGTGTCTGAGATTGGACAGTGAAGGGTTTCTCTGCAGGGTGCCTGCTGGGCCTGCCAACTCCTTTGTAGCTTTCATCCATTTGCAGGCTCAGAGAGGTGAAGTTGCTTGTCAGAAGCCACACGGCTTAAAAAAAATTCACACAATTTGCAAGCAGTGGAGGCTGGGTTTGAACCTTTGGCTGTTAGACCGAAGTACGGTCTCCCCAGCCCCCTGCCATCACCTGAGCCTTCACCCAAAAGAGGAGAGTTTGAGCAAAAACCCTTTTCATACTGTACAGAAGCTCAGAGCAGGTAGAGCAGGTGCATCCCAAGCGCAGGAATCACTCTCTCCCCTTCCTCCATGGTTTCTTCATTTGTTTAAAAAGAAAAAAAAAAGAGTCAGTTTGGGACTTGCTCTGTGCTGGGCCAGGGGCTGGGGAATCAGGGCTCCAAGATGAAGCAGACCCTGGCCCTGCTCATAAAGCTGTCTCCCATCCCCAGTTTCATTGGGGAGACCCATGCTGACCTGGCTATTACAACACAAAGTGATGAGTTCGGGGAGAGAGTTATGCAGGCTGCTGAAGGGCACAGGGAAAGGAGCAAAGCCTCCATTTTCCAAATGCTGCCAGCTCTAGGAAGCATTCTACAGGGCTATGGAATGCTTCCCAGAGCAGGCAGCATTTGAAAAAATCAGGGAGTCAACAGCTGGAGAAGAGCAGGGAAGGGCGCTCCCACCTAGGGGATCAGCCTATGCAAAGCCATGGAACAGAATCATGGAACGAAGACACAGGCTGGGATCTGCCTCTCGTGGGCTGAGTGCAGCCTGAGAAATGCTCTTTGGCCCACAGATTGTTGAAAATACATTTGAAACCTTAATTGTCATCATTTAAAAGCCAGGAGGTTTTGTTTCGAGATCCAGATTTTCAGTTTCTTTGAAAGTTTTGGGCCGGGCGCGGTGGCTCAAGCCTGTAATCCCAGCACTTTGGGAGGCCGAGGCGGGTGGATCACGAGGTCAGGAGATTGAGACCATCCTGGCTAACACGGTGAAACCCTGTCTCTACTAAAAGTACAAAAAAATTAGCTGGGCGTGGTAGCAGGTGCCTGTAGTCCTAGCTACTTAGGAGGCTGAGGCAGGAGAATGGCGTGAACCCGGGAAGCGGAGCTGGCAGTGAGCCGAGATCGCGCCACTGCACTCCAGCCTGGGCAACAGAGCGAGACTCCGTTTCAAAAAAAAAAAAAAGAAAGTTTTGAAGATCCAGCTGGGCATGGTGACTCACACCTGTAATTCCAGGGCTTTGGGAGGCTGAGGCGGGAAGATAACCTGAGGTCAGGAGTTCAAGACCAGGCTGTGGAACAGAGCGAGACCCCATCTCTACAAAAAATAAATAAATAATTAGCCAGGGATGGTGATGTGCACCTGCAGTCACAGCTACTCAGAAGACTGAGGCAAGAGGATTGTTTAAACCTAGGAGCTCGAGGCTGCAGTGAGCCATGATGGCGCCACTGCGCTCCATCTTGGGTGACAGAGTGAGACCCCATCTCAAACAAACAAACAAACAAACAAAAAAACAGTTTAGGAAGATCTGAGCCCACATTCTCCTTGGTAACAATTGGCACTGTCTCTGACTCACCTCATCCATTTACATTGCCTGCTTGGGCCCACAAGACATTTTGAGTTGAGATTCCCAATCTACAGCACAAGGCCTGGGAGAGAAGAGAAGTGGGTGGGGGTCCCTGGTGGGCTGCTGGAGTGTTCTCCTCTGTATACACACACCTTAAATGGCTCTGAGCCCCAAGTGCCTCCTGGGTAGCCAGAGAAAGGGAGGAGGGCCCCAGTCCTCAGCATCTTGCCCTCTGCATCCAGGGGACAGACAGCCTGATTTTAACTCAGGGAAGGACAGGGATTGTGGCCTTTCCTTTTCCTTAAAAAATACACTATCACTTTCTTTCTGTTCTGATGATCTCTCCATGGCTCTGCTTTTCAGCCACTGTACAAGCAGCTAAAATTATGCCTAAATGCTTATTTAGAAAAACAATCATACCTTTCCATGCACCAAATATTTGCTTCTAGATTAAAAAAACAAAACAAAACCCAAACACCTCTATCTTGGCAGCCAACACTTCCAAAGTATGCAATGGTTTCCATGACTGAGGCCAAAACAAATGTGTTTTTCTGAAGCCAAATGATTCCAAAATGTTTGCAAAATGTTTCCCACCCCTTAATAAATATAGTAAAACTTGCAAAACACTAACATTAAGGAATATTAAAAGCAGAAAGAAAAAAGTGAAAGCCAAAAATATTACCCCCCACCCCAGCTATGGACACAACCATCTTCCTCTTTGACTCTTGTCTTGCAGCCTTGTTATTAGAAAGACTCTCCTGATAATGAGAGCTGCTTTGAGGATGGAGAAGGAACAAGGAGATCTCCATCCTTAGAGGCATGCAAGTAGGAGCTTGGCTTCACTAGGAATTCCCACCTCAATGGGCTTTCTGCCAAGAGCCTGTCTGACCCTAAAGTATGACAAGTATGTCTGAGAATCAGAGTAGGAAAATGAAATTATACGGATCACATTTTTTTAAATGCTGAAATTTGGAATCAGGAGGAAAGTAATTCAATCCAGCTCTATCATAGCTGTGACTTCTAAAGCATCTACTAATCCTTACAGAGCCTCGGCTCCCTCATCTGTAAAATGGGCAGAACTACCTCTGGAGCTGCACATGCTCAGGAACTGTTTGTTTTCTTCCTTCCCCCCTTCACTCCCAGCCCCACTCCACCACACCAACCCTCTCCCTTAGTTTTGCACCTTCCAGCTCCACCTCCACTGGTCCACAGGGGTGCATACATTCTGGGCTCAGTCATTGCTCCCCTGGGCTTGGGGTCTAACGGGGGTGATGCTGGCAGAGTGTGCGCTGAGGGTGGGTGCTCTGGGATGAGGGAGATCCCTGAGTGCCAGGGGGAGGATGTCAGAGGGGGCTTCCTGGAGAGCTGAAACTCCAGCTGGGTCTTGATTTGATTCGGCGGGAGGTACAAGGACATTTTAGGCCACAGCATGAGATGGGAATGATTCTGGTGCGCTAGAAAGACTTTGAAGAGACACTTGAGGGGTGACAAGGGAGTGATCTTCCAAAAATTGCCAAAAACACGAAGGAGTGAGAGTGGCAGAGGGGAAGAGCCTTTCCAGCCCTTCCCCTTGTCCAGTCCACTAAGTGTGGTAGACAGTGGCAGGTGCCCCCTGCCTCGGTGCCCAGAGAGTTTCTCAGAGTCAGCTTAGGGCACACCCATGTCCACACACACAGTTTCTGGGGTCCAGCAAGGACTTGGGGACCTAGGAGACATCTGCTCTTGTTCCCCTTCTAATATCCGTACACAACAGCTCCTGAACACATATAAGGCAAATGGGGTGCTCAAGGAGGCCTGCTTGGGGGCAGATGGCAAGGTGGGGAGACAGCTGCAGGATGACAGGATGGTGGTGGATGATGGCTGCACAAGTAGGTGGATTTGCTGAGGGGTGGGTGGTGGAAGGGAAGGATGGAGGGAAAATGGGTGGGCAGATGGCAGGAGTGGGGGCATGGCTTTATGTGAGGTGAGTGAACGTGACTGCAGGGGGTGCTGTCGTGGCTGTCAGGTGGGCATGGGGTGGATAAGGGGATGTTTTGGGTGTAGGTGGATGTGTACATGTAAAGGTGTGTTATTGGGTGGTAGGAGGATGGTTGGGTTACTGGGTGGTAGGAGGATGGCTGGGGGAGTGGTGCACCTGTTGGCAGGTGTGAGGTGCATGAGCGGGTTCTGGGCTGTGGGTTGGAGAGGGTGTGAGCAGAGTCGTGGATACATTGGTGGCTTGATAAGTGGATGGCAGCAAATATTGGCAGATACATGACTAGGTCACAGGTGTGTTGGTGAACTGGTGGGTGACTGGGTGGCTGACAGGGGAGGGATGGGTGGAGAGCTGGTGGTGTTGGGCATGGATCGGTAGACAAAAGGCATGATGGGCAGAAGGCCTAGTAAATGAGGGTGAGTGATGGATGTGTGGGTGGGGGGCGGTGGGTAGACAGGATGTGGGTGGAGGAAGGTGGCTTTCAGCACTGACCGCCTTGTCTCCTGGCAGGACACCAGCCACACATGGCGGATTCCTGGCCCCGGAGCTCCGCACAGGAAGCACCAGAGCTGAACCGACAGTGCTGGGTCTTGGGGCACTGGGTGTGACCAAGACCTCAACCTGGCCCGCGGACCTCAGGCCATCGCTGGCACCAGCCCCTGCTGCAAGACCACCAGAGTGGTGCCCCCAGAACCCTGGCCTGTGTGCCGTGAACTCAGTCAGCCTGCGTGGGAGATGCCAGGCCTGTCCTGCCCATCGCTGCCTGGGTCCCATGGCCTTGGAAATGGGGCCAGGGCAGGCCCAAGGGAATGCACAGGGCTGCACAGAGTGACTTTGGGACAGCAGCCCCGGACTCTTGCCATCATCACATGAGCCCTGCTGGGCACAGCTGCGATGCCAGGAGACACATGGCCACTGGCCACTGAATGGCTGGCACCCACAAGCCAGTCAGGTGCCCAGAGGGGCAGAGCCCTTTGGGGGGCAGAGAGTGGCTTCCTGAAGGAGGGGGCAGTGGCGCAGGCACTGCAGGGGTGTCACACAGCAGGCACACAGCAGGGGCTCAATAAATGCTTGTTGAACTTGTTTTCTTGCGGTGTATGGAGGCCAGTTGCTCTGTGGGCTGTGGCTGCCCTGTCATTGCCCCACCCCATTACTCCTCAAGGAGGCTGAAGGTGACAGCAGAGACTGTGCAGAGGCCAGGGCCAGACACTGCAGGGTGGCAGGGAGGGAGCACAGAGCCCAGGCTGGACACAGGCTGGCAGGGCTGCCTTGTATTCCAGAGAGTGGGCAAGGCAGGGGCCAGGCAAGCAAGAGATGTGGGGCGAGCAAGAAGTGGGCCCCCAAACCCAAGCCCTAAGCAGGGAGGGTGAAGAAGCCACATTTCTCTTCAGAGCTCAGCAACATCACACCACCCTGACCCTGAGGAGGCTTTACCCTGTGCCTAGCACCACCTTTACAGAAAATCCCAGGGCTTAGATGCCTGGAGAAACAGATTCTTATTATAAAGAGGAGGAAAATTAGGGTCACAGAGATGAATGAAGTAACTTGCCTGTGATTACAGAGCTAGCAAATGGCAGAGATGGGGTTTGAATCAGGACTCCTGACTCCAAGTTCAGTCATTTCCCAAGAGGCCTTATTCCTTCCCAGAAGAATTTCTAGAGCTTTTCCCCACGTAGAATATATTCTTCTCCTTTATCCTTCCATCCTTCCATCCATCATCCATCACTCATCCAGCCATTATCCATTATCCATCCATCCATTCATCATTCGTCCATCTATTATCCACCCATTCATCATCTATTATCCATCCATCATTCATCATCCATCCATCATTCATAATTCATCTTTCCACTCATCCATCCATCATTCATTCATTCATCCATCCTTCCATCCATCCATCATCTATCCATTCATCCATCCATTTGCCATCCATCCACTCATTCATCAGCTATCCATCATCTATCCATCCATCCATCCATCCAGCATCTATCACTCATCCAGCTATTGTCCATTGTCCATTCATCCATTTTTCATTCATCCCTCCATCATCATTAATCCATTATCCACCCACTCATCATCTATTATCCATCTATAGTCCATCAACCATCCATCCTTCATCATCCATCCATCCATCCTTCATCCATCCATCCACCCATCCATCCATCCATCATCTGTCCATCCATTATCTATCCATTCATCCATCCATTCATCATCCACCCACCTATTCATCAGCTATCTATCCATCATCCATCCATCCATCATCCATCCATCCATCCATCCATCCATCATCTATCCATTCATTGTCTATGCTTTCATCCATCCATTCATCATCCATCCACCCATTCGTTAGCTATTTATCCATTATCCATTCCTCCATCTATCCATCATCCATTCATCCCTTATCCATTCAACCATTATGCATTTCTTCATTTATCCATTATTTATCCTTCCATCCATCATCCATCATCTTTCCATCCACTATCTATCCATTCATCCATCTATCCATCATCCATCCATCCTTTATCCATCATTCATCAGCCATCATCCCTCCATCTATCCATTATCCATCATCCACTCATCCATTCATCCCTCCATCTGCCCATTATCCATCAACCATCCATCCATCCATTATCCGTCATCCACACATCCATTCATCCCTCCATCTGCCCATTATCCATCAACCATCCATCCATCCATTATCCATTTCTGCATTATCCATTTATTCTTTATCCATTTCTTCATCTATTCATCATCTATCCATCCATTATCCTTACACCTATCTATCATCCATCCATTCCTTCATCTATCCATCATCCATCAATTATCCATCCATTCATCCATCCATCTATCCATCTTCTATTGATTGCTTGTCATCCTTCCTTGTATCAGACTTCCATCCATCCTCCTTCCATGTGTCACACATCCTCATTACTCAACCATCCAGCTGTGCATCCATCTATTCACTGATATAGTTCACTGTGCCCCTACTATGTGCCAAGCACTGTGGTAGGCACTTGAGGTGGGATGCTGGAGCATCCAGAGAGGGCATCTATTGTCGTGAGCCTGGGTTCAGATTCCACCTTCTCCACTTGTGACCTTGGGCGAGTTACTTGACCTTTCTGTGCCTGTTTCCTCATCCATTAAATCCGGATAATCATTATACCTACCTCTTCAAGCTGTTGTGCAAATTAAATGAGCTAACATATTTGAAGTGTCTAGAACAGAGCCTGGCACAAGTAAACACTTTGTGGGTGTTTACTAACAGGACAACAAGGGGAAATCGGGGCTGTGGGAGCTGTAGTCTAGGGAGGCTCCTTTGAGAAAATGATGTCTAAGCCAAGACATGAAGATTGTCTGGGCATCAGCCAGGCAAGAGTATAGCAGGGAAAGAAAGTACATTAGAGGACTTTAAAATAGTCCCAATGGCAGGTGTGGAGAGCAGGGAGGTCAGGAGGCAGTTGTGGGAAATTAGGCATCAGAGGGCAGTGGAGCCAGGCCAGGAGGAACTGGAAACCTTCTTAGGGAGCTTAGAGTTTACCCTGGGGCAATGGGGAGTGGGCAGTGAGATGCTTTTAGCAGACTGGGATGCGCCTGGGTGTACATTTGAGGAAGATCACCGCAACTATGGGCACAGAATAGTTGTGGGAGATGCTTCTCCCTTCCTCATCCCTCTTACACTCAAGAAAGAGAAGAAAGTGGGCTGGCTTAGGAAAGTTGCCCTGGGGAGGGGACCATGCGGGCAGATTCAGGAACCAATTAGGAGGGAATAGACTGAGTGGGAGAAGAGGAAAGTTGGTGACGACTCTCAGGTTACAGGGTCAGCTTGGGGGATAGGGAAGACGGAGACTTCGTGGTTCAGATGTCTTGAGTCTCAGGGGCTCAGGGGACAGCCAGCTGGAGGTTTGTGCTCATTCATTCACGCATTGATTCATCAAGCGAACAATTTGTTAATTCACTTTCCATTCATTCAGTAAATATTAATGACCTACTAGGTGGGGCTTAAGGCGGGGCTGGAAATGGGCCTGGGAGAGCAATTATGGTCCAGCTCTACTGAGGCCTTGAATGTCAGAACAAGGAATTTGGGCTTTGGCCTCATGCAAGAGAGGGCGGCTGCCATATATGGGCCTGGGCAGGGACAGATCTGACAGGGATCTAGCCCTGGCCACCAGGCATCTAGGAGCTCTTGTTCTCACCCAGGGTCCTTCTGAAGTTGGCGAGTGGACCGCAGGAGGTCCAGGAGATGATTGTAGTTGACACATGGGGAAAATTTTAATCTATTTTAATAGTTGTGTTTATGTAAATGTGTATTAGAAAAAAATGTACAGTGGGCACATCAGTGCTATGACTTCACAGACGTTACTGCTTAGGATGAAACCAAAATAGGCATTTAAGTAAAAGAAAAAAAGAGTTGGCTTAAAGAAAAATATTAAATAAATAATCGTGCAAGTGGTATGTGGTTATGATATGCGGACAGCTTGAGCGACAGCCATTGTCACGGGGCAAGGGAGAGAGGTCAGAGGCTCCCAGGGCCACTGAGCTTCAAGTCCTCTGGTCTCCTTCTGGGCACCTCCTGGGCGGGGGCTGAGAACCAGCTGTCTGTCAGTTTCATGGAGCCTGCAGCAAGAAAGCTGCTGGTTAGATAAGAGGCAGGCTGGGTGAGTAATTCCAGTGGGTTTACTACGAGTTCGTATGAGAGTTGTCTTTATGCAGGGAGCGAATGCCAGTGTCTGCCTGAATCTGGAAGGTGGGAGTCACCATCTGGTTTGAAGGCAGGGGGTGCCTGTTTGAGCACCCAGAGGCCTGGATGGGAAAGAAAAGGCCCCTCCACCCACCTCCACAGACAGCTTTCCCAGCTACACCTCCCCTGCGCTGCCCTGAGCAGACAGGCTCCAACCATGGAGAGAATGGCTGTGTGTGTGTCTTTGGTCTTGACACCCATATATATCGACGTGACCCACAGCCCAAAGCGCTTACACGACCTCGTTCTGCCCTGGGCACCTGCGTCCCGTGTCTCTGTATCCACACGCCTTGGGCTCGTGTGTACATGCCAACCTTACCGTGGCCCAGTCACACATACCCATGATCATCAGAGGCTGACTTTGGCTCAAAGTGCTGACCCTACTCCCCTGGCCCCCCACAACATGTTGATATTGCTCAAGTGTGAGTCAGCACCTTGTATGTACCTAGGAGCTAACTGCATGTTCACTGCTCATCCACACTGTGTGTTCTGTTGACCTTGTGCACACACGCTCATGCGTGCTTCTGCTGGCTCTGGACAAAATGCCACACATGTGCTAATGCTGAACAAACATGCTCATGATACACACGTGGCCCTGGGCACACACCTGTGTCTGCACATGCTCTGTGCTTCTCTTGTTGCTTGTTGGCCCATGTCACCCCCTCTACCCAGGTGCAGAGGACCCATGAAGCCACAATCCCTTCTCTGGCCAAGGGCTGAAGGGCAGGCCCGGGCCTCCGTGAGTAACTGGGCTGCCTTCCCTCCTTGGCTGGTGGCTGTGATGGGCACGCATCCCCGCCACCCCCGCCAAAGCCAGCCGTCCTGGCCACACACTCGTCTCCCTCGGGTAATGGAAATGTCAGCTTGATTCATGGAGATTCATCTGCGGCAGCCAGGCCTGAAGACGAGGCACGCTGCGGGAGGATCATCCCCTGTGAAGAGCTGCTGCAGCAAGGGTGTCAAGCCCCTGCCTGGGAGGATGTGAGGATGGAAGAAAGCCCCTGAGGCTGTGCAGTTAGGCCTGGGTTCAAATCCCGAGGCCACTGCAGACCTGCTATGTGCCTCATTGATCCAAGAAATAGTTATGGAGGGACTGCTGTGTACAGGAACAGAGCTGTGCCCTGGAGTGGCCATGGCGAACAAGAAAGACAGACACTATCTTCACCCTTGTGGAGATTAGATTATTAATAATCCTAAATAAGCTGGGTGTGGTGGCTCACGCCTGTAATCCCAGCACTTTGGGAGGCCAAGGCAGGCAGATCACTTCAGGTCAAGGGTTCGAGACCAGCCTGGCCAACATGGTGAAACCCTGTCTCTACTAAAAATTCAAAAATGAACCGGGTGTGGTGGCGCACACCTATCATCCCAGCTACTCGGGAGGCTGAGGCAGGAGAATCTCTTGAACCCAGGAGGCAGAGGTTGCAGTGAGCCAAGAGATCAAGCCACTGCACTCCAGCCTGGACGACAGAGCAAGACTCCATCTCTCTCTCTCTCTCTCTTTCTTTCTCTCTCTCTCTCTCTCTCTCTCACACACACACACACACTCCTAAATAATAAAATAATCACTTTGTATAGTGAGAGGTGTTATGTAGGTGAACCAAGGAAAGATGTGATTTAGACCAGAGGATGAGGGAGGGCCTCTCGGAAGGACCATTGCAGCACAGAATGAAGGGAGAGAAAGGAGGCAGGAGGCACAGGGTAGGTGGGAGGAACCGTGGGTGCAAAGGCCCTGGGGTTGGAGGAGCACCGTGAGCGCCATGTGCAGCACTGCATGACAGGACAGAGTGCTTGGAGCTCGGGGCGAGGACATGGGGTCTGCTGGGGTCAGAGACTGTGGGGCTTTGGGGGTTGTGGCAAGGAGTTTGGCCGTCATCTTCATCCTGAAGGCCACAGGAGACACTGATTTAAAAGGCAGGGTTTTAAAAGGCAGACATGATGGGCTCTGCATTTTGGGAGGTTTCTTCTGGCTGTGTGTGGGGCAGGCCTGAGAAATGGGCGGCAGGGCAGAGGCAGGGTGACCAGAGGGGGCTGCAGCAGGGTCCTGCTGGGAGATGGCGGTGGCTTGGGGTGCGCTGGCCCCGGGAATGGAGGGAAGTGGGCGTCTGATCAGTGGCACCCATGGGGCTTGGAGATGAGTGACAGAGCTGGGCCAGGCTCCTGTCTGGGGCTTTGATGCTGTGCAGGCTGGGATGCTGCCGGCCAGATGAGGCCTTGGTGGAAATCAGGAAAAGCTGCTCTCTGAGTGGATGAATTAGAAAAGGGCCCCCTCCCTGCCCCCAAACATGGAAGACGTGGCCCCTGAGCCTCGCCCGGGAGCTGAGCTGTGGGGCACAGAGTGATTGTGCCCGCCCCAGGCCTGGCTGCCGTGGGATTGAGACAAATTCAGCCCAGCCTGGGACCATCAGTCATGAGGAAAAACCAGTCTCCTCCGTGTGGGGATTTACTGCATGGACAGACAGGAAATCGCTGTGCAGGGCCCCTGCCCTGTCCCCAGCACCGCCTGGCTCACGTCACCCTGGTAATTGCTCCTTGGGCCACATGTAGTCTTGGACTGACATTGAGCTTCTGCCTTAGGGAAGGCAAGGGGCCGGGCTGATGGCCACAGGCCTGGCAGGGGAGTGGGCAGCTGCCAGGAGTAGCGGGCACCCAGGGTAATGAGGGGTCCTGGGACTCCAGGGGGAGCGGGAGGGGCCTCTGCATGGGAGAAGCTCTGTGATGGGGCCAAGCTGGTGAGTGGGTGCAACATGCCCAGCCGGGTACACCCACTCTTACCCCTTCTTCCCGGCCCTCCTGAGAACTTCTAGGGCATGTGTGTTGGGGGTGGGAGGTGCAAGCAGGATGAACCCAGGGAGAGGAGGCAAGGGAGGAAGAATCCCAGGGGCCAATCAGGGGAGGGAAGGGAATGGATAGGGAAGGGGAAAGAGTTGGCGGAGGAGGGGCAGGGCATCGGGACATCGATCTCTGCTCAGCCAATGGGCTGGCTGCACTAAGGCCAGTGCCCTTCTTTGTGGACCAATCTGCCAAGGCTGGGATGGTGCCCTGGAAATTTGAGAGGGACCGGGTGCGAGGTAGTGCCACGTTGCTCTGGTGAAGACCCCAGACCCAGAAGTCACATCCCAGCCTCCGTCTGATGGTGGATGGAGTTGATGTGAGCACCAGTGGGCCTGGCGCCTGAGAGCTCTGCTCCATGACAGAGGTACTGCTGGTACCACTGCAGCCTGGGTAAGGAAGCCTAGGGCCCAGGGCGTAAGGTCACTCGCCAAGGTCGCACTGTCAGGAAGTGGTTGGTGGAGCCTAGACTGGAACCCTGGCAGCTGGCCCCAGGGTCACTGTGTGTGAGTCCTCACCAGCTTTCTGGGGAGAGTGGTGCCTGCAGCCCAGGTCTCACTGCAACTCACCACTGTGCGCCTTCAGGAGAAACCGCAGCGCATTCGCTCTCAGGATGAGGGCTTAGTGTGTATTGGCTGTTAGGATTTTTTTTTTTTTTTTTTTTTTTTTGAGATGGAGTCTCACTCTTGTTGCCTAGGCTGAAGTGCAGTGGTGCGATCCCGGCTCACTGCAACCTTCACCTCCCAAGTACAAGCGATTCTCCTGCCTCAGCCTCCTGAGTAGCTGGGATTACAGACGCCCACCACCATGCCTGGCTAATTTTTATATTTTTTTTAGTAGAAATGGAGTTTCACCATGTTGGCCAGGCTGGTCTCGAACTCCTGACCTCAAGTGATCCACCCGCCTCAGTCTCCCAAAGTGCTGGGATTACAGGCCTGAGCTGCCGTGCCTGGCCGCTGTTAGGAATTTTGTTGTCATCATCACAGCATATGGTTGTCAAAGGCTGCCCCTGTGGCAGAAGCTGTGAGTGGAGCAGTTTCCCAGAGAGGCTAGGAGACTGGAGTGCTGTCATAAATGCCACACTGCACACGGCAATCTGGGACATGCCCACACAGTCAGGGAGGCACCCCCAGAGCACCTGGGGACATATGCAACATACTGGATGGAGGCTGGCCACCTCTTGCTCTCCCCGGCCTCTGGCCCTCAGAGGCTCAAGTCTCAGGGCCCCAGAGAGCACTGCGCATGCCTGGGAGGCTGGGGTCTCATTGCGAGAGGTCCAGCCTTGCCAGCTCCACGCCCACTGGGCCCCGCAGCACTATCCCCACGTCCCCTCTTCTCCTCCACATTCCTTAACCTGCTTCTATCTCAGGGGTTGCAAACTCACACGCTGGCTGGGTGTGTGTGTGTATGGTCATGCGAGGGAGGACTGCAGGCAAGGGTGGGACAAGAGGGGCTGGCGGGGACCAGGACCATCTGGAGAGCACTGCTCAGGCTCTGGGGCCAGCTGGGAACGTGGGACCAGGTTGCCAGATCTTCCTGTCTTTCCAGAGAAGCAGGGAATCTGAATTTTAATGTGAAACCTGATAATAAAGGAAGGCAACTCATTTTAAAAAAATTAAGCATCGCCTAGTGAGTCCGCCAAACCCAAGAGGCTGGGCCACTGGATTGTGGACTGTGAAGAGGCCAGGTGGAGCCTGGGGGCCTTGGAAAGGGACTGTCCTGGCTCCAAGTGAGGCGGGAGGTGAGGCTGGGAGAGGGAACCCGGGCATCTCAGCACACGTGCCTCGCATGGGGCAGCTGCCACCTGCCTGGCTGCGAAGCCCCCCTTGGCAGGCTCTGGGGGGGTCCTTCTGGGTCCTTCTGGGGTGGCAGTGCCAGTGTTGGAACTTCCAGGGGGGTGGGAAGCAGGTCCTTCCCACTGCTGAACAGAGGAGGCAGGTCCCCAAGGGCTGGAGGCCTGTGGGAGCCTCCACTGGGAGCCCGTGCCGTAACCCTCTTGTCAGCTGCAGTGGAGGCCCATTTCCAGTCACCTATGCCAGGGAGCCAACGAGCCCTGACCCCTGACAGTGGCAGCCTGGGAGTCATTTATGTCTCTGTTTGTTGGGGCGCTGGGGGTCGGGGGGCGTTGCACAGAATAGGAAGCCTCAGCATGTGGAGGGAAAGGAGGACGTCTGTTTACCCACAACAGCTGAGTGTGGGGGCTGCCGCCTCCAGGACCCAGAGGTGTCACCTGATGGTCGTCCTGTCTCTGCCCATCTGGGGGCTGAGGAGTGGGAGTGACAGGCTAGGAAGGAGCCCTCTCTCCTTTTTCCTCCCTGGAGAGGGAAGAGGAGCTGGGAGATTCCAGCCTGGGACATTTCTTGAACCCCAGGCTGGAGGTGGGGCAGAAAGGGAGGCCCGCTGAGCAAGCAGGATTGGTGAACGGACCGGGGCCTGCCTGCGGACGGGTTTTATTCAATACTTGGCTCACTCAGTGTGTGTTTGCCTGTTTGTTGAAGTTGAGCCAACATTTAAAAGTTAGATTTCACATTAAAGATAAAAGAAACGCCTGGCTGTCTGGCTTCTCTTAGAAACCTTGAAGACCGAGCCGGGCGAGGTGGCTCACGCCTGTAATCCCAGCACTTTCGGAGGCTGAGGCGGGTGGATCACGAGGTCAGGAGATCAAGACCATCCTGGCTAACATGGTGAAACCCTGTCTCTACTAAAAATACAGAAAAATTAGCCGGGCGTGGTGGCGGGCGCCTGTAGTCCCAGCTACTTGGGAGAATGAGGCAGGAGAATGGCATGAACCTGGGAGGCAGAGCTTGCAGTGAGCCAAGATCACACCACTGTACTCCAGCCTAGGCGACAGAGCCAGAGCCAGACTCTGTCTCAATTAAAAAAAAAAAAAAAAAAAAAAAAAAAGAAACCTTGAAGACCGGATGTTGCTGGCCCCTTGGATCTGAGGTGTGGCTGACCCCTTCGAAGGGCCTGTGCCGCCGTGTCAACCACGGTCCTTGCAGGCCAGTGTTGACATCACTCCCTGACATCACTTGTCTGGCCCCTGAATAACAGGACTCCACCCCAGGGCTCTGGCAGGGGCTGGAGAGGCTCAGCAGAGCTGAGAGGCTGGGACACCCCTGCCGGCCTCCCACTCTCACAGAGGGAATGCTGGAAGGTCTGGGCTGCCCTCGAGGGTCTCCAGGGCTGGCCCAGAGATCCTTCCACCAAAAGGAGGGAGGGCGACTGCTTTCCAACACTAGCATGGCTGGGCACAGCCAGGCCCGTCTCTTAGGAAATCAGAGGGAACAGGGGGCATGGAGCAGGCCGGCCGGAGCCCCTGCTGTTTTCCCTCTATGCTTGGGGCTGGGCCTCTCCTGGCTGGACAGAGGGGGCTCTCTCCTCTGACCCACACAGTGAAGCAAAGTAGGGTTTCTAAAGGACTCTCCTACCTGCTGCCAGTGCTATTGCCGGTGCCTGAACTGCAGTGTGACCCTCCTCAACTGAGCCCTCTTTCCACTCAAGGGCTGCTTTATCCAGAAGCCACAAGCTGCCAACACTCACCCCTGGAGGCAGCAGGGGCATGGGGGTGGGCAGGGAGGAGGTCCAGGAACTGGGGGTCTGGGGGCCACCATTCCAGGATCCACACATGGTGAAGGGAAACCCCAGGGCCAAAGACCCAAGTGTTGTCACCCCCACCTCAACTCTCCAGGGGCCCTCTCAGGATTTGTGCATTGGCTAATAGCTTCCAAAGCTGTGTGTCCCAGGAAAGCTGCACAACCTCTCTGTGTCTCAGCTCCCTTATCTGTAAAGTGAGGATAATAATAGTGCCCACCCCAAAGGGTTGTGTTACGTGGATTAAACAAGTTAGAGCCAGGCATGTAATCACCACTCTCTATGGATGAGCTACTGTTGTCTGCTCATACGGCAGGACAATCTCATTGAGTAGTCAGGGCGAGATCATGACCCCATCTGCAGCTCAGTGAGGGCTTCTCTGTGTCACTCAGCTCCTGGAGGCAGCATGGACTCCCCATCTGACCCCAAATCCGGTGACTCGGACTATATTCTTAATAACATCTTTTATTAATTTTGCAAGAGGAAAAAAATAGAAATTTATTTTAGAGTTAAAGCTTGTACAGCCTTTTTTTCCCCTCCTAAATTGCACAGTACATACGATTATTATAAACATCAGCTGCGGTTCTGGGAGTGAGCTTGTGTCGTGTTAGTGCCATCTCCCTGACAAATCTGACCTGTACCCACATCTCAGCTGGGAAGGAGTAGCTGGGCCTCCCTTTAATGCAGCGGCACTGGTTTGGGTCACAAGAGCTGGTTTGATCAACCCCTGACTCCCCCTGGCGGGAGGTGCTCGTCACATCTGGGAGCTGAGCAGAGGTGCCGGGGGCTTGGAAGCTGGAGAAATGATGGATCTTTCTCCAGGAGAAACAATTCTTATCTTCACATCAGCCCCGTGCTCCAAATGAAAAGCGCGTTTGCATAGCTGCTCGAGCCCAGGCTGCTAAGCTCATGAAGTATTTGCCGGGGCTCTCGGTTGCATAGGAACGTACCTCGAGTACAGTACTGCGGCGGGCCGGGCTGGGCGCCAGAAAAACAACGGATTAATATTTGCAACGAGAAATTACCCACTACTGGGAAACCAATTAGGTCCCTGATCCGAGCTTGTTACATCGATGCATATAGATGCGTTCTGGGCTTCACTCGGCTGGGGGTGCAAGGCACATTTCCAACTCGCTGGGAAGTGGCTGAAGGGGGAGAAGGGGTGGGGGCCTGGGAAAGGAGCACCTCACTGCCTGCCTCCAAGGGCACAGGGGCAGAGACAGAAAGCAGCCACATCAGTGAGCACAGCCGTGATCAGACCAGGAGGGACATGTGGCAGAGAGTGCAGGGAGGGCCTGCTCAAGGGTGAGGGGAGATGGGGGATTGTCCTCAGTGTTCCCCAACACCTGCATCCAGAGGGCACTGGGGTGAGTTCTTCTGGCCCTCTGGGGTCTGGAGCTGCCAGCCTGCTGGCCACCCACCCACCCTTCCTGGCCCGGCAGCAGCACGCAGATGATACCCTGGCCTGCCAGAGTGGGCCCAGCTCTTGCCAAGGTGGATGGCGGGTGGCCCAGCTGACTTCCTTCCCTCTGCAGGATGCACACAGCCTTGGCCAATCCCTTATCAGGCCCGATGAGAGGAGAGAGGCCCCTATACCGGGATGAGAGAGGGTCTTGTGGACCCCTGTAACCAGGAAACTACCCCAACCTCTCAGCCAGCTCCACCAGTCCCCAAATGAGACAAGGATGCGCAGGGGATGGGGGGTGTTGGCCGCTGAAGCTCAGGTTTCTGAAGGCAGTCTCCCTGGGCAGTGCCCTGCTTACTGGAGTTGCGGGGTAGGGTCTGGTCTCCCACTGTCCTGCTCAGCCATTCTCTGGGCCCTCTGAGGCTGGATGGGATGCCTCCCCACCCCGTCATTGTCCTGTTCTGAGTCAGGGTCAGCCCAGGCCCTAGTGGTCATGGGCCCTGCTTTGCTGGGTCTCACAGCAGAGGCATGAAGGCGGGTGTCCTGGGCTCCCTGTGGCCAACCCAGAACTGCAGGGGATCTCTTTGCCCTGCAGCCACAGCCATCTGTCACTCTGGTAGTATCCAGGGCTGTCCTCCCGAGTCCCCTCTTCCCAGCGGGCTCCCCTCAACACTGTGGTTCGCTTCCAGCTCCTGGGACTGAGGGTGAGGGACGCAGGCACTGAGTGGGGCTGCTGACGGAGCCCACCATAGTGGGAGGACCAGCTCTCCCTCCTTCACCAGTCAGCAGCGCCGTCGTCTCGTCTCCTTCTCGCTGATGCAGGTTTTGGGACGTAAGGCTGTCATGACAGGGAACAGAGGGACCAGAGTTACTAAGTCTCAAACCCTGGAGGGGTGCCCCACACTCCCCAGTGAAATCCAGCAGCCTGGGTTGCCATTCAAGGCCCTTGGAAAAGTCCCTGCTCTCGGGGCGCCTGGCACGCTGGCCCCTTCCCTCCGCCTGGAGCAGGCTCTGCCACAACACCCCTCTCAGCCTTTGCCCAGGCTGCCTGGCACACTCCTCACATCCTTTAGGATCCAGCTCAAACATCACCTCCTCCGGGAAGCCCTCACCTTGGGCATCCTCTATTGGTTTCCCACGGCCCGGGGCAAACCCCTTTAACATGGTGCTCTGTCCCTGACTGCTTCCCCACTCTGTGCCCACGACACTTAGATTCAGGAAGCTCCACTGTGTTACAGGTGCCTGCAAGAAGATGGAAGCATGTTGCTCCCCTGGTTCCATCCTCTTCAGTCCCTCCCTAGGCCTTTGGGCAGGCTCCTGGGCAGAGGAGAGCGGTCTAGGGGCAGGCAGGGGTGAGGGTGGGGGTGCAAGGCCACCAGCTCCTTCTATATTCAGACCGAGCTCCCAAGGCACAATGCTCTGGGCAGAGAAACGCCACTGACCTGGGTCAACAACGCTCTGCTTCCGTTTCGCGTTGGTAATGATTTGGTTTTCATTCATCATCTGGACATCTTGATCCTCGGCCTGATTACTGAGGGTAGGAAGGAAACACAAGATTCGATCAGGCTCCTGGCCGTGTGTCCCAGCCATCCATCCTCCTTAGGGCTGGTGGGGAGGCCATGGGGCCGGCTGGGGCCCTACCTGATGGTGGTGTGTTTCTCCTGGTGGCGGATGTCCCTGTCCTCGGTGAAGAGGATGGTGTGGTAGGGCACGGTGGGCTCACATGTGGGCAGGATGCCCCCCACCAGGTGGCTCACCATGGCCAGGATCCCATTGTACACAAGCAGGTCGTCCACCAGGAGCTGCAGGGACACGGGGCAGGACTCATGGGTCCCCCTCGTCCCTCCCACGTTGACCTTGGGCAGAACGCGTTACTGCTCTGAGCCAAGGCTTTCTCCTCGGGAAGACGGGGCTGTCAGGAACAAGCGCCTACTGTGTGCTGTGTCTGCCTTGTGATTTCAGATCTTCACAACCATTGGGAAAGGCAGGAGCTATCAGCATGCATTGCAGATGAGGAAATTGAGGCCCGAGGGGCTTTAATACCATTAGCACAAGTGGCAGAGCTGGAGGCAAACTTGGGTCTCTGGTATCCAGGGTCCCTGTTTTCCCCATCCCAGGGTCACCGCCCCAAACCAGTGGGATTCTAGAGGAAAAGACGAAAGAAAACCCACTTTCTATTTGCTCAGGGTGACACTGAAATCACTGCCAGCAGGTTCTGAATTCATGGTTGGGTGGGAAATTCGCCTGCATCTGACGACCAGGCATTTGTGTTGAGGGTTGCAACAGAGAGAAGTAAATCAAACTGCGACAAATGATAATTGCCGGCGGCCTAATTACCAACGAGCATAATTATCTCAAAAAACTCAGCTAATAAGTACTTACGCCAAACTCCTTCACCCCTCGATGGGGTGTTTTCGCATAATTCCACAGTTTGATCATTGACACGGTGGTAGGCAGATCGAAAATCACATAAACCCGGTTCACCTGTCAGAGAGCGGCACTAATTAAAACAGGCATGTTTGGAAACAGAGGCGCTTGGCTGGGCTGGGGGTGCCAGGCGTGGGCTGGGGTGAGCGGTGGTGCCCAAGGCAGCGCCTGCCACGTGGGCCAGCCTGGAGTTCCGCCCCCTTTCATCTCCTCGAAGCCCATCTTGAGTCAGGTCACGTGTGGCTGCATTTGCAACAAACCGCTGAGCTGGCTTTTGGAGGGCCTGTGTTCTTGGGCCTGTCGGAGCCCTCATTTAAATGCCAGTGGAGGATTGGGAACATCCTCGGCCCTCCCCCACGTCCCCTCAGGTCAGGCCCAGAAATAGTCTAGAGCCCCATGAGCTAAAGGGACAGTCCCCAACTCGGGTTGAGCACCAGCCATGGTGATCAGCATCTGACCCTGTCTGTCCTTTCCCCAAACCATCACTGAGAAGCAACGCCAAGGTGCTGCTGGACAATGTCCAGGGCGTGTCTGTGAACCTCCGCTGGGGGAGTAAAAAGGGGGCTGTCTAGATCGGGGCAGAATCCAGTGGGAAAAGTGGGACGGAGCAGCCTCAAACAGCCCTCCCTCTCCCCACCCCCAACCAAAGCTCTCAGATATTAGGGGAGGCCCTCCCTTGCAAGACAGAATCAAGAAATAAGCATTCCACACTGGCCACAGACTGCAGGCTCAGTCCTGCCCCAGGCCCTGGTCCCCAGCCTGTGACCATCCTCAGAATATGCCAAGAGGGAGTGCGGCTGCTCGGGTAGGGCCAGCCTCCTGGCTGGACCATGGAAACAATAAAGGTCAGGGTGAGGGTCTCCAAACTCAGTTGCCTGTGAGGCTCAAGCAGATACAGATGTTGGAGTCCAGCCGCGAGAGCAACAGCTGAAGTCGCCGCACCCCAAAAGGCCTTCCAGTGCTAGACAATGGAAAATACCCGCTGGCCGTCAGTGGGTGGCCTGAGTCTCAGGGAGGACAGAGCTCTGTTGCCCCCTCTGCAATGGGGCAGGGGAAGCTGAGGACGCTCAATAGGGGGGGTCTAATTTTAGGGTGGCCTTTGGAAAACTTCCGTCATAGAATTGCTGATGCTGTACCTTCCTGTGTTTTCAGAGAAAAAGGTGCCCCCGATCCCCCACTCAGTCCCATGGCATGGACAAGGGACACATCCCTAGTCATATGGCTGCCAAGAACCCGCTGTGCATCTCTACCAGGCACCTGGCCCTGGGCTGAGAGGCTGCAGGGGGGCTGACCACCCCGTCCATGCCCTCTCCCCTTCCTCTCCACCACAACCAACCACGTCTTCTCACCATGAGGCCTCAGAGCTAAAAGCTAAGCAGGACCCAGTGCAAGATTTGAGATCTGGGAAACTGAGTCAGTTGGTCGGAAGAGCTGACCAGGCCAATTTAGGGCCAGAAGGAGGGCAGGGCGGCCGTACTGGGGTCATCTACCTGGTGATGTAGGAAGGGGCAGAAACCGTGAGTGTGCGGAGAGCTGGGTGGGGAGGAAGAGGGCACAGTGGCTGCAAAGCCAGGCAGAGCAGAGAACCAGAGAGGGCTGCCTGCAGGGACCCAGGACGCCCAAGCCCTCAGGCAGTTGTGCTGGGGTTCCTGGCTTCAGATTCCCATGGGACCCCTTTCGCCCCAGGTGTCCACTTATAAAAGAGAAAGAACTGCTGGCCTGGAAGAGCTGACCCCATCAGGCAAGTTAGCAAAGACCTAAACCTTTCTGACAGCTCCCAAGCATCTTGGCTTGAGATTAACTTGACCTGGAAGAAAGACGTGTCACTGAGACCAGGGAAAGAAAGTCCCCCTGCCCGCCTGAGGGCCAGGAGCTGCGGTGGCCGCTGCCGGGAACCCACCAGGCCCGGCAGGATGGGAGCCAGCCACATGTGCCGGCCATCACTGGTGTCGTTCACTTGGTCGATGAGCTTGTCTGGGGTGCGGACGTCCCCGCCCACACCCTCCAGGGAGTTCACGCTGTCGGGGAAGGCCGCAATATCTGAGGAGACGTCTAAGTTGCCATAACCCAAATCTGTGTGCTCGGGGCTGCCAGCCACCCTCAGGCTGATGGCGTGGCTCGGGGGACTCTGGGGCTGGCAGGGCTGATGCTTTGGGCAGCCGCAGCAGTGACAGCTGAATTGGACGTGTCCTGGGGAAACGGGGAGTGCCGGGCCCAAGGGGAGCAGGTGTGTCTGGAGAGGTGGTCAGTTTCAAGTAGAGAGAGAAGGAAACCACACAGAAGGCCAGCTGAAAAAGAGACGTTGCAGGGAACTGCCAGAGCTGGGGACGTAAAATGTTGCTGCTGCTTGAGAGGGTGGAGGGCAAGCTCTGCGGAGGTTTTCTTTTGGAAGGGAATGGGGCGGTGGCTGGATTCTACCCTGGCATGTGAGTATCATGCCGAGCCTCTCTTCCTGGTCAGTGTGGAAGGACCTCGGAGCAGCTGGACCCAGCTAATGTGATCTGCAGAACCCAGCTTCTAGCTCTGCCTCTGCCATTATGACCTGTGAGGGCGTGGGCAAGTCACAGGTCAACCCTGGGCCTGTTTTCCCATCTGTAAAATGGGTATAAAAACCTCCAGCTCCCAGGATGGATGTGAGGATCTCAGAGTGCACCAGATGTGAGCACTTTGGTAAAATCAATGAAACTTTATAGCTTCGAGGAGTCGCTAATAATGATCTAAAACATCAAGAATCATTCATCCCAGCTGAGGAGGGTGGTGGCACCAGGGGAAGGCAGAAAAGGATCCAACTGGAAGCCAGGGACCCCAAACAGATGCAAGGCAGGCTTTGGGGTTCGACTTGCCCTGGTATTTCCCTAACTGTGGTGGGCCAGGGATCACAGATTCAAGATCCGAGGGGGCCAGGCAGGTTACATGAAAGAGGCAGGATAGCCTACTGCTTGGTCAAGAGCTGGTGTCTGGACACTCACTGGCTGTGTGACATTAGGCAAGTTACTCAATCTCTCTGTGTCTCAGGCTCCTCATCTGTAAAATGGGGATAACAGCAGCAATCACCTCACAAGATTGTTGTGAGGGCAGATGAGGTAGCACAGAGTGAGCCCTGAGAAAATATTAGCAGTGAGTTTCGGGGCCTGGTAGATAACAATGGGAGGAGTGGGGGGCTAAGGTAGACCAGAAGGATATGCTTGGGGAGAAATGGCAACAGATAACCAGGTCCAGCCATTGTCACTATGCATAATCAAGGGCCTGTGTTGCCAATTTCTCAGGGGAAACCAGAGATCAGGGTTTTCATGTGAAACCTCGTGATTTCTAAAAATATTAGCAACTCATTTTAAAATGCACTGGGCTAACAGTCTGCAAATTCTGGTGTGGGCATACTATGCACAAAGGGTTCCATACTTAAGAAATTCAGGACACACTGAGTTGAACACAGTGCAACAGGCTTCTCCCTGCAGACCTTGTCAGAGCCTTTGGAACTCCAAAGTATCTGTGGTTCTCCGAGAAGGGGGCGCTATAGTTGGCAGCCTCTCTCAATTCACTGGACCACAGGACTCTGGTTTGTGGAATTCCTGCTCCTGATGTCTTAGCAGGCAGGGCTGGGAGCTGCTCTCTGCTGCCCGTCCCCAAGGGTCAGCATCTGACTATAAGCAAAGCCCCCTGGGCTCTGGTTCCTAGAGGGCCATTTCCCTCTGCACACAAGGCTTCTGCCCCGTTCCCGACCCTCCCATGCTCCCTTCAGTCTGGGTGGAGCCCACTCCTGTCCTACAAAGGATACTGTTTTCCGACAAGGGGATTTTTTCTCCTCGCTCGTCATACAGCTCCAGGCCGGTGAGGCCGATGTAGTAGGGGTCGCCCCAGCTGGTGAGAAGCTGAAACTGGAAAATGACTGGGACACTTTATTAAGGAAAAGAAGGCTTAATTTTTTTTTTTCAGAATATAGTAAAACAATGGCAAAGATAAGAGGAATTGTTTTGGGTTTATGTTGATGAATGAGAGAAAAACATTTTTCTCTTATTGCAACTAGAGCCTATCAAAATATAGGTAGCATCACATTTTCTTAAATTGCATGTGTGTGCATGTGTGTGTGTGTGTGCATGTGAGTGTTCATGTGTGTGTATGCATGCATGTGTGCACGTGTGCGTGTGCCCGTGTGTGTGTGTATTAGGAATTCAAAGCCTTCCTCTAGGCCCCAGGAGACAGGACGGGAGGAGAGGGTGCTCTCCAGGGAGCAGGCAGGATGGGGAAACATCTGTGTCACAAACTGATTGTATGGTATTGAACAAAATGCTCCAGTTTCCCTGGTTGTGAAATGACAAGAACAGAGTACCTGCAACCTCCTCCATCCCTTTCAAGTAAACAGGAGGCTAAGAAGGGGACACATAAACCTCACAGCGCCAGGGGCCATGGGCCGGGGCAAGGAGACCACCATTGCTGCTGAAGTCCCACGTGCAGAGCTGGGCATCAAGCCTTTCCTCAGCCCTGTGCTCTGCTCACTCCCCGCACTCCCAGGAGCAGGCCGGGTGGCTCTCAGATGATGGCATAGCCAGAGACAGTGCTTCCAGAACTGGCTGGCTAGAGAGCGGGCCTTAGAGCCAGGCTGCCTGGGTTCACCTCCCCTGGGCCCTACCCCTTCCCACCTGTGCAGCCTTGGGCAAATTACTGAGCCTCTCTGTGCCTCAGTTTTCCTAGCTGTGAAATGGGAATGATAGTAGTACCAGAGTGCTGGGCTCTGCTGCCTGGGCTAAAGTACAGTGGTGCAATCAGAGCTCACTGCAGCCTCGAACTCCTGGGCTCAAAAGGTCCTCCCACCTCAGCCTCCAAGTAGCTTGGACTATGGGCATGTACCACCAGCTAATTTATTTATTTTTTTTTAAGATATGGAGTCTCATTATGTTGCCCAGGCTAGTCTCAAACTCCTGGCCCCAAGCAATCCAACCTCCTTGGTCTCCTAAAGCGCTGGGATTACAGGTGTGAGCTATTGTGCCTGGATTGCCAAGTTATTTCTATCTTCACCTCCTCCCTGGCTGGTTCCAGGACACCCCCCTTCCCCAGTCCAGCCACTGGGGTCAGTGCCAGCTTCTCTAGCCCCTCCCAGCTGGAGTCCTGGGTGCTGCCCCCTCCAGCCTCAGCAGGAACTAGCCTGGCTGCCCCAGTTCCAGCAGCTCCTAGTGGCCCTGAGGACCCAGGAGGCCTCCTATCCTCTGCCTTGGTTTCCTTGCATGGAGTTCCAGCTGCCTCATCTGTGGCCGCCTGAAACCCTGGCTGGGCAGTTGCGGCCCAGGCGCTGCCTCGGGGCCCAGAATGTGCTGGTGGGGCGGGAGGAGAAGGATACAGCCACAGGGCATCAGCGGTGCCTCGTAGTCCATGCTTGCACACTCCAGGCTTCTCATGTCCAGCCTGAAAAAGCACAAAACAGCACCATGAAGAAGCTCACGACGGCCCAGAATCACCAGCCAGTTACCCCCTAGGTAACAGCCTTTGAAGAAACATGGCAGTTTAGCGTTCCCTAGGATGCAGCAGGGAAAAGAGAGATGAGGCCCCTGCTCGTGTGGAGTTCCCGCTCTAGATGACAGTCATTGCCAATGCTGGCAGGATGCTGTGCCAGGGAGGCACGGGGCTCAGGGCTTTCCTGAAATGGACTCTTTTATTCCTCAACACAACCCTAGGAGGTGGGTATTTTTAGATGCTTGGGATGTGGATGAGGAAACTGGAACACGGAGAAGTGAGGTCACTTGCTCAAGGCCATGCAGCTGGTAGTGGCAGAACCGGGATGGGACGTGAGGTTGCCTGGTACCACTGCCCCCTTTCTTAACCAACCCCCTCTATGTCTTTAAACACAAGGAGGGTCCACGCTGTGCCGACAGCCAGGACGGGGTGACAGGGCAGAGGGACTGGGTGGGGCAGGCTGCCTCAGGGAGTGCTCTGGGAAGGCCTCCAGGAGGAGGCAGCCTTGGGAAGTGCCAGAGCTGAACCTTCCACGCAGAGGAGCAGCAGAGCAAAGGCCCAAGGTGGGAAGTCACTGGGCTGCTGGTGTTTGCCCCAGAAAGCGGCCAGAGGGCTGGAGTCTGGGGCAGGATGGGGAGAGGGAAGTGAGAGGAGGCTGGAAGGCAGGCACAGCCCTGATGGCTTTGGCTTCATGATCTTCAGCACCTGGCTCCACCAGCCAGAGCCTCAGTTCCCACATCTGTAAAACGGGCATCATACTGGCTAGGTCAAAGGGTGGCTGGAAGGATTTCCCAAAGGACACATCAAAGTGTTCACACAGCTGGCCCTCGGGAAGGATCCTCTCCTCCACGGCCCTCCTGACGGGGCCCCTCTCCCTGGTCCGCTGTCAGTGCCCTCCAGCCCTAGCCTGGTTCTCTTCCATTTCAAGGGCAATGTTACAATTAAATGACTTCCTAGTGACCAGCCCAGCCAGCCAACCCCGCTACAGTGCAGGGAAACTCATTTTGTTTCAAGAGCTTGGCCTCTGGCGTTTGGACATCAGGGGGTTTCAATGAGTAAACTTAACGTGGCATTTACAAATCGTTATGAACTTAATGCAGCTGAGACTGGGGCCGAGAAATCCCAGTGAATCCATGAAATATTAAGCTCTATTTTTCTCCTTGAATCTTTCTAAATCAGGAACACAGAAACGGGAGAAGGAAGGCCCTTCCCCAAACTGGCCGGCAGGCATTTCTGGAATGGAGGCAGGCTGTAGCCTCTTTTCTCAGCAGGAAACGCAATGAAGCATTTAAAATCTTCAGCACTCCAGACTGTGAAAAACCCAAATGTCCCCAGACAAGGTAAGTCCATTCCACAGGCTTCCGGTGAGGCTTGGCTGAGCTTTAGAAAATGACTAAGTTGAAAAGCAATGCGTTTGATCATCGTTTCAAAACCCTTTCGGAATGTACATCAGAGCAACTTGCAAAGCAAGCGGGCCCAGGGGCCGGGAGGGGCTGTGTGTGGCGCCCACTTTCTCCTCACCTCCTGGCCGGCTGGGGCAGCAGCTGAGCCCGTAGGTAGTCCACGAAGAGGATTTCTTGAGCAAAATCAAAGTGGCAGTTGCCTGGCCCCTTCCGGATGAGAAAGCCCTCTGGCGGGGAGACGCACAGGCCATCCAGGGAGACGTGGACAATCTTGGCCTGGCAAACAAAAGAAATAACATGACTGAAGGGAGGCAGGCCATGTGGGGACAGAAGCGGTGCTGACGTGACCGGAGCTGCTGGCAGCTGTGCTCACCATGGGGAGCCTTTCGCAGAGCCACCTGACCGAGGTCCATTTCCCATATCAGGTGCTGTGTGGGCGCTGGGCAGGTAGCAGAGGACAAGACAGGCGAGCCCCCTGCTACAGCGGACACTGGTCCACGGCTTTCAGGGGTGGCACGTGACTTGGCCAAGGCCTCGCCCACCTCAACAGCTGCAGCGGCCTGGGGCGGCATGAGATGGAGGTCAAGGGCATGGACTCAGGCGCTTCCATGTGCACCACTAGTAGCTGTGTATGTTACCTACCTTCCCTATGCCTCAATTTCCTCATCTGTTAAATGGGCACGGTCATGAGTTAACCTACGTAAAGTGCCCTAAACAGAGCCTGGCACAAACTGTATACTTCGTGAATGTTAGCCTCTATCACTCCTTTTTCAACCCCTGGCTCACACATCAATACCCCTCTGGGAGCTCTCCCTTAGGACAGGACAGGCCTCTTTCTGATCTTCCTTCTCATGGCACTGAGCTCATCCTTTTTGGGCCTGTATGCCTAGCAGCATCCCAGTGGCTTCTGGGTCTCTCTTATGGCAGAGGTTCTGGCTGGACCACCTCTCTGTCTGCCTCAGGGCCTGGAACACAGCAGATGCTTTCTAAGAGCTTGCAGGATTCACGTGGATTTGAGCCAACATCTCTCCCTGTTCTAGCCAGAGTTCTCCAGCCAGATGGCCAGGTTCTACTGGTCAGTTTCAAAGTCCTAATGGTAGAGTCTGAGGCGGCCCAGCCACCACCTGCTCTATGGGCAGGGAGGGGCAACAGCCATCACTCTCTGATTTCAGATTTTGGAGCCTGGTTCTCCTCGACACCTTAGCCCACATTCGTGGTCAGCAACATGGGTGCAGCTGTTGATCCAACTGGTGCCTTTCCTCTAGGGAGAGGCAGAGGCGCTCCTCCTGCAGAAAGGAAGGGAGGAAGGGTCCCTGACCTGGCTCTCATGTGCCCCTGGGGCCCCTCGTTCCTTCAGCATTTTGGGAGCCCCTCTATGTCAGTTACAGGACAAGTAAACCTGAAGTGTGGTGCTACCTGGCTTCGGGCGTGGCTGTCACTAGAACTTGGTCCCTGTCCTCCATCTCTCCATCTGCTTTCCTCAAGGGGGATTCCTACCTGGGCCCCCTGAGCTGAACTTGAAACATGGCCGGGCCCATCAGCATGACTCCTGGGGTTTTGCTGGCTTGCCTGGAAAGGGGAGCTTTCTCTTCTGCTGGGCTTGGAGCTAGCAGGACATAAGCCTGGAGCTGCCAGAGTGTGCCCTGGACAGAGTCGCCCAAAAGTAGATTCAGTGATGGCAAAGCAGAGGCCCAGGAAGCCCCTGTCCATCCTCCAGGGCCAACACCTCCTCCAGGAAGCATCCCTGACTTCCCTGGGCAGAGCTGGCCACATGTCCTCTGCTCATTCCCTTCGAGGTGACCTCTATCACCACCTCCATCTTATAGGGAAGGAAGCTAAACTTCACAGGGACTAAGTGATTTGCCCGAGGGCCACTGAAGGGATTTGAAGCCCCAAGTCCAGGAGTCCAGGGCCCTGGCTTCCAACCACATGTCAGGGACCCCTGGTGCTCGGGAAGGCCTTTTGGGGTGTGGGATCTGAGTCAAAGCACCCATTTCACTGCAGTGGGGGTCTCCCATCTCAGGCCACGTGCCCATTCCCCCCCACCCCCACCTCATCCCACTGTAGCCATTGTCTGGCTGGTGGGGCCCAGACCTGTGAGATGGGAACTCAGCCCAACATCCCCAGATGGTGAATTCAGGTCACAGAAGCTCTACCAGACAGACTGTGATTTGCTCAAGGGAATTTTAAGGCCCAAAGGCACAACTTGAGGCAGAAGGCTGTTTTTTAATGTCAATATATCTGACTTCTTCAATGTGTTGAACCCAGGGGAGCGTTCATAGAGACACAGGGCGGCATTGGGAGGGTCTGTGACCGGCCTGCTCAGAGGAGCATGCTGGCTAAGCTCCTGCTACACGGGGAGGGCCAGGGGCTGCCGATCCTGCTGTAAGATGTGACACAATTCTTTTTTTCATTTTTCTTTCTTTGAGATGGTGTCTTGCTCTGTCACCCAGGCTAGAGTGCAATGATGAGATCATAGCTCACTGCAGCCTCAACCTGGGCTCAAGAGATCCTCCTGCCTTAGCCTCCTGAATGGCTGGGACTACAGGTGTGTGCCACTAAGCCTGCCTATTTTTTTGGTAGAGATGGGGGTCTCTCTGTATTGCCCAGGCTGGTCTAGAACTCCTGGGCTCAAGCCATCCTCCAACTTTAGCCTCCCAAAGTACTGGGATTACAGGCGTGAGCCTCTACACCTGGTCTGTGATACAATTCCTAAGGCCCTAGAATAAATTCCATGGTGGGTATATGGTGGGGAGCCCAGATCTGGGGATCACCTGAGGCTGAGTCCTGGCTTTGTCAACTGTTACCTGGCAACGGTGATGCCAATCCGCCGTGGCAGGTGTTATTCCCTCCTCATTTTATAGATGAGGAGACAGGCCCAGGGAAGGCAGGCCACGTGCCAGAGGTTACGCAGCTGGTTGGGTCCAAGCTGAGACTCAGACTCAGGCCCTCCTGATAGTAGGGCCCTAGCTGAATTGCTACCTTTCGGTGGCCTCATTGTCACTTTTACATGACTGGAGGGCACCCATTCAGTCACCTGAGGCCAGAAAAGCCAGAGAAAAGGGCTCTTCCGAGGCTCTCTTCTTCATTCCCACCGAGGCTGAGTCTCAGAAGCGCCCCCCTGCTGCTTCTCACTCAGCAAAACATCACACGGAAATCACAATGTGGGCTCCAGGTCTGGCTGGCCAAGGTGGAGACTCCAGCTGTGTGGCCTTGGATGGGCAAGTGAACCTTCCTGGACCTCAGTTTTAGACCCTAAGAAATGGGGGTAATCACACCCACCTCCCATTGGCTGGAATGAGAATCCAGTGAAACAATGAATGCCCGTGAAGCCCTCAGCAGAGGCCTGGCCACCCGAGCACTCAAGGGACTTGAGGGACAAAACTGACCATGGCAAGCTGGGGCCTGGACCTGCCTAGGACCCCCCAGCACCAGGAGAAACGGTGCTGTGCAGTTCCCTGGAAATGCCCTGCGCTCTTTAGCCTGCATTTGCCATTTGCAGAAGGAAACAGCAGCTCTCTCTCTCCCTGGACATAACGCCCCCAGCTCCGTTTGGAAAATTCTGGAGGATTTATGCTCCTCTCTGGCTGCCACGCCAGCCATTCATCAAGGTGCTGCTTCCCTGATGCTGGACTGAGCACGGCCACTGCTCCCCAGCTTACCCCGCGATAGGTGTCCTCGGGAGATTTATTGTAGTTCCAGAAGCGCAGGCCTGCGATGCTTTCGGCCCTGTCCAGGCGGATCGTGACCACATGGTCCAGCCCCGGCGAGAAGGGGATCAGCCACATATGCTCATCCTCCATGGTGATGTTGGTGCCATCAATTAACCTGCAGCAATGGGGACGGAGCGGCAGGGGGGCGGCTCAGTGGGCACAGGAGGCATCACAGTGGGGCCCCCACCCCCTCGGCCCCAAGTACGTCCCCACTGCCTGGCACTAGCCTGGCTGTGTCAGGCTTGTTAAGGGGAGGTGTGACTGCTGAGAACAACAGTCAGAAGTCGTCTCTCATCTATGAAATGAGACATTTTTTAAAAGAAAAAAAAAAGGCTATGCTGTTAAAGGTGCAGAAAAGCAATCATCAGGGTTTTTGTTTTTTTTTTAAAAGGGAAAATGAACCATTTTTCAGAATCCTTTAGCCCAGTGATCCCATTTCTGGGATTTTCTTCCCCAGAAGGAAAATGTATTCAATATATGGGAAAGGCTATCCGAACCAAGATGCTCATTACAGTGTTATTTACAATAGCTTAAAAAAGGATAACAACCTAAAAGATCTCAAAATCAGGAAATGGTTAAGTAAATTTCACAGGGGTTAAGGTGCCATCATGAGGACACTGCAGTCACATGGAGGAGGCAGGACACTGATTATAAAGCTGAGAAATGAGGACAAGGACCAGGAGAGAGTGTGCAAAAGTGAAAAACATAATTGGGTCAGAGGGTATGGAGGTGAGTATTTTTCTCAAGTTTCCAAACTTTCTGTAAATTTGCTGTGTTGGCTTTACAGCATAGTTGGAAAGAAGTGTAGCCCTTCCTTCCCATGCTGGGGGAGAGAGGTACAAAAGCACCAGGTGAGCTCTGCAGCTCTTGGCTTGGAACAAGTAGAAGGAGGGGCAGGTGACTGTGGGAGCTGCTCTGGCTGGACCATGCTCTGTGACCGCATGGCCTGGATATCCCAGGGAAGCCTCTAACCTGTAGGAGGGAGCCCCTCATGCTCTTCCCAGCTGGCACTCTGAGCTTGTCACCTCAGCCCTATCGCACTCCTGTCCTGGCCAGTTTCTGGTTCCCTTGCTTGGGACATCCTGTTCATCCTCAAGTGGGCCTGTGTTTGTCCCAAGGACAATCGTGCCTCTCGCTTCCCCGGACTGCCCAGCATGCCTCAGCCCAGGCCTCAGGCCCTTGTCCTCGTGGCTCTGGCCCACGTGTCTGGCACTGCCATTCAGAAGCCTGGTCCTGGAAAAAAGGGCCCAGCTGGCAGCCTTTTGAGCAACCTCCCTCTCCCTCCCATTTTCTAGAACCTTCCCCACTCCACACCCTGGATTCCTGGTACCTCACAGCTGCTGTACTGGGAGAAACTTGGCCTGCTGCCACATTTCCTAGATTTGAAAAGAAACTTTTTGTTTCCTTTTACATTTTAAAGTTGTGAATTTGGAAAAAAAAAAAATCTCATAATCGAAGTGTTTACCCAAGGAGGCAATGTTTCTTTGTTCCCTAAAAGGCTGTTATTAAATTGATGGATGGTGTGTCTGACAATTGCTGGCATCTTAAAACTGAGGAAATTCAGCAATTCCACACTGGAGTGTCTGTGGAACTAAGCTGACTGAGGATGACCACTAGAGAACCTTCTATTTCCTTCTAAAGGCAATTATGTTTCTGTCCTAGAAATGGGGCTGCTCCATAGCAAACCTGCCCAATTCTGAGAGCAGAGAGAACTGCTGGAGCATTTGTAGCCGACAGTGAAAGGAAGACTCCACAGACACTCTCAAGAACATCTAAATGAATTCCTAGCTCTATCCATAAAAAAGCCTAGAAACAGCAACGGACCAAGTAGCAGTGAGCATCCCTAGTGGCCAGATTATGGTCTCTAAATACCATTACCCACTAAAAGGAACCAGGGCTTCTTGGAGAAATGGCTGATGCCAGGTCTGGGACAAGAAATAAACCAGATGAGCCTGAAGCATCTGTCACATCAGAAGGCAAGAAAGGTGACCGTTTAAAAGGATTCAGGACTTCCCAGCATCCAAGAGGGAATGATTTAAACATCAATCAGGATAAACACTGCAAAGAATTGACTCTTCAAATGCAGTACTGTATGTTTAAAATCCATGAGTTCATAATAATCCCTAAAAAGAAACACACGTTTTAGACGATGCTAGAGAAACAGTTATTTGGAAAGCCAAAAAGAAAAGGAGGGGAGAGAATCCAACACTTAGGCTGCCTTTCCCATCTGAATTTCACCACAGAGTAGCCAAATAATTGAGGGAAATTCTCTCTTTATTGCAGTTATTTCAGCAAATAAATTTAAAAAAGAATAGTAGGTGAAAATACCACCATTTTTCAACCCCTAATGAATTAATGGACTTCGCCAGCATGACTGGCTTCCAACATCACAAAGAGCCTGGCAACCAGACATTCTATTCTGTATGTCCCCAGGGCCATCTTGCCCTAGTAGTCAAACCTCAATCTGATCAGGCCTCTAGATCTAATTAACAATGTACTAGAAATACAGGGGAGCAAGGAGCAGACTAAACAATACCATAGAGATGCAGCCAGTAAAATTCAGGTCCACCTGGTTTCTTCAACAGGTAATTTACAAGAAAAAAATGGAAAAAGGGGAAAGAGAACCTAGAGAGGCTTAAGAGACATAGCAACCAATCACAACACATAGACCTTATCTGGATCTCAAATCAAATGAGCAAACTGTTAAAAAGGGTGGGTGTGGGGACTATGAATCTGCTAGATATCTGGTAATTTAAGAAATCATTGTTAACTTTTTCTTTCTTTCTTTTTTTTTTTTTTTTTTTGTGTTGAGACAGGGTCCCGCTCTGTTGCCCAGGCTGGAATGTAGTGGCACAATCACGGCTCACTGCAGCCTTGAACTCCTGGGCTCAAGTGATCCTCCCACCTCAGCATCTGAGTAGCTGGTACTACAAGCACATGCCACAATGCCTGGCTATTTTTTTTTTTTTTTTTTTTTTTTTTAGAGACACAATCTCACTATGTTGCCCAGGCTGGTCTTGAATTCCTGGGCTCAAGCAATCCTTCTACCTCAGCCTCCCAAGTAGCTGGGACTACAGGGACATGCCACAGTACCTGGCTACTTTTTTTTATTTATTTTTTATTTTTTATTTTTTTTTGTAGAGACATAGTCTCACTATGTTGCCCAGGCTGGTCTTGAATTCCTGGACTCAAGTGATCCTCCTACCTCAGCCTCCCAAGGAGCTGGGACCACAGACATGTGCCACAGTGCCTGGCTAATTTTTTTTTTCTTTTGTAGAGACACATTCTCACTGTTACCCAGGCTGGTCTCGAATTCCTGGGCTCAAGTGATCCTTCTATCTTGGCCTCCCAATGCTGGGATTATGGGCATGAGCCACTGCGCACAGGCAACTTTTTCAAGTATAACAATGGTACCAGGATTATGTTTTCTCTTAAATCCCTTATTGTTTAGAGGTATACACTGAAATACTGACAGAGGAAATGCTATCAGGCCTGGGATTTGCCAACAGATAATCTGGCAGGTGGGTGGTGAGTGGGTGGGAAGGATCCATAAGCCGCACTGTGCGTTGATCACTTTTCCAGCTGACTGGGAGCCAGGTCTCCAGGCTCCAAGCCTAAATACTCAGGAGAGTGACTTGCCAGGATGTTGGGGGTGGTCAGAGGGGCCCATGAGCAGTTAATGATAGCAGGGGGTGAGGCCACGGTTCAGGGCCACCTTATAGAAAAGCAGGGAGAAGCCTGCCACCAACTCTGCATGAGCTCAGCACCAGGCCAAGGGATGTGGCTGCAATGTGACATGCCATGGGAATGACTCCTCATTCTACTGATAAGGAAACCAAGGCAGGGGAGACAGTATAACTTAGTGGTTAAGTGAGTGGATGGTAGGTATGCCACAGGCCTGCGTTCCAATCATGACTCTGCCACTGCACTAGTCTAGGTGGCCTCTGCATATTTCAGTCTCCACATCGGTATAGTAGGGCTCATAATGGTCCCTTCCTCAAAGGGCTGTTTGAGGCTTCAATGGATGAACATGTGTCACCTGCTTCGCATAGCCCAGTGCCTGGCATTTAATAAGTGCTCAAAAACTGGCAGTCATATGATCAGTTATTATTATTAGCATTGCTGTTATTATTGAAGAGGTTAAGAAAGTTACCTAATAGTTGGCATGGGGCAGAGGCGGGATTTGAACTCCCATCCCTCTGACTCCCCTAGTTCACACCTCTAAGCAGCGCCCAGACCCTCTGGCTGTGCAGGGCAGGGGAACTGAGTGCTGGTCTGTGGGCTGCAGGTCCATGTGGATCAATGCTGTATTTGAGGCTTCCCCACCTACTGACTTGACGCAACCTTGGCTTATGAAATCTGACAAGTGCAGGGGAAAGTGCAGCCACCACCGCCTGTGGAGGCTTCCTGAGCCATCACCTCTAACCTCAAGGAGGGGAGAGGGAGCTTTCAGCCCCCGGGAGGCCTGGGTCATTCATGTGTAAACTCTGAACCATCCACTGCAAAGGTTTACAGACAGCTACTGTGTGCGAGACGCTCTGCTAAGCACAGAGAAGAAAATGCAGACCATGGCTGTGTCTGGAAGCATGGGAACCCGCCTTCAAATCCCGCCTGACACTTCCAGCTGTGTGGCCCTGGAGAATCACCTCCCACCTCTCTTTCCTGAGCCTTGGTTTCCTGAGCCTCGGTTTCCCTTGACCACATTACCTCACAGGGTGGCCAGGGGAGGGACATATGCGATTCTATTTGATGTCTGAATCTGAAGTCTCAGAGGCAGAACAATGTCCCCAAAACCCAGTGGGCATGAAAGTAAAGCTTCTGATAGACACTTACTTGTCCAGGGCCCGGGAGTCGTCAGAGTACTCGGGGAGCTCATTTAAGTCTCTGGGGGAAGCAGAGATCTGGTGCAGGTGGATGGGCAGCGCCTGGCCCTCCTTGCCCACCACTTCCAGGCCAGTGAGCCCCAGGTAGTGCAAGTCTCCCCAGGAGGCAGTGAAATTCAGCTGAAGGCCTGCAACAGGAAGAGAAGTGGCCCATTAGCACCAGAGGCTCCAGAGGAGGCATCTAAAATGAAGACAGGAAGAGGAATGCTATTCGGCCTCTATATTCTAGCAACTTCAACCCAGACCCAAAGTGCCTTGCAGGTGGGCTCTGTGGCTTTCCTCTAGGTGGCCTTGGGCCCAGGCCACTGTCAGTGCTCAGGAAACAACGGTAAGCTGCATGGGCGAGGGTTAAACCTGCACATAGCCCTGAGTCCTTCCTCCGCCTACCAGATTGTGCTGTCCCACCCGACACTGAACATCCTTGGTGGCTTCCCATGCTTTCTGGCCAACAACGCATTCCCCATCAGACTTCTATCTACTTCTCTGACCTCACTGTGCACCAGGGACCCTAGGCCCCACCCAGGCTGTCTTTCAGTTTCTCGTATTTATATTCCTCTCTCTCCAACCACAGGGCCTTTGAATGTGCTGTCACCCCTCCCTAGAATTCACATGGCCTGGTTGACTTGTGAGCACCCTTCAGATCCCAGCTCCCTTCCTCAGAGAAGCCCTCCTGAGTTCTTTGACCAGGTCAAACCTCCATTGATAACCTGCCATGCCACTGTACACTTCCCTTTCCAAGCCCTGGTCACTGCTGTAATCGCGTGATCTTGGTAAATACCCACTTGCCCCGCCAGATGCCTAACTCCTTGAGGGAGAAACCCCATCTGTTTCTCTAAACCACTGTGTCCTGAGCCTGGCATGGTGCCTGGCACACAGTAGGAGCTCAGTACAGATGGAATGATTAAACCAGCAACTACATGGAGACTTGTATCAGTAAGCCCCAGCGCTGGAAACTGACATTTTATGCAAATTGGCTGCTATCACAAACATTCACGTGGGCTCAGAGTAAAGGAAGTGACCTAGGGTGATACCGCCATCCTTTTGCCTCTGCTCCCATCCTCTCTCGATCAGAGACCATTTAGAAGTGACCTTCTGTGGCCCTGGGGCAAAACAGCCCAGATGTCATTCATTTGCCCAGGAAACTCAAATGGAATGAATCTCTTGATCAAGCCCTGTCAGATAATTGGCTGGAACGTCTCTTTCCTTAACGGTGTCTCATTAGAGCAAGACCAAACACAATAAACCCTTCTGCCCTTAGAGAATTTGCCGCATATTTTAGCACCCTTTTGGGTAGCTAAGTGTAAGACTCACTCTTTGCAGCGTTCACAGAAATGCCAGCACCACAGAGCAGGCAGAAGGAAGCAGGGTGTCATCTGGCACCACCCCCTTGCAGCTCAGATGAGGAACTGGAAGCCCAGAGAGGTGAAAGGACTTCTTTGTGGCCATGAAGAGGGGCTGGGTCACCTGACCTCCCTGGAGCTTGGTTTTCTCTCCCACGCCCCTGACATCTCCCAACATACTTTTTGTAACTTAGCCCTCAGATCCTTTTCCTCCTTCGTGGTGCCAAGGTAACTCTGAGCATCTCTGGGGCAGATGAAAAAAACATGTGGCCAGCACGGCACCCTGCACATGGGCTTCTCGCCGCATCATTCACGTGCAAAGTGGCTACAAGCTCGTCCCATCCCGTGTCCCTGCTGTTGCAATGTGATTTTGCCCCTCATCCCATCCAGAGTTGGAGTTTCCTTCTCTGCTCCTGACTCTGGGTCACGTGATTTGCTTTGAACACTGGGACAGAAGCCCACGTGAGGCAAGCAGAGCCTGTAAAGCACTCGGGGCTTGAGACTGCCATGCGAGGCAGCCCAGCTAACCCAGACACCTGTCTCTCTGGCCAGCAGCCTCCCCACTGCCAGACGGGTGGGTGAAGATGTCCTAGGTCATTCAGCTGCTGGTCCACCTCCCTGCTGATCAGGAACTCGAGCAGGCCCAGTAGAGGCCAACCAAGCTGGCTCACCCAGAGCTGCCCAGCCAAGATACTGAATTACCAGTCAGTCATGAATATAATTCATGGTAGTTGTGTTAAGCCAGTGGATTTTGGATTGGCTTGTTCGGCAGCAAAAGCTAGCTGACACATTCCTTCTCAGCATGAGTCAGTGTTCCAATGTCATTTCCTGAGAGGCCTTCCCTAATAACCAGAGCTCAAACAGCCCTGCTCACCCCATCACTCTCTACATCCTTACCCTGCTCGCCTTGTTGTTTATAGCACTGAATGCTTCCTGACAATCGAGTCTACATTGATTTGCTTATTTGTCTCCATCAGTCTCCCCCACTAAGACGGAAGTTCCCTGAGGCCAGGACTCTGCTGGTTTTGTTCACTGCTGTATCCCCGGAGCCCAGAACAGTGCTTAGTAGATGTTCAATGAATGTTTTTAGTAAAAATTTTAAACACATGACTAATTAACAAGTAGGGCTTCAGTAGATATCTGCAAGTAAATGAGACAAACGAAAACTATTGGGTTTTACCAACTTCACAGTCAACAGTCAACGAATATTTATTGGTCATCTACTGTGTACCAGAACCTATTTTTGGCATAAGAGCTGCAGGAATGAACAACAGAGCACAATCTCTGAACTCAAGAAGCTTGCATTCTAGCAAAGACTGTCAATAAGCACATAATGAACAAAGAAAGGCAACAGTTCCAAGAGTGATGAACACTATGAAAGAAAATAGCAACAGGATAGGGAGTGACTGAATATGAGCAGAGGTGGTCAGGGAGGGCCTCCCTGAGGAGGTGACATTTGAGCTGAGACCAGGGTGCTGAGAAGGAACCTATCATGTTTTTGCATTTCTGGAAGAAGAACATTCCAGGCTGAGAGGAGAGCAAATTTGACCCATAGGTGGAACCAAGCGGCCAAGGGAGAGAGTAGAAGAAAATGAAATCAGACAGGTAGGCAGGGGCTAGATCATATCGAGAAGCCTGGATTTTCCTCTCTTTGCAATGGGAAGCTACTGGCAGATTCTATGTTGAAGCAGGGGAGCAACATGATCTGATCTGCATCTTATAAAGCTCCCATCAGTTGGATTTTATAGGGAGACCAGGGAGGAAGCTGTTGCAGTAAGGATGGCTTGAACAAGGCTGGTGGCAATGAAAATAGGGTTGAAGGGGACAGATACAGGATCTGTTTCAGAGATAGCACTACCAGGATTCTCAATGGTCTGGATACAGAAGGAAGGGGAAAAAAAGTTTTGACCTAGGTGACAGAGGAACTGTGGCACCACTCCTGAGACAGAAGGGCCACAGGTGGAGGAGGATGTGGATTTGGATGATGGAGATCAGTGCGAGGGAGAAATGCCACCTCCCTCTGTGACAACAAAGAGATGCCCAGTCTCTCCCAAGCCTACAATCTCTTTGTTTGCCTGGCAAGCTGCACTGCGATTCCATCTAATTTGGGGCTGTTCTGAAATTGATTACTCTCCTTTTCGAGCTAATATCCAACATTCCATATTCATTTTCCTCTGGTGTATCAATTAGTATTTATACAAATGGAAATTAATTTTGTTATTTCTCCCCCATGTTTCAACCCTCTCAGCTCCTTTCTTATTCATCACTGCTGATATTTGCAAAACTTCCAAAATTAGTGTCATCTGCAAATTAGCAAGTCATATATCCCCTTTCAAAACATTAATAGGATTGGCCGTATTTACCAACCCCGACACATTCCCCCCGGGTCACTTTATTAAAGCTCTCTCTGTGCTCCGCTCTTGCACGGAGTGGTGAAGCAGGTTGAGGATTTTGAATACGGTGAGGAAAAAGCCAAAGGTTCAGAGAGAAGAGATGCAGAAATCACAGGCCTCAAAACAGACGCAGAGGGTGCTTGGTTGAGAGGCTCTTCTGCCTTCCTACTGAGAAGAGAAGAGAAATTACACTTGCCTTGCAGTAAAAAGGTCTTTGAGCTCTACTCCAGGGCCAAATTCCCAAAGGCACTGAAATAACATCTCTGTGAAAGGTCAGGAGCTGGGTCAGCAGGAAACACATCTACAGGCAGCATCTTTGGGGAAATCATCAGATGAAGGGGACAGTGGCTGCTTCTGCCTGGCCAGCATTCCTGCCTTCCTTCTGGTGACCACACTCTGACCCGCTCTGGAGAACCACCCTGTGCTCGGTCCACACTGTTTGGGTGGCTGACCCCTTTCTCTGGGCTCCAGGCCTGGCCAATCTGTTTTCCATCTCCCACCTCCCGCCCTACCCACCATGGTGAGTCACAGTGGCTGACTTAAGGATGGACATATGAATTAGCCGGGCACGGTGGCACACCTACAGTCCCAGCTACTCGGGAGGCTGAGGCGGGAGGATCTCGTGAGCCCAGGAGTATGAGGCTGCAGTGAGCTGTGTTTGCACTACTGCACTCTAGCCTGGGCCACAGAGTGAGACCCTGTCTCAAAACAACAATAACAGCAAGCAAAGAAAATAACAAAAAAGAGAATGGGTACATGACTCAAGCTAGGCCCAGAGATCTAATTCTGGGATAGTAGTTGCAACTATTGGGATTCAGGAAAACAGAAGTTGTCTTTCATCTGGGACTGCTGGGTAGAAAGGAGGCATAAACTGGAGCTTCCAGGACTTTCCACATGGATGGTGTTGAATGGGAGAATGTCAAGAGACGAAAAGAAAGCAGGGAGAGGGAGGCAGACACCATGTCTTGATGCCATCATTTTCGTAACTGAACGCAGCTGTGTGGAAACTGACGACCCCTAACTTCTAGTTGCATAAGCCAATAAGTTCCCTTTTTTGCTGAACTCAGCTTGAATTAAATTTCCATTATTCATCCCCTGCCAAAAAAAAAATCCTGACCAACTTAGGGGAGAACCAAATTGAATAAAAAACGATGGCTGTCTTTTGGGACCTCACAGCTTCATGGGGGACACTGACTCTTGCACACAGGCTTCTGATGTGAGGTGCTCTCCCAGTGGCAACCCTAAGGCAATCTGCTAGTGTGGTGAGGATGTGGGCTTTGGATTCAAACACCTTTGCTTGCACTCCCAGCTTCCGTACTGGCCGTGTGACCTTAGGTAGGTGACTCCATCTCTCTGAGCCTCAGCTGCCTGATCTCATGGAAAACAGAGCTAGGAGTGTTACAGCGAGATAAGGCAGAGAAAGCCCAGCACAGTGCCTGTCTGGGAGATGAAACCAAGCCTCAACCCAGGCTCTTGCCTAATGTTAGGTTGGCCTTTAAAACTGCTGCTATTCGAAAGTAATTGAGAGTGCGCCCTGGAATGTAAGGGGCTATGAGAATTCCAAATAAGGCACCTTCCTCTAAGGCACCTTCTAAGAGATCATTGGTCATTTTGGAGTAGGTGAAGGAGAGATGAATTTTCACAGGGGATGATAGAGAAGACTCCTGGGGAGGAGATGCGGTCGCAGAAGGGCCATAAGGGAGGGGATGTGGAGCTCACTTAGGGCACTGCTCAGACCCCACCTCCCACCCCCAGGAACAGAAGGACTTAGTCCTCTGGTGGCGGGAAGTGCTGACGGCTGGCAGCTCACCACTGAGGCTCTTGACTTGTGACTGCCCTTGGCTGAAGAGAGTCTCCTTGCAAAAAGCCATGTCCGGCTGGGCACAGTGGCTCATGCCTGTAATCTCAGCACTTTGGGAGGCCAAGGTGTGTGGATCACCTGAGGTCAGGAGTTCGAGACCAGCCTGACCAACATGGTGAAACCCTGTCTCTATTAAAATTACAAAAATTAGCCGGGCGTGGTGGTGGGCACCAGTAATCCCAGCTACTTGGGAGGCTGAGGCAGGAGCTCTCTTGAACCTGGGAGGCGGAGGTTGCAGTGAGCTGAGATCATGCCACTGCATTCCAGCCTGAGCGACAGAGTAAAACTGTGTCAAAATAAATAAATACAAATTAAAAAGTAAAATAAAAAGCCATGCCCCTCCCCAGGGGCAGCCCATAGCCAGTGCCATGTTGATACAGATAAAGACATGGCCCCTCACTCAACTCAGGATGACCCCAAAGGGCCATCCCAGGTTCCGAGCTCCCTGTGGAGCAGGCTGAGGCCTTGAAGTGGCTGAACCGCAGACCAGCTTCTCCCTCTGCCCAATCCTGCCTCCTACCCTTCCCTGACAAGAGCACACCCCAGGAAACTCCATCTCAGGGTCTGTGTCTAGGGAACCTAGCCAGCGACAGGTGGTCGTCAGAAGGCAGAGATGGAGCAGGGAGGCATCCTAGGTGGAAGGTGTGGCTTGCACAGGTGCCTGCAGGTGGACTCCAGAGATGGCATGGGGAGGTCCCGGAAGGGCTGACACCAGGATTCGGAGAGGCTCCAGCTTCATTTTGGAGATGAGGATGGGGAGGTGGGGAGGGGATCCTGACAGTGTCACATCTTTTGTCTCAGAAGATAAAGTAGAAGCGGGTCACATTCACAGGGGGCAGGAGAGAGCAGGAAGTGAGGCTGCCAGGAACCTGGTTAGCAGGGTGCAGGAGGGAGGAGATCACAATCAGCAGTGACCTTGGGCTTGAAGATTCCCCAGGACGGGGAGGGGCTGATGTGGACACGCATGGATGAAGAGAGGAACTGGCTGGAAGGATCAATGGAAAAGAAGGGTGAGGAACAGGCCCAGCAGAAAACCCCTGGGATTTGCTCAGAAGTCACAAACTGGCAGCCAGCTGGCCAGATACACAATAAGTGTTTTATTTGGCTCATGTGATATTTTAAAACATGAGAAAATTCGTTACACACATTTGAGAATCTGGAGACTTCACGTAAGACTCTAGATTTCCGACTTCTTCTGAAAAGTCAGAAGACCTGGTACCCTGGGCCTGTGCACCTGCCCCCACCCCCGGGGCAGAGTGGATGCAGGTTTTCTCTGCCTGTGCATCTACTCTTTGGTGGAGTTGGAAGAGACAGCTCGGGGCACTGCACCAACAGATGCCTTGGGTCTCTTCAGGCTCTAATGTCCTCTTGTTCTACACTTTCTGGGTGCCAACTACACCTCCTGGGTCAGGGTCATGGTCACAGCTAACACATAGGGTGTCTGCATGCAAAAATGCCCCTCAGGGAAGGCAAAATGCTAAGAGATGCCCCTCCTCTGGAGTGAGGTGGCCCTGCTAGGGCCAGGGAGCTGAGCGCAGGCTGGTTTCAGCCTCCACTTGCCCCATGGCCTGGTGTCTCTGTACAGTGTCCAACCCACCCGATTGTCCAGCGAAACCCTGTCCCAAGTGGCCACAACTCCCCCTGTCCCTGGAAGGTCCTCCTTCCACCCAACACTGCTCCAGGAGAGCTACTCACAGATTCCGTGGTAGATGCCTGGCTCTGGCGTGGTGACTTGGGGGACAGGGGAACTGGATGGGAGCTCTAGCTCCGGGATCTGCACATGGGTTGGAGAAGCAGAGGAAAAGGGGGTGGTTTTAGTGATACCCACACAGCTAGCTGGCTGGCTGTTTCTGCATTTACCACTGCCCACCCTATGCCCAGGTAAGTCCTTGTGTGTTTTCCTGGATTTTTCTGCCTTTGTGGAAGCTATGGGACCAGTGATATGGGCGGACCCTGACCCTCCAGGGTCTGCATCCTTGTCAGCAGCTCTCACTGGCTGGGGAGGAGCCTGATGCTAACAGCTAAGGTGTTTAAATTTCCTCCAACAGGGAAGGACTCAATAAATGCTTATGTGGTGAGCTAGAGGAAGAAAGAAAGGAAGGAAGGAAAGGAGGAGGAAGGGAAGAAGAGAAGGAAGGGAGAGAGGAAGGAAGGAAGGAAGGAGGAAAGGAAGGAGGGAAGGAGGAAAAGAAGGAAGGAGGGAGGGAGGGAGGGAAGGAAGGAAGGAAGGAAGGGGAAGTGGAAGAATTCAAACCATAGAGAGTGGCTCTTAACTTTGGCTGTTCACTGAAGCAGAATCTCTAGGGGTGGGGCCCAGACATTTTTAAAGATCCACCCAAGTGATTTCCACGGGTAGCCAGGATAAAAAATCCTGGTCTTCAGAGAGTCAACGGTGGGCCACCACACCCTTCTTGGGCCTTACATATAAACTATTTGCTCATTGTCTCTTTGCACCATAAGTGAAGGCGCTGGTCTCTCACGAGACTGAGAGAGTGATCCCCCCAGCCCCTCACAGCGCTGGGCCCATCAGAGTCCCTTACGAGCACCTTTGTCATTTGGAAAACGCTGGGCAAATGGAAGCGCCCAGGGTAGACTCCCACCTGGAGACCCCTGGGTCGAATCAGGAGCACAGGCACGGCTTGTGGCCCAAAAAAGGTTTGAACACATCTGAATTCACTGCCAGCATTTTTAAATGGAGAGGTTTTACAGAAAAATCCAGCTTTCTGGCTTCTCTTGTAAAAATCAGGAGAACTGGCAACAATGGGCTTGCCCCTCTTGGTGGCCGCTTTCCTTAGATGTGGGGAGGGGGAGGGGCACGCACTCCCCAGCTGCCTGTGCCTCCCCATGCCCTGCTCCTGCACCCCATGCTCTGCCTGGCTGCGAGGTACAATCCCCAGGGAACACCATGGGGTCCACACGACATGTTGCTGTCCTGCCTCAGTCATGACCTTCCCACAGCCCAGCCCCATCCCTTGTGGCTTGTGTTGTCCCCATTTCTCCCCTACCCTGTTTAACCATCTCCTCTTTTTCCTATTGGTCCTGACTTGAATTGACCTTGAAGGTCATCTTTCATTTTAAAAGATTTGTTTATCTGGCTAAGTGTGGCGGCTCTTGCCTGTAATCCCAGCACTTTGGGAGGCCAAGGTGGGAGAAGCGCTTGAGTCCAGGAGTTCATGACCAACCTGGGCAACATAGCAAGACCACATCTCTACAAAAAATAAAAAAAAAACTAGCCAGGCATGGTGGCATGCACTGTAGTCTCAGCTACTCAGGAGGCTGAGGTGGTAGGATTGCTTGAGCCCCGGGAGTTTGAGCTGCAATGAGCTATGATCACGCTAGTGTACTCCAGCCTGGGCGACAGTGCCAGGCCCTATCTCTAAACAAAATAAAAAAATAATAAGTTGCTTACCAATTAAAAGCATAAACTGTGGAATCACGCATTCAAGTTCTACCCTTGTTTCTCTGTCACAATGTGCCCTTGGGCAAGTCACTTGACTTCTCTGAGCATCAGTTTCCGAAATGGCAATGTTAATAGTCTCTACTCAGAGGGTTGTCATGAGGGTGAAACAAGAACACTGTGTACCCTGCTTGGATCATGATATGTGTTCATGAAACCATGGCTGTGATGATCATTATTTTAACTGTAACTCTGCCTATGAAAAGCATTCCTAGTCCTTCCATCAAAAACAACAGTGAATGATCAAAACGCAACCCCAAGCAAAAACTCCCCCCAGACTGCCAACCTCTGAATTGCAGAGATGACACAGAGCTCATTTCTCCTGGCTTTGATTAGAATTTGAATACTTTCTTTACTTCGGTTAAAAAAAAATAAAAAAATAAAAATAATTAGAGAATGAAATATGACATAGAGGACAAAAAAACAAAGTAGAAAGATGGGAAATGTCAACACAGTGGCACCAGCAGCTTAAAGGATATCCATCTTAATTCTCCCTGCTCTACTCTGAGTTAGGGGAAGAAACCTATCTGGGGGTCCCCCCACAGCCCCCCAGCTCCAGTCCTACCCGTTCATCAGCCCCCAAGCCAGCCTGGGTGAAGGGCCGCTCATCCCCCTCGCCGTCGGCCGTGCTGGGCCTCCTCATTGCCTCTTCATCCTGCAGGCTGTCCAGGCTCCCCACATCCAGGTCAAACATCTCATCAGAATAGAATATGGCCTCGAGAATGTCATCATCGGTTGTGAATAAGATCGTGTCTCCAAAGTGCTCTGGGGCTAATGGGTTATCAAGATGACAGAAAGGTCAACTCACTTCACATCCCAGAGATTTGTAGATCAAGAGCCTAAACCCATCCACTTCTGTGCTGTACAACCCCACACCCTTAACTGGTATTGATTAGTGTGAGCCTTATTAGTCTTCACAGATTTGCAAATGGAATGCACGGACCATAAGCATCACATGGATCTAAGGAAGGGATCTAATTTCATGAGAATCACTGTGATATGTCATCAGGCAAGTGACATTTCTTTGGGGTGGGCAAGGCACTATGCAAGACGCTGTTGGTACCCCACCCAGATCTTGGTGGATCCTTTTCTCAGAGTGCCTTGCCTGGAAGGGTGTGGGAGTTACAGCTCCAACCCGGCAAGCCTTGGTTCCAATGACTGCCTGGTAGGTGGGGTTCTAACGCCCTGCTCCTTCACCTTCAGGCAGGAAAGACCTGAAATTTATGTTCCAGACCTCCCTCAAGATCTGGTTGTGGCTGGGCTTCCTGGAAACTATATCCTTGCTTCACTATGCCAGGTTTCTCCTAGGAGCACTCCCTCCATAAGTCACTTGCCAAAGAATGCCCCATCTCAGACTCAGGTTCTAGGGGCCGGACCAAGACAGGTGCTTTATGGGAGATGCTGAATGAGGTCAGGCCTAGCACACTCATGCTGTAAGAGGGGATGAGTGGACCGGGTCTGTGGCTGGGTGCAGGGGCTCATGCCTGTAATCCTAGCACTTTGGGAGGCCAAGGTGGGTGGATCACTTGAGCCCAGGAGTTCGAGACCAGCCTGGGTAACATGGTGAAACCTCGTCTCTACAAAAAATACAAAAATTAGCCAGGTGGGTTGGTGCACCTGTAGTCCCAGCTACTTAGGAGGCTGATGTGGGAGGATTGCTTGAGCCCAGGAGGTCGAAGCTGCAGTGAGCCGAAACCATGCCACTGTGCAGGGCAAGATCCTGTCTCCCCACCCAAAAAAAAAAAAAAAAAAAAAAAGGGCTGGGCGCGGTGGCTCACGCCTGTAATTCCAACACTTTGGGAGGCCGAGACGGGCAGATCATGAGGTCAGGAGATCGAGACCATCCTGGCTAACATGGTGAAACCCTGTCTCTACTAAAAAAAAAAAAAAAAAATACAAAAAATTAGCCGGGCGTGTTGGCGGGTGCCTGTAGTCCCAGCTACTCGTGAGGCTGAGGCAGGAGAATGGCGTGAACCCGGGAGGCGGATCTTGCAGTGAGCCAAGATCGCGCCACTGCACTCCAGCCTGGGGGACAGAGCAAGACTCCGTCTCAAAAAAAAAAAAAAAAAAGAAAGAGAAAGGACTGATCTGTTGTTGGCTAGCCAGCTGGTCTGTTTTTTCCCATAGACTCTCAGCAAGTCACAGATAGGGGCTCTGAGAAAATTCTTACAGACACGCCATACCTCCCGCCAGGGTTCCAGAGGCCTTGGCGATTTCTCCTTCAAAGATGCACTGGGTGTCTAACAGCATTGTGATGTCCTTCACGCCTCGGAAGGAATGTATCCGAGATTTATTGTAGTTCCAAATTCTGATCAGGGCAACGTGGCAAGGGTGCGTGAAGTCAATGGTGATGGAGTGGGATCTGCCCCGCGTGAAGGGGGCCAGCCAGACATGCATGTCATCCTGGGTCCTGTTCACCCCGTCGATGAGGTTGGTGACCACGCGGGGGTCTTTCCCATAGGCTGGTAAAATATTGATATCGGGAGGGTCTGCTTTTATGTTTGAAATCTGCACCGGTTCACCCTTGGAACTGAATATTTCTATTCCGTTGAGGCCGACATAGTGTCTGTCCCCCCAGGTAGACTTGATGTCAATGACCAAGCGCTGTCCATAAGGCAAGACGGGGATTTTAAAGTCACCCCCAGCGTCTGTCTCTCCAGAGTAGCCATCCTGCCCTCTCGACAGCCCTGGCTGCTCCCCCTTCTTGGAGGGGGGCAAGTCGCTGTGCCGGCTGCTCTTTTGCTGCAGGAGCTCATCCAGGATGTCCCCCGGGAGCTCCGTGTTGGAGATGCGTCCCCGGTGGGAGCGGTCGAAGGCACTGAGGGAGCTCCATGACTCGTGAAGTGTGTGCTCCTGCTCACTGCGCCACCTTGACCGTGACGGCGTCCTGGAAGACCAGGTGTCTTCTGGAAGAAAGGACACAAGAGGGGGGAAGCCCTGTGAGTGGCATGTGTGGAAGTGGGGACCATTAGAGACTGTCTCCTGTGGTGGCTCTCAGTGAGGCAGGGCCACCTCCAGGGGAGCCCTCTAGAAACCAGCGGGGTTGTTCCCGGCTGTCTCCTTAGCCAAGAGGCCTCTTGGCACTGGATGGCTGGGGCCAGGCATGTTACCATCCTGCACTGCATGGGGGCCCTGGCACAGAGCTTGGTCTCCTGTCCCACACAGCTTCTGACTGTCCTGTGGGCCATTCAGGTCGGTAAAATAATTGTCTATGATCACCCAATTCCAGAATCTGGTTGTTTTTGCAAAAACACAAAGCATTTTTTCATAGACTGAATTTTCTAAGAATGCAATCATCGTGTGAACCAAGGGAAGACTACTTGGCTGTGTTAGAAACTTTGCCAGGAGTCGCTCCCCACTGTAGAAACTCACATGACCAGGGGCAATGCTGCTGCCTGAGGCGTCTGAGTCAGCCACAAGAGGGTGTGTGCTGGAGACTGTCACAGTCACGTGACTCTAACGGTGTTTTCAAAGACAATTTAATGGCAGGTGGAAGGTTTGTAAAAGAACGTTAAAAGGAAAAAGCCAGATACGCAGCTTTAAATGCAGCATATCCTGGTACGGGTGACATGCACCCGTGTTAACAGTGTTGTTCCTGGTTTCTGGGTGGGGAGCAGGAAGGACTTTTATTTTCTTCTTTGTAGCTTGATTTTTTTAAATTCCCTTCATGCATTACTTTTATTTTCTTTCTTTTTAATTTTTTTTAGAGACAGGGTCTCGCTCTGTTGCCCAGGCTGGAGTGCAGTGGTGTGATCAAAGCTCACTGCAACCTTGACCTCCTGGCCTCAAGCGATCCTCCCGCTTCAGCCCCCCGAGTACATGGGATTATACACATGACCACTGGGCCCAGCCTGTAATACTTTTATCATCAAGAAAAAAATGCTATTTGTTTATTTATTGAGACAGGGTCTCACTCTGTCACCCAGGCTGGAGTGCAGTGGCGTGATCATGGCTCACCATGGCCTTAACCTCCCAGGCTCAGGTGATCCTCCCACCTCAGCCTCCCGAGTTGCTGGGTCCACAGGTGTGCACCAACATGTTCGGCTAATTTTTATTTTTATTTTTTTGGTAGAGATGGGGTTTTGCCATGTTGCCCAGGCTGGTCTTGAACTCTGGGCTCAAGCGATTCGCCTGCCTCAGCTGGGCGAATCCCAGTGCTGGGATTACAGGCGTAAGCCACCGCGCCCAGCCAAAAATGCTATTTTAAAAAGCCATTAAGCCAGGTATATTATAAGGTAAGGAATTTACTTGCACACATGGCTAAAGCCTGTGTCCCAGGTGCGTGGAGAACACGGTCCCAGACTGATCTGAAGGCCCCACGCTCCTTATGGAACATGAGAGCCACGGCGTGCACACCACGCAGTGGCCTGTTCTCACAGCCACGCCATGGCTCACTGCCATCTAAGGGTGTCATCCTGCAAAAACAGCGGCTGCTGACACTGACATTCTGTTTTTCCTCCTTTCATATCGCACTGTGCCCTGTACTCCATTTCCTGCCTGTCTCCTAGGGGGCTCGGCTCCATCAATTATCTCCTCTCTCCAGAATCTCCAATCACTCCTTCCCCACTGGCACTTTCCCCTCTTTGCCTGCAGACATGCATAAATCTCTCCTACCTGGAAGAGAAGAAAGGAAGAAACAGGAAGGCGACCCGCTCCTGTGGCTCCCTCCAACCACAGCCCTATTTTCTCCCTGTTTCGCTCAGGTGCTCTGCCACCCCTCCCACCCCTCCCAGCCTCTCCCAAGCCCCTGCCACCCGGTGCCTCTTTCCAGTGGGATTGTTTTGCTCACTCAAACTCCACTTCCCCTTCCACTCAGATTTGGGGGATCCTTTGGGGACACCCCACCCCCCACCTTCCGGCCATCTAATTGGATCAATGCCGACAGTATCCTTCCAAGCTGGCCTCAAGGAGGGGCACTCTTTAAACTGGTGGTGCTGAAGCTGGAAGGATGTACATGTGGAATTGCCAAAGACTATCTTGCTACCCTATAGAGAGAACCTGCCTGAGAATGAAGCCAACACCGAGAACACGAGTCGAGAGATGGAGGATCCTGATGACAACCTCTGAACTCCTGGATCCAGCTGTGCCTAAAGTCAAACTCCTGGTGGCTTTCTGGCCTTTGCATCCGTAAGACTCCTACAATTCCCTAACCCGCCACTGAAATGCCTTCTCCAAGTGAACAATGACCTCCCAGTCTTTGTCAGTCTTCAGTCTATGTGTGACATCCCTGGCAAACCTCTTCCATTTGATACCTCCTGCTCCACTGGCTTAGGAGCCACTATACCTCCCTGGTTCTCTGCCTCTCCCACTGACAACTCTCTCCATCACCCCAGTCCTACCCTCAGTCTGGGGGTGTCCCAAGGCCCAGGCCGCTCCTCTCCTGACACTGCCATCCTTCCTTGCCCTCATTTAGCTCCTGGTTCCCAGGCAGGCCCTGCTTAACTTTACAGGTCAAGTTCTGCCGTCTCTTCCCTAGGCACCATCCTTCAATTCCAATGACCTCTTGGAAGGTCCAGACATGTCCACTCTGTCACTTCAGTCTCTATGTGCCTAAAATGGAATTTGTCATCAACCCCTCTAGCTGGCATTGTCTCTCCTGCACTGAGAATCAAGACAACCTGACTCTTACCATGCCCACAGCCCTGAGTACGGCCGCCACTGACTCCTGTCCCCTCCCCTCTGCGCTCCCCACCATGATCTTTCAGCTCCAGCCCCGCTGGCCCTCCTGCTCCCTGGACAGGCTGTCTCTTCTGGCCTCAGAGCCTTTGCCCTTGCTGCACCCCTGCCAGGAGTGCTCTTCCTCTGGAGGCCCACCTAGCTGGCTTTGCTTGTCACCCGCCTCCTTGGAGAGGCCTTCTCTGCCACTTTATCCTCGCTCCTGGAGGTGTCCCAGTGCGCAGCACAGCTCCTGGTGTGTGGAAATGCCAGTGAAGGGATGGACACTGGCACCACAATTGTGCAGCCCTCAGGATCAGGCCTAGAGGCCGAGGGACTCCCCCCTCCACCTGTCAGTTCCTCTGCCCCTGTCCTCTGCCCTCCCCCACTTCTCATCTGCCATTTAAAAAGATACCAGAGGTTTCTTCCATCCTCTCCCCTCAGGCACGAGGCTTAACATGTGGCAGAAGGAACTACCCAGATGGATTCTCGTGACTTCAGTTTATGTGATTTGATTTCCACTGACTAAAATGAATGGCCTGGGTTGGTCTGCAAGCGCACCAAGGAGACAGCACCGAATGTCACGTGTCAGGGATGCTGCCTGAGTGTGCGAGGCAGGCAGGGACTTTGCTTTCATTCTGCGTCTGCTTTCTAACCTATTCTCCCTGAGTTGTACACTCTGGGTTTAAAAGCAGAGGAGTAGATGGCCGGGCACGGTGGCTCACGCCTATAATCCCAGCACTTTTGGAGGCTGAGGTGGGTGGATCACTTGAACCCAGGAGGTGGAGGTTGCAGTGAACTGAAATTGTGCCACTGCACTCCAGCCTGGGTGACATAGCAAGACTCCATCTCAAAAAAAAAAAAAAAAAAAAAAAAAGCAGAGGAGTTGAGCCTTGCTCTTAGACCTCTTTGACATGAGAGCTGGCTGGGGGCCCACGGACCTCTCTGTCTGCAGACTCCATGGGAATTGGGGAATTGGGGAGCTGCTGGGATTAGTGCTCTGTCCTGTTGTCACCAACATTTCTACAATCTGCACAGACATCAGAAAGCCACTCCTTCAACCTGCAGTCAACACAATCTGGGAGGGCCCCCAGTGATGAGATGGTGCTATCAAAATTCCTGACATACTCCTAGATTGAGATGAATAGGACTATGGAGCTCTGAAGTTTGTCAAAATCAACTGCACTGCCATGAGGTATGTGGTAATTGCTACTAAAACAGGAAACGATGAAGTACTTAGAGGGATATCACAGAGCCATGTTTATTCCAGTGAATCACCCTTTGGCCATAACTGATTGGACAAGGAGTGGACACCTGACCCAAGTAGACCAATTGGCTTCTCCCCTGAGACTTTGGAATTGGTTGCAGGAACAAGAGCTGGGCATAGTCACTCCAGGGCTGTGAGGCCATTTCCTCACATTTCTGCTCATATGGCTGTGAGGCCGTGTGAGTAGCAGAGAAAGCTGATATCGTGAGGAAAGTGAGGGGAAGTGGACCCACAGAGAAGAAGAGGTAGGGCCCAGAAGAAATAGAAAGAAGCGTCCTTGGTTCCTGCCAACTTTCTGGTTCTTCCTTCCGGTCCCCTGTGATGAGTGGCTACACTCTCTACCTTTGGGGTCAAGGTGATCATTAAGGATTCTCCAAATAACATCCTCTTTACTGCTCAAACTGGACTGATGAGATCTCCTCCACCTGTAAACAACTGACCCCTGATGAAAATACTTCCAAAATGCAGATGGCATTCAACGAGATGCTCTGCTGAGCATAAGATTTCTCAGGCTTGCTCTTTCTCTCTTGCTCTCTTTTTTTAAAGAGATCGGATCCTGCTCTGTCTTGATTTTCATAAATTCCCTATATTACTTTGATTTTAATTAATTAAATTTATTTTCTTTTATTATTTATTTTATGATTTTATTTTCTGAGACAGAGTCTCATTCTGTCACCCAGGCTGGAGTGCAGTGGCGTGATCTTGGCTTACTCCAACCTCCACCTCCCGAGCTCAAGCGATTCTCATGCCTCAGCCTCCCGAGCTCAAGCGATTCTCATGCCTCAGCCTCCCGAGTAGCTGGGATTACAGGTGCGCACAAACATACCTGGCTAATTTTTGTATTTTTAGTAGAGACGGTGTTTTGCCACATTAATCAGGCTGGTCTCGAATTCTTGACCTCAGGTGATCTTCCCGTCTCAGCCTCCCAAAGTGCTGGGATTACAGGCAACAGCCACTGTGCCCAGCCCAATTTTCATTTTTTTAGAGACAGGGTCTCGCTCTGTCACCCAGGCTGGAGTGCCGTGGTGTGATCATGGCTGACTGCAGCCTTGAACTCCAGACTTGAACTGCAGATTTTGATTCACTTTAATTTCTTTTCAGGCATTTCAGTGCCTGGGTTCAAGTGATCCTCCTGCCTCAGCCTCCCGAATAGCTGGGACTACAGACACACACAACCACACCCAGCTATTTTTTTTAAAACTTTTGTAGAGATGGAGTCTTACTATATTGCCCACGCTGGTCTTGAACTCCTGGCCTCAAGAAATCTTCCCACCTTGGCCTCCCAAAGTGCTGGGTTTACAGGTGTGAGACAGTGCACCCACTACCCAGGCTCTCTCTTATACTGGCAACGAAATTCCAATCCCAGAATAGAACTTGGGCAGTCATTCATTCTACCAGCATTCTTGGTAGGCTGGCCTGTACCTTTCCGGAAGGGCATGGCTACGGTATTTGGCTCTGGGTAATGGATAATTTAAAATTTCTAAGCAACTTTCCTTTTTAGCACGACTGACTTAACAAGCATGAAATCTCAGGGGCTTGGTTCTTAATGTGCATTGAGCCAAGCACTGAAATGCTTGGAAAGAAATTAAAGTGAAACAAAATCTCTTGAATTTGGGCAAGTTGGAGTAACACCATTGCCTTGGAACTCCTGGAGGCTTTGCACCGACTGTTTGCTGGGAAAGCTTGGAAGGCCTGGCTTTCCCGGGGCAGGTGGGTGATGATGGCTGTGACCATAGGCCGTGACTACTATAGGGTAATGTTTGGAAACATGTATGGTAGAGCTGATCTGTGCGGGTTCCAGTCCTGCTTTAACCCTTACTGTCTATGTGACCTGAAAAATATTACTTCAATCTCATGTTCCCTTTATCTGTAAAATGAGTCTGTTGGGAGGTTATTTGGGTAACGTGCCTGGACCAGAGCCTGGCTTACCACAAGCATGCTGTGCACCTGGTCACTGCAGTTCTTTTTTACAATGGCCCTCCCACACTGTGGAGGACCTGCCATGAGCCAGGCGCCTGCCCTCAGAGAGCTCCTCAACTCTTTCTTTCCACCTTACCCTCCTCCTGACACTGACTGAGCCTCAGTGTTAAGTCTCAGAAGGGGTGAGCAGCAAAAATTTGTAAGGCTGGGGAATCAGAGGAGGCAGCTCTGTCCAGGATAACACTTGGAGTCTGAGGAACTTGTTCCTGTACCCTAAGTGACATGTCAGGGGTATATCTGCTAGACACTCCCTAATACAGAAGATGCCGATTTGAATCATTAAAAAAATGCATGCATTAAGACATGTAATTAACCCAAATACCCATCAATGATAGACTGGATAAAGAAAATGTGGTACATATACACCATGGAATACTATACAGCCATAAAAAGGAACAATATCATGTCCTTTGCAGGGACATGGAGGTAGGCAGAAGCCGTTATCCTCAGTAAACTAATGCAGAAACAGAAAACCAAACACCACATGTTCTTACTTATAAGTGGGAGCTGAACTACGAGAACACATGAATACAGGGAAGGGAACATCACACACTGTGGCCTGTTGGGGGGTGTAGTGGGAGGAGGGAGAGCATTAGGAAAAATAGCTAATGCATGCTGGCCTTAATACCTAGGTGACGGGTTGATAGGTGCAGCAAATCACCATGGCACACATTTACCTATGTAACAAACCTGCACATCCTGCACGTGTACCCCAGAACCCAAAATAAAAGTTAAAGAAAAAAAGAAAAGAAAACTAGAAAAAAAAATGCATGCCTTGGCTTTGCATAGATATTTCACCAAGAGGCAGCATCACAGAGAGGGTGATGATGATGACAGAACAGCTAATATCTCTTGGGGGCTCCTGTGTGCCAGGCACTGTGTTAAATGCCCCACAAGTATGATCTCATTTATTCTCCCAGCACCCCATGTATTATTAGTGTCATTTTACAGAGGAGGAAACAGGCTCAGCAGGGTTTCAGAACCTGCCTGAGGTGTGGGTTGGAGGTGATGGAGCCAGGATACGTGCCCAGGCAGCCTGGCTCCAGGGTTTGTGCTCCCACGTGGTATGGGGTGGGGTTAAATCCAGAGGCTCTAGGGGTGAGCCCTGGCATGGCAGGCCTGAGTGTTCTGTGGATGGAAAAGGACCTCGTCCAAGCTAGTGGTGAAATAACGACTACTACTCACCGAGCACTCATCATGTCACAGGCTCAGTGTTGCTATTTGGAAGCCATCATCTCATTCTTTCCTTGCCACACTGGGTGGGGAAGTCATAACCATTTTACAGATGAAAACACTGAGGCCCAGAGAGTTGTGTGCCTGGCTAGAGGTCCCAGGTCTGTAAGCGGCTGAGTTTGGATTCAATGGTTTGACTCCTAGCTGCTATCCGTACTCTCCAGGAGCCAAGTCTGAGTGCAAATATTGAGACTCCCTGCCTTGATGGGCTCTCCTTTCATAATCAGGAATGCCCTTGAAGACCATCTAATCATCTACTGCAAAGTTCACAAAGCTCTCAGGGTGAGTCCTGCCAGCAGATGTGCCTTTTTTTTTTTTTTTTGACATATACAGTAGTTTAAAAATAATCTCAATCAGTTGCCAAAGTCAAAAAATAAGAAACATTTCTGGTTTCTCTTGAAAAAAGTAAAGAGGAGGTCTGGTACAGTGGCCTTGCATTCATTATTTTTTTTTGAGACGGAGTCTCACTCTCTTGCCCAGGCTGGAGTGCAGTGGCACAATTTCGGATCACTGTAGCCTCCACCTCCTAGGTTCAAGTGATCCTCCTGCCTCAGCCTCCCAAGTAGCTGGGATTACAGGAACGCACCACATGCCTGGCTAATTTTTGTATTTTTAGTAGAGTCAGGGTTTTACCATGTTGGCCAGGCTGGTCTCGAACTCCTGGCCTCAGGTTATCTGCCCGCCTCGGCCTCCCAAAGTGCTGGGATTACAGGTGTGAGCCATTGCGCCCGGCCTGGCCTTGCACTCCTAAATGCTTATTAGAAACCTGAGTGGAGTGGCAGCCGCCCTGTGGGTGGGCTTATGGTCTCCAAATTGCCAAAGTCCTCACTATTCCCTGTGCCACTTCCAACACTCAGGCAAGTGTCAATTGCTATGCATCATCACACTTGTGTTATTATTTTTTCTTTTTTTTCTTTGAGACAGAGTCTCGCTGTGTCACCCAGGCTGGAGTGCAGTGGCGCAATCATGGCTCACCGTAGCCTCGACCTCCTTGGCTCAAGCGATCCTCCTACCTAAGCCTCCCAAAGTGCTGGGATTACAGGCCTGGCCACTGTACCCAGCTATTTTTCTAACAGTACAGTTAAGGATAAAGTGAAGTGACTAGAGACCGATGTCTCTATGAAAGGCAGGAGAACAAAGTCTTTTGGAAAATGGCTTGGAAAAGCCATGTGTTGCAAGAAAAATGGGCAAAGGGACATACCTTGGTGGCAATGACAAATACATCTATGAATTTACCATGCAAAATGTGTCTTGCCCATTTCACTCATGTATGCATCTCTTTGGCCCCTGAGACAGTGATTTTGTGACCCTTAGTTGAGAACAACCATCTTGTTGTGCAGATAAGGAAACTGAGGTCCAGGAGCTAACTGGCTTCATGCCAATTAGAGGGGCTGGGATGATGATGCCCAAGTCGGGCTGCTCTTTGGAGCTTACCTCTGCTGGCTGGCTGGTCGTCCCCATGACTACTGCTGCCAGCATCCTTCCTTGAGCCCCTCCTCCCACTAGCAGGGCGCTCTCTGTTGGGGGGCTGGTTAAAGATGTCTGAGTCATCACTGTGGACTTTGGTGGTTGCCCTCTGGGGTCTCTCCTTGGTGTTGACACTCCGGCTGGTCCCCCACCCTGGCTCATGCCGTAGGCCTTTATCCCTGGCCTCGGTCTCTCCAGGACCCTCACCGATGACATCGTCTGATGGGAGCCTGCCCTTCCAGGCCAGGGGCTTCTCGGGACTAAGCCAGAGGGGTTTTGGCTTCCTGCCTCCCTGCTTCCTGTCCTTGCCGGTGGGAGAAGGTTGTAACCAGGATGGGGTTTTCCCGGGTGGCTCACAGATTTTTCTGCCCATGAGGTTTTCCAGTTGTTGGATGAGAGAGGGCTCCTCATGGACAGGAGGGCACTTCACAGGTGGGGAAGTGGCAGGAGCACTGGGCATGTCACCCATCGAAGTGGGGACTGCCGACAGTCTCAAATATTCCTCTAACTGGGACAAACTGTCTTTCCTGCAATTAGTAGAATTCTTTCTTTTGCCAGACACATTTCCTTGTGAAGAAAGCTTTGCATCCGCTAATGTTTCAGCTGGCGGTGAGCAACCGAGACCAAGCTCCTTGTCCCCGCTGGCACCAGCCATCTCATGGGTGCCTTTGCTTTCTTCCGAGTGAGCGTTCATGGCCTCCTCTAGTTGCTCGCTCTTCTCGTTCTTCTGGTCAACCAGGATGCTGTGGTCAGCTGGGGCCTCCCTATCTCCTTTGTCTAACTTGCCATTGAAGATGAGGTTTCTGTTGACGTAAAGCTTCACGTTCTTGGCACCAATGTCAAGATCCTGAAACCATAAGATTTAACAAAGTGAAGATGCATAGCATCAGACTGATGTATGAAATTTTGGAAGTCGAAGATACCAAAAAAAGAAAAGAAAATGTGAAATGCTAGAAATGCAAGCTTTTGAAAACCACAGTGCTGGGGGTGTGAAACTAGGCTTGGTCTCATTTCTGTGGGAACCGCTACATACTCTATAAATCAAAGGACTTTCACAAAGAGACGGCCTCAATCGCTGCCTTCGTCATCATTACCTCCTGTCGGGACATTCGTAATAGCCTACTAATGGGTCTCCCTGCTTCCTGTCTCTTGCTACTTTAACTTGGACTTCACATTGCCACCAGAGTTCATTTCCTACCAGAGCAAATCTGTCCAGTCATTCCCCTGTGTGAAATCCTTCATGTTTTTTCACAGCCTATAGCAGTGTTCTTTAAAGTCCAGTTCCTGAGACCATCTGCGTCGAAAAGCCTGGAGTGCTTATAAAACAGCTTTCCTGGCCTCCGTGGGCATCATAATTGGGAGACCGTAAAAGCAGAGGCTGAGACAAGGACTCGGGTGCAAGTCGAGTATTTGGCAGGTGATTCCAAGAGGAAATGGGGAAAGCAAGATAGGGCAGGAAAAAGGAAAAACCCAGTTTTTTTGAGCTGGTCACTGCTGTGGCCAACTGGTGCTCCTTCCCACGGGGGCCCTCTGCGGCACTCCAAGATCTCACTTTCCCCAACCCTAGTCTTCACCTATCTTAAAAATGGCTCCATCATTGAAGCAGTGGCCAAAAACCTCGTGGCCCCCTTGATCCCTCTCTTTCTCACTTGCCCATCCAATCCGCCAGCTGTCCCTCGCCTCTCTCTCCAGAACACTTCCTGGGTCTGACCTCTTTACCTGGAATGTGCTGCTGCCTTCCTTGCCCAGGCCACCAGGGTCTCTACCAGAGACACCACTGCCGCCTCCTAATTGGTCTCTCTGCTTCCACTCTGCGTTGTCTCCTCCAAATCCCTGCACTCACACTTCATTTTCTATGCAGCAGTGAGTTTTTTTTTTTTTAACTGAAATCAGATCATGGGAGTCTTCTGCTTAAATGCATGTCGCAAATGTCTCTCCAAGACTGGGACATTTATCCACTGCTTGTTGAAGGCTGCCCTCAGGGCACTGATGCCCCAACACATGCACGAGCTGAGTGTGCTCCCACGGCAGAGCACCCCACGAGCACCTGAGGCAGGGCACTGTCCACATGCGGGGACTGTCCCATGTTCACGGCAGCTGCAGTTGGAAGGGAGCCAGGAGGATGCCGTGTGAGGACCACTGCCTCAAGGCAGCCTGTAGGTAACTTCTGGACTCAGAACAAGTTCTCCGGATGATTTCTTCACACGACGGGGTGCAGAACCATGCCGATGATGGGATAAATTCCAAAGCTCTCCACATGACATACAGTAACCTTCACAAATGGTCCCCACCTCGCTCTCCTCTCTCACTGCCAGCCTAAATGCCCCTATGTCACGCAGGTTCAACTCTCTTCCTTCCATGCTTAAGATAAAATCACATCTCCTGCTACTGTTTCACTTGTGTCATCCTCTTTACAGCAAAACTCTTTTTCCAGCTTTATCGGGGAATAGAATACACACCCCATACAATAAACTGTGCATATTTAACGGGTACAGCTTGATCAGTTTTAACATGTGTCTACGCCAATGAAGCCATCACACTCAAGAGAACAAACGTACCTATCACCCTAAGGTTTCCTCGTGCCCCTTGGTAACCCCTGTCTCCCCTTCCTCCTTCCCTGGCTCCAGGCAACCACCCACTTATGGTCCCTCCCTATATACTGATCGTCCTTTCTGGAATGTTTACATAAAGGAATCATGTTGCATGTAGTCTTTTTTGCTCGGCTCTTTCAGTCACCATAACTGCTCTGAGATTCACCTGTGTTATGGGAACTGATAGTTCCTTTCCTTTCTACTGCTAAGGAATATTCCATTGCAGGGCCCCCCGCATGATCTGTCCGTCACCCCGTCAGTGAATCTCTGAGTGTCACTGTCCCCGTGGGCTCCTCCTCCCACTACCCCTTGTTCCTCCTCCCGTTGGGCTTCTGCCTCCACCTCCACATGGAACCCACCTGGCCCGGGCACCTGTAACTAGGGTGACGGGCCATCCTAGTTTGTCTGGGACAATTCTGATTTATATCTGTTATCCTGGTGTCATTACTAATGACTCTCAGAAGTGTCTGGTTCCTAAAGTAAATTACAGGGTCCAGCTGACTGCCATACGCAATAGGAATTTCTCCTAGGAGTGGGTGGGTGTGGCGGCTCGGCAGTACTCGGCAGCTTCCCCTCCTTTGCGATGACTTTCCTCCCTGGGGCTTGTGTGGCTCTGCACCCACCTGGCTTTCCTCCTGCCTCGCTGGCTGAGCCTGCCCGACTCCTGGGTTGCTTCCTTTTCTTCGGCTGCACTTTGAACGACTAGGCTGCCCAGGGCTCAGTCCTAGGCCTCCCGAGTGCTCTTCCCTTGCTCTCCAGGTGGTCTCATTCAGGTCCCAGGCTCCCAGTTATTTTCATCTCCAACCCTGACCTCTCCACCAAGCCCCAAGTGACTGCTTGGCCTCTCTTCCTGGATATCTAACAGGAATTCCAATATAAAATGCCCAAAACAGAATGCTCTCTTTTTTTTTTAAGAGACAAGGTCTTGCTCTGTTGCCCAGGCTGGCGTTACAGTGGCTCGATCAGGGTTCACTGCAACCTGAATTTCTGGGCTCAAGTGACCCTCCCATCTCAGCATCCTGGATAGCTGGGACTACAGGTACACGTCACCACGACCAGCTAATTAAAATAAATTTTTTTTTGTAGAGACGGGGTCTCACTATGTTGTCCAGGCTGGTCTTGAGCCCCTGGGCTCAAGGGATCCTCCTGCCTTGGCCTCCCAAAGTGCTGGGATTACAGGTGTGAGTCAATGTGCCTGGTGTGCCTGAAACAGAATTCTGAAATCACTTTCTCCACACTTAGTCTTAAACTATCTTAAAAATGGGTCCATCATTCGAGCGGTTGCTAAAAAGCTTGCCGTCCCCTCGTCCCCTCTCACTTTCTCACTCATATCCAGTATGTGGGCACGTCCCTCGGCTCTCTCTCCAGAACACGCCCTGGAGCTGACCTCCTTGCCCGCGTGTGCTGCTGCCTGGGCCACCAGGGTCTCCCCCAGAGACACCACCATCGCCTCCTAGTTGGTCTCTCTGCCTCCACTCTGGGCTGTCTCCCCCAAACCCTGCACTCACTTCATTTTCCACACAGCAGTGAGTCTTTTTTTAACAACTGAAATCAGATCATGGGAGCCTCCTGCTTAAAGCTGCCCAGTGACTTCCTATGGCACTGACAAGAAATCCTACTCCCCTTCAGGGGTGCCTGCTGACCTCTCTGACTCCGGCTCCTGGCGCTTGCCTCGATTCCTTGATGTGGCTCAGCCTGTTCCTCCTGCCTTAGAGCCTGTGCACTTGCCTGGCGTGTTCTGCCGCAGATGCCCACAGCCTTGCTCCTTCTTCTGTTCAGGACCTTCAGTGAACACACCTCTAGGGCAGCCCCACCTCATCGGTCCCCTCTTTATCTTATTGCCCTGTTTTATTTCCTTTTAGTCTCTGAATGGTCTTGCTTATCAGCTTTTAACTTATTTATTGTTTTTCCCACTCAAAGTTAGGCTCCAAGACAGCTGAAGCCCTGCCCGTCTTGTCCAAGGGCACATTGTAGCCACCCAACAATTATTTTTGGGCCAGGCGCAGTGGCTCATGCTTGTAATCCCAACACTTTGGTAGGCCGAGGTGGATGGATCACCTGAGGTCAGGAGTTCGAGACCAGTCTGGCCAACATGATGAAACCCCGTCTCTACTAAAAATACAAAAATTAGCCAGGCATGATGGCGTGAGCCTGTAATCCCAGCTACTCGGGAGGCTGAGGCAGGAGAATCACTTGAACCTGGGAGGGGGAGGTTGCAGTGAGCTGAGATCGTGCCATTGTACTCCAGCCTGGGTGACGACAGTGAAGCTCCGTCTCAAAATAAATAAATAAATTACTTTGGAATAGCAAATGAATAAACATGGGTTTTCTCTCCTGAACAGCACTGCTGTCTCAACAGTGCTCTAAGAATGAACCTGATCAGAAAAGCGGCGGCCTGTGGGTTTCACCTCCAGATCGTTTATTTCCCGTGTTGCCTTGGCTTCTGATCTGCTCTTGGGAGACAGAATCTGAGACCCTGGAGATGTTCACCTATACTAACCCCTTCTTAGCCTTCCTGAAAGCTAGGTGAGTAGGAGCTAACAAATTTCAGGATCACTGAGTTACAGAGGTTTCCGCAGCAATTTAGAAGGAGAACTGTCCGGCCTGCGTTACGCCACAGGAACTCGGCTTCAATCCTCCAATTGCAGATGGCAGGCTACCATTTGCCGACTGTCAGAAAAGTCGATTCTCAAAGCACTCTTTTACCTGCTTATATGGATGGATTCTCTGTTTAGCAGAGGCACAGAGCAAGTGCGTGCTGTGAATTCACCGGGGAACAGCTATTTGAGAAGGACAGCATGGGCAGTTTTCAATGACTGGTTCTGCAAAATTACTGCCACAGGGATATCTGGTGAGACAGAAACACCTTCCTTTAAAGAGGTAGTGGGTGATGGGGAAACCATCTAGTCCAGCACAGTCACAAGGTGGGCATCCTAGCTTTCCTAATAGGGTGGCCGGCTTCCACAACATGGCCACCCATCTTCCTTCCCCAGTCCAGAGCCCATCTGACCTCCAGCCCTGTTCCCACCAAGACGTCTGGCGGAGAGGGAACTGAGAGAGGGAAGCAGGCGGAGGCAGGGGTCAGGCTTGTAAGAGAGGAGTGGGCTCAGGTGGAAATCAGTGGTATGCAGGGGTCACAGGGAGGTGGGAGGGTCGTACCCTGCCTGGCAGCTCTGAGCTCTGAAAGGTTTCCAGCACTCTGCAGGCCAAACAAGCCACATTCATGGGCAGATGTGGCCCAAGGATCACCAGAGTGGGGTCCCCATAGGGAATATTAGTCACTTCTCTGGATATTCTGTTTAAAGGATAACAGACTGCCTTGTCCTATGTCATCCTCAGAACAATCCTGCAAGGGAAGCATTAGGGCCCCATCTTATGGATGGAGAAACTGAGGCACATGCCTTCCCCAAGGTCACACAGCTGGTATGTGGTAAGCCACTATGGCTGGCATGCTAAGGTCTTAACCACCATCTTTCTGTGGGTCAAGCTAGATTCCAAGAAAGCCACAGTCCTGGCCCATGCTAGCCTAGCCACTGTTAGGAGCACCTGTACCGGTGGAGCTCTGAGCCCCTACCCTTTTTTAAATTTTTATTTTTATTTTTTGAGACGTCTCTCTCTGTCACCCAGGCTGGAGTGCAGTGGTGTGATCTCAGCTTACTGCAATCTTTGCCTCCCAGGTTCAAGCGATTCTCGTGCCTCAGCCTCCCGAGTAGCTGGGATTACAGGCACGCCACTACGCCCGGCTATTTTTTGTATTTTTAGTAGAGATGGGGTTTCACCATGTTGGCCAGACTGGTCTCAAACTCCTGACCTCAGGTGATCCGTCCACCTCGCCCTCCCAAAGTGCTGGGATTACAGGCATGAACCACTGCACCTGGCCTTTTTTTTTTTTTTTTTTTTTAAATAAGTCCCTATGGGCCAGGCGCAGTGGCTCACACCTGTAATCCCAACACTTTGGGAGGCTGAGGCAGGTGGATCACGAGGTCAGGAATTTGAGACCGCTCTGCAGAGGTGCCAGAAACGCTGTCTCTATTAAAAATACAAAAATTAGCCAGGCGTGGTGGCAGGCACCTATAATCTCAGCTACTGGAGAGGCTGAGGCGGGAGAATTACTTGAAACTAGAAGGCAGAGGTGGCAGTGAGCCGAGATTGTGCCACTGTACTCCAGCCTGGGCAAAAGAGGGAAACTCTGTCTCAAAAAAGAAAATAATAATAATAATAATAAATAAGTCCTTATAGACTAACTGTCTCCTACCCCACCCCAGCCCCCACCTCCACCTCCACTGGGTGGTGGGTGTGCGTATGTGTGTGGGTTCCAGTTCTTCAAGACATTTTTCTACATATTTACGTATATACCGCATAAGTGTCATTATACCACAAGGGTGTGCTTAGAGGCTGTATGAGAGTCACATCTGCCCCATGAGGAAAGCAGGATGGAAGATTCTGCGAGTCTGGATTCCTCTGCGCCCCCTCAGTGCAGCTCTGTATAAAGGACATCTTTACGAAAGGATCCAGGGGGAAAATCCTTTCTCTCCTCAAGAACCAGCCTGCTTCCTCCCCCTCCAGTCGTCAGGGCTTTAACCCCAGGCTCTTTCTCCCTTCTTCTGTCTTCTTCCATGAAGTGCACCATGAAATTCCTTCCTGCCGAATGTCTTAACCTTAACCTTTAGAACCCTGTCTCTCTCTCTGCATATGTGTGTGTGTGTGTGTGTGTGTGTGTGTGTGTGTGTGTCCTTCTTGTTTCCTTGGTGTGAATATTTTTTTTCCTTCTTTAACTAGAGTTATTTTTATGCCTTTTGTTCATGCTGCCTCAAACACCCTTTGCAATGGATTTTGAAAAGGACAGTTTGAAACTCTGTGGCTGGTTTGTAGTTAATGGGAACACCTTTCCTGGCCCACATTTTGCCCTTATCTTCCTTCTTTACAGTTGGTGAGAATCAACTGTGCTGAAACTGTAATGCATTTTTAATACAATATTAATATTATTTCAATCTAAGTGATTAATTAACTCAGCAAGGCCACTTTCATCCCTGGCCCCAGTGTAGAATGGCAGGTCTCTTGCAATGAACACACAACTGCCCAACAAAGATTCATGGCGGCACGGTTCCACTGTGGCAACAGTGAAGCAGAGCTGTGGGCTTTAGCATCTTAAGCCACTTTCCCCAGAGATGAGCACCTGCCTTTGGCACAGCCAATACAACCTGAGAACAAACATCTGGAATGAAGCACTGGCTAGGCCCAAAAACCACATGCCAAGGTGGGTCCGTTAAGGCAAATGGAGCCTTGGCATGGCGACACAACTGGAGTCGGCCCAGATGTGCACTGGCTGGACTTCAGGCACAGCCCAGGGAGCCCATACTGCAGGCATCCCACACTCTGGGAGTTGTGTCATTGGCTGGGAACATTTACTGGCACCTCTGCAGAGCAAAAGCGTGGGTTGCTGTCCTTCCTAGCTCTTTGCCCGGAAGTGCTGGCTCCAGCACGGGAAGGAGCCAGGGGTTCTGGGCCAGGGGTTTAGGGTTTGTCTCCCGGACTCACTGCTTTTATCCTAACTGTAGGTCTATCGAGATATGGAGGGCTATGGGGGAGTGAGGTGCTGTCACCCAGAGTGCTGCCACACACACTTTAGGACCTGGCTCAAGGGCTGACTCCTCCAGGGAGCCCCTGGCCCTCCCTGTCTCCCCCTCCTCCCTGACTCTGGTTGACTTGAGTCTTCTTCTGAGGTTTCGGGGTTGGGCTTGCAACCTGGTTCTCTGCACCTACTGCTTAGCCAAGTGTCCACAGACACATGCTTGTCCTCCCCAGGAGGCAAGACCTTCAAGGACAGGGGAAAGGGCTATTCCTATCTGTCTTGAGGTCTTGCTCTGGGGACTAAACTTACAGGGAGTTCTGGTTTCATTGGGAAGTGACCTTCATTCATGGTCTTTTACGTGTCCCTTGGGAGGAAGGCCAATGAACACCATTCTCTGTGATATGCAATTTAATTTCCTCGAAGGGACAGAAGAAGATGGTAAGACACTGAGACATTTAACAAACACCTACTATAAGCCACACTCTGGGAAGACCATGCCGTGTCCCACCCAGCATCACAGACTCAGGATGACAAACGTGGATGGGATCTGATTAGTTCACACACTGGTGGTCCTCTGGCTGAAACCATGCTCGTTTAGCTCACCAAGCATTTAAGAATTTTAGAATTATTAGTAATATTTACAAATTGGGAGCTTTCACATAACAAAGTGCATTTCTGGCCTCTGTTGAAAAATTTAGGCTGTGTGGCAATACCGGGTCGGCGCTAACATGTGGAGTAATGGCTGCCCTCCTGCAGGGCCTGGCTCTCCAGTGACAACGGTCGCTCTATAGAAAGGCAGGGCTGTGCCAGGCGCAGTAACTCATGCCTGTAATCCCAGCACTTTGGGAGGCCAAGGTGGGTGGATAACCTGAGGTCAGGAGTTTGAGACCAGCCTGGCCAACATGGTGAAATCCCATCTCTACTAAAAATACAAAAAAATTAGCCCTGTGTAGGGGCACACACATGTAATCCCAGCTACTTGGGAGGCTGAGGCAGGAGAATCGCTTGAACCCAGGAGGTGGAGGTTGCAGTGGGCCGAGATCACTCCACTGTACTCCAGCTGGGGAACAGAGCAAGACTCTGTCTCAAAAAAAAAAAAAGAAAAGAAAAAGAAAGACAGGGCCGTGAAATGGGCACCAGACTGCCTGGTAGTCATGTGATCGTCAGCAAGTTGCTCTGCCTTTCTGTATCTCAGTTTCCCCATCTGTAAAATGGAGCTGGTAACTGCAGTACCTGTCTCATAGGACTGCTGTGCAGAATAAATGAGCTGATTTATGTAAAGTGCTTTAAATACCGCTTGCCACATATGCAAGAAACAGGAGCCACCCTCATGTCTTGTACCTAATGTACTGCACCTAAATGTATATAGACCCGTCGAGGCTGGCTGCTCAAGGTTGGCCTGGCTCAGAGACACTGCGCTGCAGGGCCCAGTGCGGCAATCCCCCTGTTTCTGCCAGAGGTTGGCAGCAGCCATAGGAGGAGCCCCATGCATACTGAGGTCAAAACTCTGCTAAGTTTGGGTTGAGGCCCTGGCATGCAATTCTTGCAACTTTATTCAATGCAGCCCATACTGTATGGGGGTCTTTTGGTGGGGGACGGGGGGGTCCTGGCCTGTGTGGGATGCAAAGGAAGCAAGCCAGGGTCCTCGCCTTGAAGAGTTCACAACCAGCTGTAGGTGAAGGGGTCACATGCTCAAATGCTAGTGGCACCGCAGCCACGGGGGGTCTGTGAGCTGAAAGATGTATACTCTCAAGTCCAGAGGAAGCAGGGAGCATTCAGCTCCAGCCAGTGGATGAAAGAGAGGGAATATTTGCCAGGTCATCAAAAGCCAATTTCCAAATGTTGTCATTAAACAATTCAGAAGCTGTAAACACTGTGAGGACCAAAACCGAACACATTGCAGGGCAGACTTGGCCGGGGGTGCCTGTTTGTACATCAGAAGCTCAGAACCCTAAGAACACCCTCAGGAAGCAGGGACTTGATGCCAGGAAGGGTGTCACTGGAGACCCCCACAAGGGGCCTAAGGCAGGCTAGGGGTATGGGGAGGCTTGTTTGTGAAGTCAGGTTTAAGCTGAACCTCAATGTTTTGAAAGGCAGGTTTGTAACAAGACGGGTCAGGTATTCCAGGCTCTGGGGATGGCAGGAGCTAAGGCAGAGAGGAGAGAAGAGTTTTATGGGGGCCAGTGGGAGGTCAAAGCTGTATAAGCACGAAAGAGCCAGAGAGCCAGATTTTGGGGTCAGGGAGTGGTGGAAGTCACCAATGCAAACACATTCAGGGTCCAGACAAGTACTGCAAATGAGACAGGCAATGGAGTGAAAGGACAATGGTGTCGCTGTGACTCAGTTCCACTCAAGTTTCCAGGTGTAAATGTGGGATCCTCTAGTTTCTCAAAAAAAAAGCAAAAAAATTCATATTTTCATGCAAAACCTCCCAATTTTAAAATGTTGGCTATTAATTCAAATAATTTTGAAAACATCATGTGATCCAGCGGAAGTCTACCTGTGAACTGCATCTGGTAACCAGTGCACAGCCTGTGTTCAGCCTTCTTCTCAGGATGCTCTGGGAGGCTGTGACAGCTGTGAGTCATGGCTGCTCCCCTGAAGCATTCTGCAGCTGGGAGGCCCTGGGCTCATCGCCTTCACTGCAGGGCCCCTGGGCCTCCCCTGCCTGGGCATGAGCTTGCAGGGGCAGGCAGCGTATCAGTGCTGATTCCCAGCACAACGCCTGGGCTTGGGGCAACTGACAAACCTCTGCTGATGAGAGGAGGGGCTGAGCCCATGAGCAGTGGAGGGAAGGATGGGGATACACGGGAATGAGGTATCATGCAGCAACAGGCAGAAGGGGAGGGACGAGCTGGATTGGGAAGGAGACTAGTTTTGGAAATAGAACTGGTAGGACTCAGAGATGCCTGACAGTGAGGGGCAAAGGGAAGTCAGAGGATCAAAGTTGTGAGCCAGGAGCTGGCGCGGACAGAAAAAGGAAGTGGAGAAGGAAGCCTGGTGTGGGTGGACAGACAGGCAGGGTTTGGGTGTGCCAAGTGGGAGTAGTGTGCATTCGCAGTAAGAAAGGCCAGAAATAGCGATCCAGTGGTTAGGCCTGCAGCTTTGATATGTGGTTAAGTGTCAAGGAAGGTTTAAGTTTGGAAGCTGATGAATAAATTCAACAGCATGTGACTCCTATGTTCTAAGAGAAAAAGAAAAAGGACTTAGGGTGGGTATGATTTTCTATCTTCCCTGATGATTTTTCCTCCTTTTAGAGGCAGCACTTCAATTTCCCATTGAAAATCCAACCTTCTCTTAATTTCACCTCATGTGGATAATGTGGGCCCACCCCAGGTAGCAATGCAGGTCTGACCAATAATGGGCGCTAGATTGCAGCTTTCACGAGGACAGTCTCTTTCTGCGGGGGCTGCTGAAATAAGCATGAACCTGATGCCATTGGGGGCTACCACGTGGAAACTGAGGATGAGGCCAGCACAGAGGAGAAGAGAGCTAAGTGATGGAGGGAGGCAGATTCCTGATGACATCATGTGAACTCCTGGATGCCACCATACCTAAAGCCAGCCACCCAGCGTCTTCTCTTACATGAGCCAAAGACTTCTATTGTGTGATTAACCCAGTTTTAATTGGGTTTTCTGTCCTTTGGTACCAAGAGAATCCTGGCTGATAAAATAGCCCTGCTACTGAGAACTCCAATCAACAGGCTCAGCTACTGAGTCAGTCCTGGCAGGAGGCAGGTGGGAAGCTCCACCCTCCAGACAATCTGTGATTTCTCCTGCTGCACCAGTCAGCACTTACACCTGGGTGAGCAGCCCTCCCCTGCCCAGGCCTCTGCCTACTTCCAGCTGCAGCCCGCCCACTTGCTCTGCACAGCACAGGACATGGGTCTCAGCTTCCATGCTGGCTCTGAGTCCACTTTCATTCTCTTTAGGAGTAGAGCCTGGCTCTGAATCCCAGTGTTCTTGTGGGGCTGCTCTCTTTAAAGGCTGAATGTGGCTGGGCCGAGCGGTTCATGCCTGTAAATCCCAGCACTTTGGGAGGCTGAGGCAAGTGGATCACTTGAGGTCAGGAGTTTGAGACCAGCCTGGCCAACATGGCAAAACCCATCTCTACTGAAAATACGAAAATTAGCTGGGCATGGTGGTGCGTGCCTGTAGTCCCAGCAACTCAGGAGGTTGAGGCAGGAGAACTGCTTGAACCCAGGGGGTAGAGTTTGCCGTGAGCTGAGATCAGGCCACTGCACTCCAGCCTGGGTGACAAAGCGAGACTGTCTCTAAATAAATAAACAAATAAATAAAGGCTGAATTCTCTGTTCACCTCTCCTTCCCCTGCTGGCTGGGGACCCGCTTTAAAGCTGACCCTCTTGGAACTCTCATGGCTACCGTGCCTGTACCTACCTGAGTGAGGACTCTGCCCACAGACTATACTCACTGCATCCCACCCAACGGAAAGTGCCCTCTGGCCATTGGCAGTGGCCTAGACCAAGCCTGAGGCCCACAGTTCAGGAAGCTTCCCATGCAATGGGGTCAGTCCCCTTTCCACCAGTTGCCCTGCTAAGATGCCCGTCATACTTCCCGGGCCCCCACAGCGCCCAGACCCTGCCATGGGGCAGAGCCATCAGGCCGCACTGACTCGGGTGACCAAATGAAGGTTGCATCTTTGACTTCCAAGTCATTGACATGTTTGGTCTTGGTTTGTATCAGATCCAAACAAACCAAGTGTAAAAGAAACAATTTTGAGAGAATTAGGAATGTTTAAATATGAAGTGGGTATCAGAGCATGATAATTAATTATGGCCATGCACGATAGTGCCATCAAGGTTACAGAAAAATAAACAAACAAACTTTTTTTGTTAGAGATGTATACTGAAGGATTTATGAGTGAAATAGTGTGATAGCTACAATTTACTTTCAAATGTTAAGGGGATACGTGAAACAACAATAGCAGAATGTTTGTAATTATTGAAGCAGGTGATGGATACACGCCTCATTACTGAACTAATCTCTTCACTTTTGCATTCATTTGAAAACTTCTTTCCAGAAAAAGGCATTGCTGAAAATGCAAATGGTCATAGGATGAGTTGAGCCCACCTAAAGTGCACCCCAAGAGCACTGACACCCTCATCCAGGCCACCACCATCTTCAGCGAGGCTGTTCTTAGGCTGTTCTATGCCTTGAGCCTCCTCTCTCGGGGCTCCCTCTGCCCCCTGATCCATTCTCCAAATCAACCAGAGTAGTCTTTTAAATTCCTCAATCAGGACCGGGCGTGGTGGCTCACGCCTGTAATCCCAGCACTTTGGGAAGCTGAGGCGGGAGGATGACTTGAGGTCAAGAGTTTGAGACCAGCCTATCTCTACAAAAAATAAAAAAACTAGCTGTGTGTGGTGTGCACACCTGGAGTCCCAGCTACTTGGGAGGCTGAGGTGGGAGGAACGCTTGAGCCCAGGAGGTCGAGGCTACAGTGAGCCATGATCACGCCACTGCACTCCAGCCTGGGCAGCAGAGAGAGACTGTCTAGAAAAACAAACAAACAAACAAACAAACATCCTCCATCAGATCACATCACCCTGCTAACAAGCCTCCGGCGATGACACTAATAGCTGACCCTCGTACAGAGGGCAGGAGGCCAAGGAATGATTCAGAGCACTTTACACGCATTCACTGGACAATATCCCATTTTTCAGATAAAGCTGAGGTATACAGATGTGATGTAACCTGCCCCAGGCCACATGGTCTCAGATGGGCTGGCTCTGACCATACTATATTCTGCCTGTCTCCGAATCAGATCCAAACCTGCTGGCCCACAGGATCTGGTCCCCACCTCCCTCTGGGACCTCTCATGACACTCCTTGTTCCCCATGCTCCAGCCACTTGGCGAAACCACAGTCCTCAAACTCCTGCCGCAGGGCCTTTGCTCCTGCTGTGCCCTGTGGGGAATGCCCTTCCCACAGATGCCCCATGGCTGCTCCTGGTCATCACTGAGCTCGGGGAAGGCCTCTGGCCACCTGGCTCCAAGCAGCCCAGCCTCCTCCTCCCTGTGGCCCTCGTTCACTGTCCTGTGTTATTGTCTTCGGAACACTTAGTGTGACCTGAAATCACATTATTCGTTGTATCCTTGTTTATTGTCCCTTCCCCAACAGAGGGGACAGGGCCTTGTCTATTTGTTCACCACTGTACCCTCAGCACTGAGACTCATGTGGTCCCCTATGTAGTCACCAGCCACGTGTGGCTACTTAAAACTAAAATTAATTAATTACAATGTAAAGTGCAGTCAGTGTCTCAGTGGCACTAGCTGCTTGTGAAATTCTCAACAGCCACCTGTGTCTAGTGATTACTGTACCAAACAGGGCAGATACAGGACATGTCTACCATCACAGAAAGTTCTAGCAAGCAGCGGTGGCCTACACCAGCGGTCCCCAACCTTTTGGGCACCAGGGACTGGTTTTGTGGAAGATAATTTTCCCATGGATGGTGGCAGGGGTGGGGATGGTTTTGGGATGAAACTGTTTCATCTCAGATCATCAGGCATTAGATTCTCATAAGGAGCGTGCAGCCTAGATCCTTCGCATGTGCAATTCCCAGTAGGGTTCCCATGCCTATGAGAATCTCATGCCGCTGCTGATCTGACAGGAGGGCAGAGCTCAGGCGGTCATGCTGGCTCATCTGGTGCTCACCTCCTACTGTGCAGTCTGGTTCCTAACAGGCCACAGACTGGTACTGGTCTGTGGCCTGGGGGCTGGGGACCCCTGGCCTAGACCACATGACATGTCACAGAAACATGCCCCTGGGGAAATGTAGCATTCATTTATCAAAAACAATTTAACGAGTGCCTTTCTGTATATAAAATATACCCTGGGTGCCTGTCCTGCCTGGATGCTCACTGCTGTCCCACTTCCTGGTGTGACCAGGCTGGAGGCGGCACTTGCGTGGTGACGCTGTGGATGATGGGGATGGTGTGCTTATCTGTACTGTCACACATAACTAACATGACTATTATAAAGGCAAACAGATGGACCATGGGGAGCTGCTGGAAGCCCACTTTTTGGATGAGTTATTACCTACTATAGAAGGGAGACTATCGGTTTCTTCCTCCCAACAGATGCCACTCTGCAGGAGAAGCAGTGCTGTGAAAAACCAGAGAAAGACAAGCGGACCTCAAATTTCCCTTCCCGGCTTTGTCTCTTACCACCTGCTAGCTGGGCAAGTCACTTAATCTGGGGAACACCAAAAGATACGACACACATGTTATCACATCCTCCTGAGCCCACGGCAGACGTGGCTGATCAATCATCACACCCTTTCCTCGATGAACCAGAAAGAAGGTTCCAGATCTTTCTCAGGACGGCACTCCAGCAAGCTGTTTCCCATCCGAGTTGGCAAAAGAGACACAGCCGATTTGCCATCTGGGATCTCACTGTCCTAAGTTCTGGCTTCTTCGTCTATAAGATGGGAAATACCACCACCTGCCTCATAGGATCACTGGGGGTTAATTGAGATGATTCATTTGTTCAGTTATTCATTCATGCATTGAATATTTACTGAGTGCCCACAGGGTGCCTATACGTGCCTGATACCTGCGGCATTCAATAAATGGCAGCTGTCACAAGTAGAGGCATCTGTGTGCTGCCTTCTGTGCACTGCTGTAGTGGTGGTGCAGCCTCCACGTCCTCACTTCACCTCTCCCATCCCTCTCCTCTGGCCCAGCTGACACTTACAGAATCACCAAGTTAGGGGGAAAGGAGCCCATAAATGCTAGCATGAGGATTTCACAGGCAGCACATTGCCCAATAAAAGAGACTCCCCTTTTTCTAGTCCCTTCCTTTCTTCTGTTCTAAATAAGCCCTGGTTGGATTAGCTGCCCACATTTAACTTTTCTTCTTCAGATTCCCATACACAAAACACTATTAACAAGCCTTGTCTACCAGGCCGAGCTATATTTCCTATAAACTCTCATTTTATCTCCTCTAAAACACACAGTAATAGCATCCTCTGGAGAATATTAAATCAAACCAACCTGCAGCTGCATTTGTTTGCGCTTTTCTGCTCCTGGTAAATTCTGGCAACAGATTGGGTTTGTGTTACATAAGCGGTGCCCTGGCAGGAACCGCAGTCCTCCACACTCCACCCTGGGTGTGGAAAGACCTCGGCTCTCAAATCCCTGCAGCCAACAGCTCCCCCAAGCACCCATGATGACACCCCATGCTCCTGAGGGACTCTTAAGACCCTGTGCCTTTTTAAACCATTCTATAAGCACAAGGAAGGCTGAGCATAGGTTAAAGAAGAAAGGCAGGCCCTGGCCAAAAGGGATGAAGCTTATCTTTGTTGTAATCCTGCACATAAAATCTGCTTTCCTTGCCCTGAGATATATATTCAATGACAGGGCCGAGCTGCAGGGCACAGCCACGGGCTGCTGGCATTGTTCCATTGCCCATTCCAGAAGAGGGTGACGATGGCCACCTGCCAGGAAGCACTGAGTGGGACTTGGAATGAGAGGACCCGACCCCAGAAGCTCTTAGTGTGCCATGGCTATGTGGGCTGGGGCTGCATTCCGGGGTCTGAGGGTCAGCCTCTGAGCACACAAGAGGCCAGGGCTGGCAAGCAGAGACATGCCCAGAGAAATTTCCGCAAGTTCCCAGTGGCTTGGCCTTCTTTTTCTCAAGTTTAAACTTCAGATGTTTGTTTAAAAACAAACAAGCAAACAAACAACCTCAACGATCAGAAATCAGAGAAAGCTCTGGGCAGCACTGTGCGTACACACAGCTGGCCGGGGCTGCCTGTCCTGTTAGTTTCCTGACTCGAGGTGCCTCGCAACTGACAGGTGCTCACGACGTGATCACTAGGTGGATGGACAGCTGGTGGGTGGCAGAACTAGCAAGAAGCAGCTCAGGAAGGGAGGATGGGAAGGAGGGAGGGAGGGAGGAAGGGAGGAAGGGAGGACTGCCTCTCTGGGACTAGGTTCCCCGCTCTGCCTCCAACCTGCCATGTGGTCTCGTGCAAGCCACCTAGCCTCTCCTATCCTCTCATCTGGATATCAGTAAGGATAACACAACTGCTTATGGATTATTAGGAACATGAGCTCATTCATTCATTCATTCATTCATCAACCACGTATTTCTCCTTTCACTAGGGCAGGGGTGGAGATGACTCTTAAGAGGTCCATGGCGGCCTGGGAAAGTAGCCATAAATTCTGGTCAGGAGATGGTGGAACATGTTCATGAGGTCCCAGAGAAGCGCAAGGGGCAGGGGGCAGGGGGCAGGGTTGGCTTCCTGGAGAAAGTGACGTCTGTGTTTCCAGGAATATCAGGCAGAGATGGGCATTCTGAGTTGAGTGAGATGGGGGTGGAGGGGGGACAGGGATAAAGGGATCACTGCTATGTTCACGGGATGGAAAGCCAGGGCAGCCTGCATTCTGACAAGAGAGAGGCAAGGCCTGGCATGAGGGGATTAGGAGGCTCTGATGTCACACTCAGGGGGTTGACCTTGATCCTCTGGGCCAAGGGGAAGCTCTGAGGGTTTGAAGCAGCAGAGATGTGTGATTGGATCGCCCTGGTGGCTGCTGGAGACAGACTGAAGGGAGCGATTAGGAGGCTGTGTTCTTTCACACCTCCATGCCTGTGAACACGCAGGGCCCTCCACCCAGGATACACTTTCTCCTTTCCTGCCTTGGCTGACTGCCATTGTCCTTTGCCATCACAGCTTAGGTGTGTGTTCCTTCAAGAACCTTCCCTGATCTCTCCCAGCCTGAGGCGGGCTCCTTTCTCCACACTCCACGCAGTCTAGGGCAGGCTAGTTCCAGCCCAAAGAAGAGTTTTGTTTGAATTGTATGGTGGTTTAAAAAGAACTTAAATTAGCTACTGACATTTACACATAAGGAAGGCTCATGTCAAAACTCAGATATCCAGCTCACTGGGCATGTTGGGAAGATCTAGCAGAACTGGCTGGTATTCTACAAAGCAACCCTTAGTTGAAGCTGAAAAGTGGCCTTCCTTTTCCCTGAGGCATGGGCTTGCCAGTCTGCCATAGTCCCCACCACTCCCTAATGTCTCTAGCAAGACTGAAGGTGAGGCTCCATTCCTATTTATAATCTCACTTGAACGATCGCTTCCCTTACAGATTTGAAAGGAAAGTACAACTCTTGCCCCTATGTCTACCATAAGAGGGGCAGATAGGCCAAGTGAATTCCTGTCCTTCCTCACTATTTAGTTCCCTGATAGAACTATGAGTGCATGAAAAACAGCCCAGAGAAGGAAGGAAAGGGTGTGGGCACAGGCAGCAGCATGAGGGTAGATAGTGTGAGGTTAGAAAGGAGGGTGTGGATCCTGCAACCGGAGGTGGTGGGTCCAAAGGTAGCAAGTTATCTCAATTGATCACAGTCAGTTACAGATCTAACTCCTTTTTCCATTCTATCACCCCTTCTCATTACTGTACTTGACTAGTCTTTTAAAAAATAAAAAATAGAACCAGAGGGGCACAATAGTCAGAGGTTAAGAGCCTGGCTAGACACAGTGAGGTCCACAGAACAGGAAGATTGGGATGCCTGGGAGCTGGCTAGACCTACAGAATCTCAGGCCCTGCTCCAGACCTGCTGAATTAGAACCTGCATTTTAGCAAGATCCCGCAGATGAGTCAGTGCAAGTTAACATTTGAGAAGTGAAGGCTAAGAGAAAGGGCCTGGAGTCCAAATGCAGGCGTTCACATTCTCATTCTGACACTGACTGGCTGTGACTTGGGGCAAGTTACATAACCTCTCTGTGTCTGTTTCCTTATCTGTAAAACTGAGTCTCAGCTTACATTTTTCCAGTTCCCCCAAGGGTGGCCTGATACCACCTCCCAACACCAGCAGCCGGAAGCTCTGTCCCTGGGGGCTATGAGAATGCAGTGTGAACCTACCAGCAGGCTCTTGCTGCACACACGAGGCCAGCAGGGCTTCCGTGTATCCATTTTGCAACTTTAGGAATCAGGCTATTGGCAAACTGCTAAGTGCTTCCATCAACCCAGTGCCCAGTGGGGAACCAGCGCCTGTTACTTACGCCATCAGCTGTCCAGTAATTCCGAACCTTGATCTTGGCCAGATGGAAGTCCCCCAGCTGTCTTGTGTTTCGAATAACAAAAAACAGCTGGAGTGGTGGGTGGAAGGGGCAGGTCCACGGGGAGGAGTCTTTCTTGCCCTAGAAGGCCAGCAAGAGAAGGAAATCATTAGGCACATTTCTGCCTCTCCCCAAAGTAAAATGGCAGCGGCTCTTTGGCTCACGAAAACCAGGAGAGGCCTGGTGAGGGCTCAGGGCAGACAGCCAGGCCACCCCGTTGCCATCACCCAGGCTGGGGACTCAGATCACCCCGTCTGGACGGCACTTCACAGCAGGCTACTGACCCCATCCCACCCCCTGCACAAAGCTGCCACACGGACCCCTCTGATCTGCCAACCAGACGGAATTTAAAATGCAGCGGGCTTTATTTTCATCAACTTAATCGGCTTTGAGGAGAGCGCTGGGGGAGGGGAAAGACGCTAGAGAGAAGGATGGGACGCTATTTGATTAACCTGGCAAACAGAGCCTTTGATTTTCTTTTGTAAAACCCTGATGAATTTTTAAAATTTTAAAATAGAAAAGAAAGAAAGCTACTAGCTCAGTCGTTGGTTGGGCCAGGGCCAGGGCACTGAGCCCTGGGATTTATTCTGTTCCTTTCAGGGTTTCCAAGCTTGGAGGCTTCAGTTTGCAGACTCCCCCTGATGGAGGCCCCAGGGGCAGGTGAACAGAGACGCCTTGCTGTCATTCTCATTCACACGGACAAAATTGCATGTCATGAGTGCTTTGGGTACAGATGGAAAAACCCAAACCAGGGGACTTTTCTCAGCCCCAGCCGCCTCCTCTTGGCTTTCTACAATACCTATTCACTCTCCAGTGGGACAAAACTCACAGCTGCTCCCAAACGCGTCCACGCTGGCTCGACCCAGTGCCTTGGCACAGGCTGGGCCTCTGCTTGCTTGCAATTCTCTTCTTAACCTTCTCAATCTGGGGAATTCAGTTAAATCCAAGTGCCCTCAGCTACTTGCAGTCCCCAAGCTTGGTGCCTACCTCGGTGTCCCACGATCATCTCTTTTCACGTCCATGTCAGGCCCCCATTCAGCCGTGAGCTCAAGGGAAGGGGTTGTGTCTGGTTATTCCAGAATCCTAGGCTTTTAGCATAGTTCCTTGGCACATGGAAGATGCCAAAAAAAAAAAAAAAAAAAGAACAAAACCCTTTGTGTAATAAATAAATGACTACATGAATGCACACACATGGAGTGTGCCTCCTAATGTCTGCCCTTTCATTAAAGCTTTAGGGAGGAGACTGTAGGCCAGGTGCTGTGGCTTATGTCTGTAATCCCAGCACTTTGGGAGGTGGAGGCAGGTGGATCACCTGAGGTCAGGAGCTCGAGACCAGCCTGGCCAACACAGAGAAACCCTGTCTCTACTAATAATGCAAAAATTAGCTGGGCGTGGTGGTGCATGCCTGTAATCCCAGCTACTCAGGAGGCGGAGGCAGGAGAATAGCTTGAACTCGTGAGGTGGATGTTGCAGTGGGCTGAGATCGTGCCATTGAACTCCAAACTCCGTCTCCAGGAAAAAACAAACAAACAAACAAACAGAGAAGAGACTGTAAGCTGGGTCTGGCTTACACAGGTATTTGTTTGGTTCATCCAGTGTAAACAACAACAACAACAACAACAAAGCAAACACAAATTCATTGCCAACATTTAAAAATGGGGAGATTCAGACAGGTGCAGTGGCTCATGCCTTTAATCCCAGTGACTTGGGAGGCTGAGGCAGGAGGATCACTTGAGGCCAGGAGTTAGAGACCAGCCTAAGTAATATAGAGAGACCTTGTCTCTACAAAAAAATTTTAAAAATTAGCAGGATGTGGCAGTGTTTGCCTATAGTTCTGGCTACTCAGGAGGCTGAAGTGGTAGGATTGCTTGAGCCCAGGAGTTTGGTACCACTGCACTCCAGCCTGGGCAACACAGTGAGACCCTGTCTCTAAGAAAAAAAAAAAAAAAAGAAATAAGGGCTGGGTGCAGTGGCTCATACCTGTAATCCCAGCACTTTGAGAGGCTGAGGCGGGTGGATCATTTGAGGTCAGGAGTTCGAGACCAGCCTGGCCAACGTAGTGAAACCCCGTCTCTACTAAAAGAAAAAAAAAATACAAAATTTAGTTGGGCATGGTGGCGGGCCTCTAATTCCAGCTACTGGGGAGGCTGAGGCAGGAGAATCGCTTGAACCCAGAAGGTGGAGGCTGCAGTGAGCCAAGATGGCACCACTGCACTCCAGCCTGGGTGATGAAGTGAGACTCTGTCTCAAAAAAAGGTGGTGGTGGAGGGGGGAGATTTCTCCAAACAGCCAGATTTCTGACCCCTCTGCAGACTCGGAAGACATGGCAGCTCAGGAGCCCTGATGGCCGTTTCCTGGAGCCAAGAGTGTGCAGCCCTTGAAGCCCGCCATTTCCCAGGGCTCCAGGGTCCCCACCACTCCCTACTGCTTCATATCCACCTTGCTTCCCTCTTCTGCCTTGGCCTGGCCCCTGTAGGCATTGAGTCTGCAGTCCTTGTTTAGGGGCTGAGCAGCAGCAGCAAGTCCCATCTGCCAATAAGCAACCTCTGCAGGCCTGACACTGGCTGAGTTGTCCCTTTTATCTCAAAGGGGCATCACCCTGCATTTGAGAACATCTCAACAGACTCCCCGTCACCAGGAACGTGCCTGCTACTTGACAGAGCCAGGGAGGGAGGATTGGCTGATCTGGGGTTTTATTGGCCCCCAGGAGATGGAAGGCCCAGGCTCCAGCTGCGGTGGAGGACAAAGGGGACTTGTTTTGGTGACAATGGTGCCTTTCAGGAGGGAGGAGGTGGCTTTTGTTAAGGGGGAACGATGAGTTCAAGGGGTTCTGACTTATTCTGGCAAGTTTCTCCAGCTCTACAAGAACTTCTAGTGCTCTGGGCAGCTGCGAGGGGTCAAGAAACCACATCCCCAAATCCAGCGGGTGAGTCTCATTCCTTTGCTGAGTGGGGGCCTAAAATGGGGCACTGTGGCTGCCTGACAAAGGAAGAGACTGATGGCTGACCCTTAGATGTGGGCTAGGGGACTGTAATTGATTTCCCTTCACATTTCTGTCAGCAGGAGGAATAACAGGAGGGCTAAGCGGGAATTGTGGTGTTCAAAGTCAAAGAACATTAACCTGCGGATAACTCTGGGCCTCATTAGCAACCCAGCCTTCTGATGTTTTCTCTCCACACACAGGATCTCAGAGAGAAAGGCTGATGGGAAGCTGCCCAGGGCTGACCTGGCACATGCTGGGAAAACCCCTCGGTGCCAGGGCAGGAGGCAGAGCGTCTGCAGCTCCTCCCTCCCCAACACAGGGGGTAAGGAATACAGCAGAACGGGAATCGGGCGCCTTCATGCTGCTGTTACCGCCCTTGGTTCATGGCTTCTTTCACTTGGAAACCCCAGGAGGTGGGCATTGCTGTACCGCATGTGCTACTGACCAAAACAGGCCAAAGCTCAGCGAGGGGTGGGATCACCTAAGGTTGTGCAGCACCTACGTGGTGGAGTGAGGATCCGAGCCTCCATCTTTCATGCATTAATTCATTCTGTCTCTGGATTCCCCTAGAAGCAGACCCTGAGGCAAGGATCCACATGTAAGTAGCTTATTTAGACAGAGCAGAAAATATCAATGGGAGAGTGAAGAAGTGAGACAAGGCAGGGAAGGTGGCTCATAAAGGGTATGTTTTCAAGACAGCTGCTCCTGTGGGCAACTGGAGCTTAATCCCCCCAGGGAATCTGGGAGCCAGGGTGGAACAGGCCTCAGAGTGACTGCACCAATGGGGCCCGGGAGTTGGGGTATAAATACCAACTCCCAATGTTGGTTGAGTGCTGCTCCTGGGGGGCTTCTATTTCTCTCTGTATGGAAGGTAAAGCGGGCCCTGGAGGCCACAAAAAGAATCCTCCAGGAAAGAAATCTCAGTGCTGCCATTCAGAAAAGCAGTCAGCATGCCCTGAAGTGCTAGGGCAAAAGGGTGGAAGCAGGCACTGACATATCTACTCCATAACTTGCCCAACAAACACTGTACAGGGTCCCTCCTAGGAGACTGATGCTGAGCCAGACCCGGGGCATGTGCAAGGGAACCTGACCCACCAGGTCCTAGCAGCTCTGTGCTATGAGGGAAGGCAAACAGGTAATGTTTCCAAGAAAAAAAAAATCAAGTAGGGACACATTCTAGGAAAAAAATAAGAGAGAATTATTAATGGCCCATGGAACAGCTATTTTAGAATGAATGGTTAAAGCAGGCTTCTCTGAGCAGGTAACTTTCTAACTCCTAAACCAAAGGTGGCTTTTTAACTCCAGTATTAACATAACACTGAATAGCAACCTGCAGGGAGATACTGCGCTGCCCTCAGAAGTAGCTCCAATTTAATAAATTATTGCATTAAAAAGGAACAAACTATTGACACACACAACAATTTGGAAGGATGTCAAGGGCATTACGCTGAGTGAAAAAAGCGAGTCTCAGAAAGGTTACCAACTCTGGTAATGACATAAATGCTACATAAATTGGCTGGGCGCAGTGGCTCACACCTGTAATCCCAGCACTTTGAGAGGCTGAGGTGGGCGGATCACGAGGTCAGGAGTTCGAGACCAGCCGGGCCAACATAGTGAAACCCTGTCTCTACTAAAAATACAAAAATTAGCCGGGTGTGGTGGCGCCGCCCGTAGTCCCAGCCACTTGGGAGGATGAGGCAGAAGAATCGCTCGAACCCGGGAGGTGGAGGTTGCAGTGAGCCGAGATCGCCCCACCGCACACCAGCCTGGGCGACAGTGTGAGACTTCGTCTCAAAAAAAAAAATGCTACGTAAATGGTATGATTCCATTTACGTAGCATTCTTGAAACGACAAAATGTAGGTAGAGGAACAGATCAGTGGTTTCCATTGTCAGGACTGGGCATGGGGAAGTGTGGCTGTACAAGAGGAGCCCAAGGGAACTCCTTGGTGGTGATGGAACTGCTCTGTATCTCAAATGTCTGTATCTTTAGAAAGAAATCTACATATGTGATAACACTGCATAGAAATATATACATGTACACACAAGTGAATGTATGAAGGTCTGTACATTATACCAATGTCAAGGTCCTGGTTTTGATTATGTACTACAGTTACATAGAATTTACCACTGGGGAAAGCTGGGTAAAGGTGTGTAAGATTTCTCTGTCCTTTTTTTTTTTAATTGAGATATAATTCATATAGCATAAAGTTCGCCATTTTAAAGCGTTCAGTTCACTGGTGTTTTAGTATATTCACAAGGTTTTTCAACCATTACCATTATCTTCTTCCAGTACATTTTCACCACCCTCCAAAAGATAACCACATTCATTAGCAGTCTCTCCCCATTCCTGCTTCCTCCCAGCCCCTGGCAATGACTAATCTACTTTCTGCCTTCAGATTTGCCTATTCGGGACATTTCATATAAATGAAATGAAATTATACAACATATAGCCTTCTGTGTCTGGCTTCCTTCACTTGGCATAATGTTTTCAAGGTTCATCCAGGTTGTAGCATGTAGCAATAGTTCTTTCCTTTTTAGGGCTGAATAATATTCCATTTTGTGGAAATACTACATTTTCTTTATTCATCCATTGATGGACATCTGGCTGTTTCTACTACTTTTTGGCTATTCTGAATAATGCTGCTATGAACATGCATGTACAAGTTTTTTTTTTTTTTAAATAAATGTATGTTTTTAGTTATCCTGGGTATGCACCTAGGAATGGAATTGCTAGGTCATGGGTAACCCTACATTTACCTTTTTGAGAAATTGCTAAGCTGTTTTCCACAGGGGCTGCACCATTTTACATTTCCACAAGCAAAGAATGAAGGTTCCAATTTCTCCACATGCTCACCAATACTTATTTTCTCTTTTCTTTTTTAAAATTACAGCTGTCCTAGTGGGTGTGAAGTGATATCTCATTGCGGTTTTGATTTGCATTTCCCTAACAACTTATGATGTTAAGTATCTTTAATGTGCTCATTAGCCATTTGTACATTTTCTTGGAGAAATGTCTATTCAAAGTCCTTTGGCCATATTTTAATTGGGTTGTTCATCTTTTTGTCATTACGGTTTTTTTCTTTGTATATTCTGAATATTAGACCCTTATCAGATATATGATGTGCAGATATTTTCTCCCTTTTGTAGGTTGTATTTTTACTTTCTTGACAGTGTCATCTGAAGCAAAAATGTTTTTAATTTTGATGAAGTCTGACTTATCCGTTTTTTCTTGTTTTTGGTTGTTTGTGCTTTGGATGTCATAGCTAAGACTTCATTGACAAATTCAAGGCTATCAAGATTTACACCTTTGTCTTCTTCTAAGAGTTTGAAAGTTTTAGCTCTTACATTTAGGTCTTTGATCCATTGAGTTAGTTTTGCATAAGGCATATGGTGGAAGTCCACCTTCATTTTCTCGCATGTGGAAACGCATTTGTCCCAAGGCCATTTTTTGAATGACTATGCTTCTCCCATTGAACAGTTGTGGTATCCTTGTTGGAATCAATTGACTATAAATCCATGGGTTTACTTATGGATGCTCAATTCTATTTCATTGATCTATATGTCTATCCTATGCCAGTACCATGCAGTCTTTATTACTGCAGAGTTGGCGTATGTTTTGAAATTGAAGTGTGAGTTCTACTTTATTCTTTTTCAATAATGTTTTAGCTTTCCAAGTCCCTTGAAATTCCCTATAAATTGAAGAATCAGCTTGTCAACTTGTACAAAGAAATCAGCAGAGATTCTGATAGTGATTTTGCTGAATCTGTAGGTCAGTTTGGGGAAGTATTACCATCTCGACAATGTTGTCTTCTGATCCATGAACAGGGGATGCTTTTCCAGTTTCTTAGATCTTAGGTTTCTTTCAACAATGTTTTGTAGTTTTCAGAGTAAACATTTTGTACTTCTTTTGTTAAATATATTTCTAAGTATTTTATTCTTTTGATGCTACTGTAAACATAATTGTTTCTTAATTTCATTTTCTCTTGTAATCCTTTTTATTTCTGTAAGGTCAATAGCAATGTTCTCTCTATCATTCTTGATTTTAGTAATTTTAATCTTCTCCCCCATCTTTTTTTGGTTAGTTTAGCTAAAGGTTTGCCAATGTGTTAATCCTCTCAAAGAACCAACTTTTGATTTCATTGACTTTCTCTATTGTTCTTCTGTTTTCTGTACTATTTTACAAATTCCTGTGAGTCTATAATTATCTCCAAATAAAAAGTTTAAAAACTGTAAGCTTAAACAACAAAACAAAAAAACTGTAAGCTATGTTTCTGTTTAAAAAAACAAAAAAATATATATGGCACATTTTTATGTACTGGGGATATAGTGTAAACAGGACAGATAAGAATTTTCAGATAAACTGGGGAGACATAATATACATGTAAACAAGATCATTTCTTACAGTGAGATGTGCTCTGAAGAAATGAAAAAGGATGATGTGATAGTGACTGGGGTGGGAGGGAACAGGCCTCCTCCAGATTGTTGGGTGAGGGAAAGTCTTGCTGAGAAAGTGACATTAGGGCTGAAATCTGAATGTGGAGAAGCAATGTGAAAAACTGGAGGAAGAGGGTTTTGGAGAGGTAGGAATGAGGTTGGTGGATTGGAAGGAGAGGGCAGGCCCAAGGCTGCTGGAGCCTGGGTGTGAGGCGGGGGTGTGTGAAGCAGACAGAGTTGGGGCGGAGGCCTGTTCACAGAGAGCCTCCAGGCCATGGGGAAACACCAGGGCTTTATTTCCAAGGGTAACCAGAAGTCACAGTGAACATGTTTCAAGTAGGGGAAGGGCACAATCTGAGATAGATATATATATATATATATATATATATATATATATATATATATATATATGTATATACACACACACACACATATATAATATGTGTATATATACATATACACACACATATATATAATATGTATGTGTATATAATACACACACATATATATAATATGTATGTGTATATATATACACACACATATATATAATATGTATGTGTATATATATACACACACATAAATATAAATACACACATAAATATACATACACACACATATTAATATTTTTTAATTAATTTTTTTTATGGAGACAGGGTCTCACTATGTTGCCCAGGCTGGTGTCAAACTCCTGGCCTCAAGTGATCCTCCTGCCTCGATCTCCCAAAGTGTGCTGGGATTATAGGTGTGAACCACTGTGCCCAAATGTACTGTCCCCATGATTCAATTATCTCCACTTGGCTCTGCCTTTGACATGTGGATATTTTTACAATTCAAGATGAGATTTGGGTGGGGACACAGTCAAACCGTATCAATCCCCAATACATGTAAGTGTGCAATACATACATACATATATATTTTACTTTTTATTTGGAAATAATTCTAGACTCATAGGAAATCCATAATTTCCTAGGGCAATTAAGGAAGACTCTAGGTGGTACATCTGAGCCGACAGCAATGCCAGTTACTGAACAAAAAATACTGGAGGAAGAAGTGATGTGGGGAAGAGGGCAGGGGAATCAAAACTTAAGTTTTAAATCTCTGAGGTCTGAAATGGGCTGGGTATGGTGGCTGATGCCTGTAATCCCAGTGCTTTGGGAGGCCAAGGCAGGAGGATTGCTTGAGGCCAGGAGATCGAGATTAGCCTGGGACACACAGTGAGACCCTATCTCTACAAAAAATAAAAACAAATTAACCAAGTGTGGTAGTGTGTGCCTGTAGTTCCAGCTTCTTGAGAGGCTGAGGTTGGGGGGTGGCTTGAGCCCAGGAGGTCGAGGCTGCAGTGAACAATGACTGCACCACTGCTCTCCAGCCTGGGCAACAGAGCAAGACCCTGTCTCTAAAAATAATAATAATAATAATGAAGTCTGAGATGGCCAGGAGAGATCCAAGAGATGTCAAGCAGGAAGTTGACATTCATGTCAGTAACTCAGAGGGGCAGGCAGGGCTGGGTGTATAAATCTGGAGTCATCTTGAGGCCTTGTGCTGGGATGCAGCCAATGAGAGACATGGTGCGGGCACAGAAGGGTGGAGTTTCCATAGAGGCTGGGGCACTCCCACATCTTTTGAATGCTCCAATTCACTTCCACTGAAGCATTTTCTCTTTCAAACCCAGCCTCCGCTTCTAGGTACCTCAGCTGTCGGGTGAGCTCTATCAGCCATGCGCATGGCCTGGGGCAAGTGCCTCTTCCTCACTGCATCTTGTTTTCTCTCATTGGTAAAATGAGGAGAGTCATCCCAAGGTTCATGTGAGGGTTAAACGAGGCGATGCACCAGGCTGTGGCTGCCACACGCTGGTGCAATTAGATGGTTCTGAGAGGCAGTGTGTTCCGGTAGCCCCGGGCCTGGGACCCAGGATGCAGGGAAGCCCCACGTCAGGGAAGAAGGGGGAATCCAGCCTTCCTGTGGATGAGCCCAGAGACCCAGCAGCCCAGGGTGACACAGCTGCCTCATGTCCCAATCGCAGGGCCAAAAAATAAAAACCTCAAATCCACCAAAACCGTGGACCATCACATGGCAAAGCGCCCCAGTCTCTGCTAAACAGAAGAAAGGGAGAGCAATCATCAGAATTGGTCCCCATCAAATCCAGTGATGCTTTTTATTGTCTCTAGTGTGCTCTGTTCTGGAGAGCAGGCTTCCAAAATGCCACTGCTTTCTGCAAGAGTGGGGCAGGGGAGGGGTGGCGAAGGCTGGGCCAAGTCCCAGCAGCAAGCATGGGAGCCTATAGACTTGAATCTGGAGGCAAAGCAGGGATAGGCCAGGCCACAGCACCCAGGCAGCCATCATCCACAGCTCAGGGACTGTGTCTTTTGAGGGCTGAGATCACAGAGCTACTGATCTAGAAGGGGACTCAGACCCACCCAGTCCAACCCTGGGGACAGTTGTTGCTTCTTAGCTATCTAGCATCCAGCCCGCCGTTTGAGTGGCAATCTTGAATTTCTTAATTTTTGTTTTTACTTGTGACATATATTACACCTTTTCTAAGCAATCTTGAATACCTTCAGGGAGAATCTTTTCCTGCCCTGCTGGGGCATCTTGGTGGAACTGGCATCAAGATGTCCTGCCCTATTCAGTCTGGTCCATCAGCATTCCTCTCCTGAGACTATTTCCAGCAGAGAGTTGCGAGGACAAACCAACCAGCTAACCGACACTGCCGAGGCATCTCAATAAATGGTTGCTGTATGAACTAAGGGAATGAAGCTTTATCCTTTTCTCCATCTCCCCTTCTCATTTTGTTCCCTTCTCTGAAAGTAGCCCCCAACCTTGAGTCATGACCCAGTTTAAGACGTAAGTTAGTGATGGTTTCGGATGCCATGGAAGTGACCACTCACACAAAGGCCAAAACAGTCAACTAAGTAGGACAGCACGATCTCCCCCAGAACCTCAAGTCTGAGAAAAGAATCTTTCCAGAAGAATCTCACATCCTCCTGTTCATCTCCCACCCCCAAAAGACCACACCCGTGGTGGCCAGCATTCCAGGATGCTCCCTAAAACCCCAACTTTCCCCCAAGGCCCATCCTCTCCTGGCCTGCGTGGCAGTGAGTACACTAGCTACTCAAAAGACTTGAAACACATTTACTTTTTAAACATGTGCTAACTGAGCTGGACTCAGTTTCTGCTGCTGGAAATCTAAGAATCTGAACAGATGATTGACCCAATCTCCCATTTTTCAGCTTGCAGAAAAACCCACTCTCAGAGAAGGCAGGCAAGTTGCTGAGGCCAGAGTCAAGACCAGAATCTGGGTCTCTAGAACCAGAGATTTCAAAAACCCCTTTTCTTGTTTCCTCTTCTTTAAAATGGGAATAACACTAACTACTTTTCCCAGTGGTATTAATACTATTAATAATAATAACAATAACAGCAAAGGCTGGGCATGCTGGCTTATGCCCGTAATTCCAGCACTTTGGGAGGCCAAGGTGGGAGGATCACTTGAGGCCAGAGAAACCATCCCAGGTAACATAGTGAGACCCCGTCTCTATAAAAAATTTTACAAAATTAGCCAGATGTGGTGTTGTGTGCCTGTAGTCCCAACTATTTAGGAGGCTGAGGCAGGAGGACAGCTTGAGCCCAGGAGTTTGAGGCTGCAGTGAGCTATGATCACGCAATAACAACATCTTCCCAGGTCTCCGAGGAGATAATTGTGAATGAAGCTGAGGCCCAACATAGCAAAGATGACGTGGCTGCTACTCTGGCTCAGTTTAGCTCACAGTCTCTTGTGTGCAACTTGCAAGTAGCAGGAAGGAAAAAATGCCAGTACCCTCCCCGATCTTTTTTTTGTAAATTCTGTTGTTTGTTTGTTTATTTGTTGAGACGGAGTCCTGCTCCATCGTTCAGGCTGGAGTGTAGTGGCACGATCTTGGCTCACTGCAACCTCCCCTCCCAGGTTCAAGCGACTCTCCTGGCTCAGCCTCAAGTAGGTGGGACTACAGGTGTGTGCCCCAACGCCTGGCTAATTTTTGTATTTTTGGTAGAGACAGGATTTCGCCATGTTGGCCAGGCTGGTCTTGAACTCCAGGCCTCAGGTGATCCGCCCACCTCGGCCTCCCAAAGCGCTGGGATTACAGGTGTCAGCCACTGTACCTGGCTCTGTTGGATATTTAAAGGAAAGAAACATTCAACGTTTGTGGAGTGTGCACCTCACGACCTAGGGCAGCAGGGTCCTGAGGGGGTGTGGGCAAGGGTCCTGGCCCAGGCTGCCCGATATGAACTTGGCTCCACTACCTTCCAGCTGCATGACCTTGGCCAAGTCAATGCCCTTCTCCAAGCTGTAGTTTCTTCAACTACAAAGAACATCCATTAACCTTAATGACCCCTGAGGTCCAGTGTTTGATGGTGACTGTGGAAAACTGCAAGGTGGATAAAAGCAGGTGAATTGGCTCCCCCAAGAAAAACCCACAGAGCAGGGGCTGGGAAACAGCTTAGGGAGAGAGTGTCTGGGGCCTCTGCCAGCACCACTCCCTCAGGTTCCTCCCCAACTTTGCCCAAATGAATAACCCTGGTAGATTTTATCTTATTTATTTTTTTTGAGACAGAGTCTCATTCTGTCACCCAGGCTGGAATGCAGTGGCACAATCTTGGCTTACTGCAATCTCGGCTTACTGTAACCTCTGCCTCCTGGGTTCAAGTGATTCTCCTGCCTCAGCCTCCAGAAGTAGCTGGGATTACAGGCATGTGCCACCACGCCTGGCTAATTTTTGTATTATTAGTAGAGATGGGGTTTCACCATGTTGGCCAGGCTGGTATTGAACTCCTGACTTCAAGTGATCCACTCGCCTCGGCCTCTCAAAGTGCTGGGATTACAGGTGTGAGCCACCATACCCGGCCTATTTTTTTTTTTTTTTTAGAGACAGGGTCTTACTCTGTTGCTCCGACTGGAGTACAGTGGTACAGTCACAGCTCACTGCAGCCTCAATCTCCTTAGGCTCAGGAGATCCTCCCACCTCAGCTTTCCAAGTAGCTGGGACTACAGGCACAAGCCATGATGCCTGGCTAATTTTTTGTGTTTTTTGTAGAGACAGGGTTTTGCCTTGTTGCCCAGGCTGGTCTTGAACTCCTGACCTCAAATGATCCGCCTGCCTCAGCCTCCCAAAGTGCTGGGATTACAGGTGTGAGCCTCTGTACCTGGCCAGATTTTGTTGTTCTTCCCCTCCCTCCACTCATACCCTTAACACAGATTTACCAAGGGCAGAGAAAATGCATGGGAATACACAGCCAAGAAGCAATCCAGTGCCCCTTCCACTCACAGCTAAGTTCCTGTTGACGAGGCGGCCCAGCTCCCCAGGCGTGGCTGTGTTCCGGATATCCACATCGTGGGGCGACACATAAAGCTTTGTGTCATTCAAGTCAAAGAACTCGACTTCTGTGAGACCCACCCACCACGAGTTGCCCCAGTTGGACAGGATCTCCATGGTCACGTAGATGGCATCTTTGATCTCGTCTGCCCTCATTCTCTGTTTGTCCTTAAAGAAGAGAAAAATAACACCAAAGGATTAAGTCATGACAGGCTTGAATTCGGCTCTGCCTCTGCCACCACTGCCTTCAAAAAGTTAGTTAACCTTCAGGGTCTCAGTCTCTCCATCTGTACAATGAGGATAAGAATAGCACCCACTACCTATGGTTATTACAATGATTAAATGAATTCATACTGTAAAGCATTCAAAATAGAGGCCCTGTGTAACTGGCACTCTGTGAGCATTCTGTTTGAAAGTTTACAAATAAATAAAAATGTCTAAAAAGCATTGAATTCTGCCTGAACATGCACGTCTCTCCCCCACTACTCAGTGTTCGGTACCCAGAAGCTTGTCACGACATCTGCTGAATTGAGTAGGTGTTACGTGCTAAGGCCGGGCACGGTGGCTCACGCCTGTAATCCCAACACTTTGAGAGGCCAAGCTCGGAGGATTCCTCGAGGCCAGGAGTTCAAGATCAGCCTAAGCAACAAAGTGAGATCCTGTCTTTACAAAAAAATTAAAAAAAAAAAAGAGCTTGGCACAGCGGCACATGCCTGTAGTCCCAGCTACGCAGGAGGCTGAGGCAGGAGGATTGCTGGAGCCCAGGTGGTTGAGGCTGCAGTGAGCTGTGTTCACACCACTGCATTCCAGCCTGGGTGAAAGACCCAGTCTCAAAAAAAAAAAAAAAAGGTTACGGGCTGAATTTATCCCTTCCAAATTAATCTGATGAAACTCTAATCCCCAGTACCTCAGAATATGACTGTATTTGGAGATAAGGCCTTTAAATAGGTGATTAAGTTAAAATGAGGCTGTGGGGGAGGGGGGCACTAATCCAATCTAACTGGTGTCCTTATAAGAGGAAAGTTGGACACACAGAGAGACACACCAAGGATGCACACACAGAAAAAGGCCATATGAGGGCAAAGCAAGAAGGCAGCTATCTGCAAGCCAGAGAGAGGCCTCAGAACAAACCAAACCTGCCAACACCTTGATCTTGGACTTCCAGCCTTCGGAATTGTGAGAAAACAAATCTCTGTTGTTGAAGCCACCCCATGTGTGGTATTTTGTTATGGCAGCCCTGGTGGACTGATATAGTAGGTAACATGGCCCCCTGGCCTTGGACAAGTCACTTGACATCCCTCGGCCTGGTTGGGGAAGAGGACATGACACCATCTATGTGATAATCCTGTCACAGATGTTAAACAAGATATCAATACCTAAGAAGGCCCTATCATGAGCCTCGGCCCTGGGTGCGCTCTGTAAGTGTCTGTTTCTTTCTGTTTCTCTCCTTCATTGGTTTTAATGCCTGCCTCCTTCCTGCGTCGGCTGTCTGCTCTGAGAGCCTGCGTGAATGCCATCAATAAATGGCCACCGTTCGGAATGGCTTCCTGAGGCCCTCCAGGGCTGATTGCAGCACTGGTCGCCACGGATCAGTCACTCACAAAATGGTGCATTCCCCATGTGCACATGCCCTCTGTTAATTAGCATGGGTAATCTGCAATGGTTCTGTGAGCAGGGAGCCAAGCAAATGAACAGCAACTGTTCCCCACTTATTTTTTTAATTAATAGCCAGCGAGACGTGCTATTGCTCTCAGTGTGTGTTTGGAGGGGCCTTGATTGCCACACGGTGGGAACGCGGATAGGGAGGAGGGAGAGAGGTCAGCTCACAGCTCCTGGATAAAAGATAGGGCCTGTTTTGATCAGCTGGGCCCTCGAAACCCACAGCTTCCTCCTGCTCCACAGCCATGTGGGGTCCTGGCCAAGCCTCTGCTGCCCTGGGTCTGAGTCCCAGGCATGCAGGACAGTGATAAAGCTAAACTGGCCTAGTTGACTCCAGGGGACTGGGAGTTAATGAGCTTGTGATAGTGTGGAGCAATCCAGGGCCAGGTGAGTGGTCAGTCTGGGGATTGCTGAAGAAGTGGCACCGTTCACCTTGCTTGTTGGTGGGAGGCAGGAGGACCAGATGGGAGGCAGGCTGCCTTTCAGAGGGGCTGCTAGAACTCCCACCCAGTGCAATCTGAAATGTGCAAATTCCTCAGCTGCGTTCGTAAATGAAAAAGCTGAAGGATCTGTTAACTAAGCAAGTGTCACAACTCGTCTGTTGCTACTCAGTGGCTCCTCCTGCTTCTGCACTGCCCAATTTGGGATCCCACTTGGCGGTGGGAGGGGGACACTGGCTGGGAAGTTCCTGGCCCCTGTCATTCATTGTCCCCGCTCTTGCTGAGACCACTTGATTTTCCTTGGGGGAAAGCCACGGCGTCTCTTTTCTCAGCCATAAAGCATAGGGGAACTGACCCTTTCCCACTCCAGGGAGGTGCCTGACTGGTCCAAGGAAGCAATGTGTCCTGTCCCCTCGGCTGCCAGAAGGGAGCAGCTCAGTGACAGGCAAGCACCCCAGCACAGGTCGGTGCAAGCACACCAGTCACAGATTTACATGGGGAGAAACAGGCTTCTCTCCTGACAGTGGAGTCTGATGATACAGGGGTGCAAGGTAGAACCATTCTAGCTATTTGGGGACCATGAGGAGGGAGCAGAGATGGGACTGAGCTCCAGGGGGTGGGACTGAGCTTTCCACTGTGCAGACAGAGGGGAAAGACACAGTGCGAGCTGCTGGACCAGGCTCCACCTGGCCCTCCCTGTGTCATTTTCAATGAGAAGAGTCTGTCATTTTTCTGCTCTTTGTTGTATAAGTCAGTTTGCCCTGGATTTTCTGTCTCCCGTAATATAAGGAGACTTGGTCAGGTGTGGTGACTCACAGCTGTAATCCCAGCATTTTGGGATGCTGAGGCGGGAGGATTGCTTGAGCCCAGAAGTTCAAGACCAGCCTGGGCACCACAGCAAGGATTCATCTCTACAAAATTTTTTTAAAAAACAGCCAGGTGTGCTGGGGGGCCCCTGTAGTCCCAGCTACTCAGGAGGCCAAGGTGGGAGGATCGAGTGAGCAAGGAGTTCAAGGCTGCAGTGAGCTGTGATCACACCCACTGCACTCCAGCTTAGAAGAAAGAGCAAGGCCCTGTCTCTAAAATTAATTAATTAATTAAAACAATAAAAATAAAGAAACTATTCCATGCAGTGGGGAGCACAGCTTTGATTTTTCTCGGTGAACTTGCAGCAGATATTTGCTGGTTTCTCCCTGCACTGAGCTGCATGCTTTCAGAGACCTTTCCTGTTTCATCCTCACAGTGGCCTGTGGGGCATGGATTATTGACCCTATCTGAGAGCCAGGACCAGACAGCTTAAGAGGCTTGTCTAAGGTCACACAATCTCTCAATGATGGTGCCAGATTCAAAGCTGGAACTCTAGTCCAGGCCAGGCCAGCTCAGGGGCCTTTCTGCTCTCATAGGATTTTATATGTGGCTTTGGGAGGACTTTGCATTAAGTCCTCACCGGCCAGTAGTAAGATTGGTGACCACCATACCAAATAATACTAAGAATGGCTTGAGTGAAGGTAGGGGCAGAAGGGAGTGCTGGGACACACACCTTTTAGCACAAAAGAAAATGGAGGCTGGGTGTGGTGGCTCACGCCTATAATCCCAGCACTTTGGGAGGCCGAGGTGGGTGGATCACTTGAGGCCAGGAATTAGAGACCAGCCTGGCCAACATGGCAAAAACCCATCTCTACTAAAAATACAAAAATTAGCTGGGCATGGTGATGCGTGCCTGTAATCCCAGCTACTCAGTCGGCTGAGGCAGGAGAATAGTTTGAACCTGGGAGGCAGAGGTTGCCATGAGCCAAGATGGTGCCACTGCACTCCAGCCTGGGCGACAGAACAAGGCTCTGTCTAAGAAAAAAAAAAAAAAAAAAAAGAAAAAAAAGAAAAGAACGAAAATCGAATCACCGTTAATCCTACCACTCTGATGCCACAGTTCCCTTTTGTATTTTGTGTCCTAGCTCCATCAACACACTCATATGGCCACATCTTTGTGTGGTTGTCACAATCATTTTGGACTTGAAGATTAACATCACCTTTTACAGTCAGGCTGATATCTCTAACGTTTCCTGTCTGCATCGTCTCGTAATGATAGCTTCCATCCTTTTATACTACTGCATCGTGCTGATGTATTATACTTTCCTGATTAACTCCATTGTTATGAGACATTTAGGTTTTAAAAAAAAATGTCTTCCCTACTTCCAATAATTCTATAACAGACATCTTCCTGCCTCTAGCTTTTTAGTTCTGTGGGGTGATTTCCTTAGATAAGGAAGTGGGATTGTGGGGCGGAAAGACATAAGTGTTTCTCAGGCTCTTCCTAAGGTCAAGCATTCTGTTTTCCAAGAGGATTTCACCTGTTTATACAGCTGCCTGCCACGTATGTGGGACTGCCGCAGCTTTATTGTAACCTTGCTAGCACTAGAGGTTATCATCAGAAATAATTTGTCAATTCAGAGCTCAAATGGGACATTTAGGTTGCTGTAATTTGCATTTCTTGATTGCCAGCGATGTTGGACATTTTCCTATGGGCTTCCACGCTATTTATATTTCCTCTTGTGCAGACAGGCTTCTCTCTGCTGAAACTTCTGGCCTACATCTTCCTTTCTCTACCCCTGCTCTTCATCATATATACCTCTGTGTGCCAGGGAGGGGGGGGGCGGTGGAAACACAGGCAGAGAGATGCTCATTTAACCACTGTCAGAGCAATCCTCACTGATGCGAAATGCCTGTTCTGAGGGAACTTCCTGAATGTACAACTGAAAATCAAGTCAAGGCTCTCACCTCTGTGTCTGATACTTGCTCCTTGGTTGGTGAAACCACCCTGCCGAGATGGGCAGAGTCACTTTCGACGGCCTGGAGGACTTTCAGAAGCTTCTGCTGTTGTCTGAAATGGGATTTGGTTTTAGCAAACAGGAAGTAGTAAATGATACACAAAAGAGAACATTCCAATCAAAAGTGCTGCACTCGGGGATAGGAAATGATTTGAAGGGGAAGTATGCACTCTGTATCCAGTTCAAAGGCAAGGGCAGGCTTGCTGTTTTTCTCCCTTTATAAATGGCTACACAATTAGTGATGGAATCAGAGCCCAGCTGGGGAAACACTGCTTGGGGCAAGGTGGCCAGCTGACCTCCCTAAGCTTAGAACTTGAGAGTCAAGAGCAGAGGTCAGCTGAACTAAGGCCTACGGGTCAAATCCAGCCCGTGACCTGTTTTTGTATAGCCTGTGAGCTAAGAATGGTTTATGTTTTTAAAAGGTTGTACAAAGAAACAAACTATAACAACAACAATAACAACAACAAAACCAACCGCAAAGCATATTTACTATCTGGCCCTTTATAGCAACAATTTGCTGACTCCTGGGCTGGAGATCTGCTCTGCTCCTCTTGTTTCTGAGGACATGGCATTCTAAACCCAGCAGAGCGTGCCTTCATCATTTGCAAACATGCCCACGTGTGCAGTTTAAGGCTGGGTACCCCCAAGGCCCTGAAGCACAAAGGATCTCGATGCCGAGGAACCAAGCATTTGGCGGAGTGCATGCTGCTTGTAATAAAACTGCATCAGATGTAAAATATCCTCATGGCCCAGCCTTTTCTTTCTTTCTTTTTTTTTTTTTGAGATGGAGTTTTGCTCTTGTTGCCCAGGCTGGAGTGCAATGGCACAGTCTCGGCTCACTACAACCTCTGCCTCTGGGGTTCAAGCAATTCTCCTTCCTCAGCTTCCTGAGTAGCAGGGATTACAGGGGCTCGCCACCATGCCCAGCTAATTTTTGTATTTTTAGTAGAGATGGGTTTTCGCCATGTTGGCCAGGCTGGTGTCGACCTCCTGACCTCAGGTGATTTGCCCACCTGGGCCTCCGTAAGTGCTGGGATTACAGGCATGAGCCACTGCACCGGGCGGCCTTTTCACATGCAGGGGAATCTGCGAGTTCTTATTATGGCCACAATGGTACACAGCCCTGATTTCCACCTGGGGCCTGGAGAGTCTTAAAGGAATGGATGGCGCTGCCTTTAGCCTATTCAGTTTTCCTTTAAGTTATAACAAAGGGCTCCCTCTAGGTAGACACAGACCTGGAGGGCACACAGCTTGGCTAGTGAATTCCTTCTTCATGCAGAAAAACGACCACCCCCTTTCTGGGCTGATGCAGCCCCAGGCCAGACCCTCAGCTTAGTAACCAGCACACAGGCTGGATTTCAGCCCCTTCTCGCCTCTCAGCCAGGCACTTTGCACAGTGCACAACATGCACAGCTGTGCAGTGGCCCTCAGAGTGTGTCTGTGTGCCATGGCATGCTAGAAACTACAGGCTCTCAGCCTGACGCATCTTTCTGAAGATCTATTTTGTCTGAAGACTAGAGGGAAGGCTTTATTTTGATAATAAAACCTGACAGTTCCAATAACTGCTGCTACACGTTAATGGAACAGAATGCTGAGTTTGAACAAACTTTTAATAGAGAAAAGGAGCTTCGAAGGACGCTGCTGTGGGCCAACCTCGCCCCCTAGACCAGCTGGGGAACAAGTTTAACACCCTGTGCTGCATGGGGTATTCTACTGGAAACCTGGAGAAGGTTCAAGTTCTACACAGGTTGGGGCCAAACTGACCAAGATAAGAGCCATATGCCTAAAAGAAATCAAGTCAATTTGAGAGCTTTAGGGCTGGTGGGGGAGACAGAGTATAGTCTAAAGGAATAGTTTAACAGAGTTTGGGGTCAGGTGTAGTGGCTTACGCCTGTTTGAGAGGCCGAGGTGGGTGGACTGCTTGAGCCCAGGAGCTGGAGACCAACCTGGGCAACGTTGTGAGACCCCCTCTACAAAAAAGTACACAAATTAGCTGGGTGCGGTGGCACACACCTGTGATCCCAGATACTCAGGAGGCTGAGGCTGGAGGATCATTTTAACCCAGGAGTTTGAGGCTGCAGTGAGCTGTTTGTGCCACTGCACTCCAGCCTGGGCAACAGAGCAAGATTCCATCTTAAAGAAAGAAATAAGGGGTCTGAAAAAAACGTAGGAAAAGCAAAGAACCCTCATGAAGAAGATCCCCATGGCTGCACTGCTAAGGGGTTTCGGGTTTGGCCTCAGCCTTAGTAGTACCTGCTTCCCAGAAGCCCAATTCTGTCCATGGCCTGGTTGATGGCCCTGGCTCCTCCTGCTGCCCCGGCCGGCTCCTGAGTAGTAGTCGCCGTGGTGATGGGAAGCAGCTGAGGATGGAAAGGCTTATTAAACAGATGTCTCAGGCAACACTCCTGGCCTAAGACACAGCAGGGTCACGGTCAAGGGCAGGCATGCTCAGGCTGACAGTCCCTTTGTAGAAAACAGGAACAGGAATGTGAGGGTGACAGCAACTGCCTGGAGCTTCTATCTAGAACCCCTCACACCATCTCAGCTTCCGAGGACCAGGGCGCTCCTAGGAAACAATCCACTTCGATGAGTGACTGTAAACTTTCTCTTATCAAAATGCTTCACTGGCCAGACGCAATGGTTCATGCTTGTAACTGTAGCATTTTGGGAGGCTGTGGCAGGAGGATCACTTGAGCCCAGGAGTTTGAGGCTGCAGTAAGCTATGGTCATGCCACTGCACTCCAGCCTGGGTGACAGAGTGAGACACTGTCTCAAAAAATAAAAAATAAAAAAAAATCCTCTCACCATCTCAACCAAGCCCCTGTTCTGCTTTGTACAAAGTAAGCAGACTCTATGAAGAATTCCAGTAACAGCATTAGGCCCTTTCATTTTTAATTCTCTGAGCCTTTTCCCCTTCTTTTTCATTTGTCATCGACGCTAAAAATGTGCCCTGCTGTCCATCTGCAGACGATTTTAGTCCCTGGAATCTCTGTGGGTCAGGAATTAGGTCATTCAGAAATTCCGGACCTGGGCAGTTACTGCAGGCCTGTCAGAAACACAGGCTAGTGGCAGACGAGGATGATGGGAACTGGCAGGACAAGTGGCAGCAATGCAAACAGCAAACAGCTCCAGTGCTCTGGGGTGTCACATGCACACCCTGTCCCACTTGGGCTCTGTCTCCCTCTGCTTCTCCCGTCCCCACTTCGCCGCCTCACAAAGGGCTTCTTCCTGCTCCTTGATCAGGCTGGGCTCATTCCCACCTCAAAGCTTTTCCCCGTTCCTTCCACCTGGAATGCCGTTCCCTGTTGCTGGTGCCTTCCGAACAGGCAGGGCTCAGCTCAGATGGGACATGCCTTCCAAGGGGCACCCAGGACCACCCTGTGAGCAGCAGCCACCACCCCACACCCTGTCATTCTCTCACATATTAGCAGCTGTGATTGTCATCGCTCTCTGATATCACCCTGTTTATGTATGGTTTTATTTGCTGTTGCCTGTAAGCTGCATGGGGCTGGGGCTCATCTGTCTCAGCTGCCTCTGCATTCTGAGCACACAGCACAGACCTGTGTATAACCAAGCAAAGATGGTCCTGGGCATTTTATTAAGTCACTTCCTTATTTTCTGGGACCAAATTTGCTGAGATATACTTAATTGACCTAGATAGATACAGATAAAAAAATTTATTTATTCAAGGTACTAAGATCTGTTTTTGCATTGTCTTGTCAATAAATAGAAATATAGGTCAGGCGTGGTGGCTAACACCTGTAATCCCAGCACTTTGGGAGGCTGAGGCGGGTGGATCACTTGAGGTCAGGAGTTCGAGACCAGCCTGACTAACATGATGAAACCTTGTCTCTAGTAAAAATACAAAAATTAGCCAGGCGTGGTGGCTGTGCGCCTGTAATCCCAGCTACTTGGGAGGCTGAGGTGGGAGAATCACTTGAACCCGGGAGGCAGAGGTTGTAGTGAGCCGAGATTGCACCATTGCACTCCTGCCTGGGCAACAGAGTGAGATTCTGTCTCAAAAAAAAAAAAATAAATAAAATAAAAAAATAAATAAATAGAAATAATTACAACAGTTTGAGTCAGCAGGCCTGGGTGAGTTCTAGCTTCAACTCGTGACCTTGGGTAAGCCACGCCATTCCTGGTCTCCCGATCTGTGAAATGGGCAGCATGACACCAGTGCTCAGGGCACACAGTGAGGACCTGGTAGGACAGTGTGAAGGAAAGCGCCCTGGAGGCCATCAGGTGCTATGCACATGCATAGGGCTTTGTCATTCATCTCTGCCTGGCACCATCGGGAGCTACGCACATGCGTGGGGCTTTGTCATTCATCTCTGCCTAGCACTGACCTCAAGGGTCTCTTCCTTCTCCTCCAGCAGACTGGTCCATGGTTTTGCTGGTGGTCCTTCTGCATCCTGGAAGGATGTGATCACATGATGTGATGTTGGAACAAAGCCATTCACTCCATGCTGTTCACAGAAAGATGAGGGCACAGAAAAGGGCAGGGACCTTCTCAAGCTACCATAGATATAAAGTTCAGGGGCAAGGTCAGAGGTCTGGGAACACAGACAATAGTTGCTGCTCGATGGATGCCCCAAAGATCAACCCCAAGATAGAGCCTGGGGAACAACCGGTGCTGGTGACAGGGCCCTGGGCTTGCAGGCGGGCAGATCTCGGCCACTTGCAAAGATGTGATCACCTTGTCCTTGAGAGAAGCAGGCCACCTTGCTTCTCTGGGTACCAGTGGCCATATCTGTGAAGTGAGGCAATGAAACCAACCCTGCCTATTTAAGGGCTACTCTGAGCATCGGGGGGACAAGCTAAGAAAAAGGGTTTCAACAGGCGACTCACAGACCAAGCTTCTGAGAAAGGACGTGCACACCAAGCTATACCCAATGCCTCCAGCTCCCCAAGGTCCCTGATCTACCCACCATTTATCCTCCTGTTGGCTGCTCAAAGCTGAAGGCAGCAGGCGGAAGCTCAAACCCCTGTAGGCCCAGAGAGGTTTTGTGAACAAGTGAAGTGGGCCAGGGGCAGGACAATAGGGAGCAGTGACGACTGCGGAGGCCTGAAGGGCCCACGCTCGGGAATGAGACCTTTGCTGGGAAGCCAGAGCTTGTTGTTGACTCCATTCTTCACTGACCCACCAGTTTGCAACCCTGGTCTAAGGTATCCAGGGTTTGCAGGGAAATCAGTGAGGATGAGGACTGGAGGCAGATTAGCACCCAGCTTAGGCTTTGTGAAATAAAGAGCTAAAAGAAGGCGGAAGAAAAGGGAGCCTTAGCAGGTCAGTGGGTGACTGTCTGAACAGTGGAAACACGGATGAGTCTGGGGTCAGCGATGCCCACTACACCTCTCTCTTCTGCACACTTGCTCTTCTCAACTGCAGCTCAGACACTGCCCAGTCCAGGGAGCATCCCCCGGTTCCTCTCCCAGCCCGGAGCGCACCTGCAGTGGGCTGGCTGGCTGCTCGGCCTTTCTGCTGAGGAGCGCCCTCTGCAGGGCTGCGTTCTCCACCTGGATGGCTTGGAGCACAGCAGAGGCATCTTCCTCTGGGTACTCAGCCTCGCAAAGAGTTTTGCGGGTTGCAGACAGGGGTCTCTCTCGCCGGCTTCCAGGTCCTGAGGGCAGAAGACAGGGGGACGTTCTTTTAGATTATATTCTCGGAGTGCAGCTCACAACCCATTAGACCCCAATTGAGGAACATTCTATAAAACAACTGGCCCATACTCTCCAAAAATGTCAAGGCGGTAAAAGACAAAGAAAACGGTTCCAGATTACAGGAGACTAGGCAGACACGGCTGAATGCAGTGGTGGCCCTGGGGGGACTTGGTCCTGGGGAGGGAGCAGTGCTGTAAAGAACATTATTGTGGCAACTGGGAAAATTCAAATACAGTCTATGGCTTAGACAGTGGTATTCTAGTAATGCTAAATATCCTGAATTTTGTTAGTGTACTGTGGTTATGTAAAATGAATGCCCTTGTTTTTAGGAGATATATATAGCAGTGTTCGGGGTAAAGGGGAATGATGTCTGCCACTTAATTTCAAATAGCTTACAAACACACACACACAGTTCAGGAGTAAAGGGGAATGACGTCTGCAACTTCATCTCAAATAGTTTACACACATACATGCACACACACATATGCACATGCACAAACACAGTTCAGGGGTAAAGGGGAATGATGTCTGCAACTTCATCTCAAATATTTACACACACACACACACCCTCTATCGATCAATTTATCTGCAGTTATATAATTTAATTTACAGATCAATACATGATAGCAGGCATACACATATGTGTGTGCATAATATTTCTGTATATATAATTTTTGTATAATTATATATAATTTTTATATAATTATATATATACATAGAATATAAAGCAAAAGCAATTGGAGTAAAACGTTAACTGGTGAATCTGGGTATGTGGGTGAAGGGTGGAAGCGTCAGTGTACTATCCTTACAATGTTACTTTAAGTTTAAAATTTTATCAAGACATGCATCCAACAAGCATATGAAAAAATGCTTGACATCACTAATCATTAGAGAAAAGCAAATCAAAATCACAAGGAGATACCATCTCACACCAATCAGAATGGCTATTGAAAAGTAAAAATCTAACAGATAGATGCTGGCGAGGTTGGGGATTAAAGGGAATGCTTATACACTGCTGGTGGGAGTGTAAATTAGTTCAGCCATTGTGGAAAGCAGCATGGCGATTCCTCAAAGAACTAAAAACAGAATTACCATTTGACCCAGCAATCTCATTACTAGGTATATACCCAAAGGAATATAAATCATCCTACCATAAAGACACATGCACATGTCTGTTCATCTAGCACTATTCACAATAGCAAAGACATGGAATCAACCTAAATGCCCATCAACAGTAGACTGGATAAAGAAAATGTGGAGGCCGGGTGTGGTGGCTCACGCCTGTAATCTCAGCGCTTTGGGAGGTCGAGGTGGGTGGATCACCTGAAGTCAGGAGTTCGAGATCAGCCTGGTCAACATGGTGAAACCCTGTCTCTAATAAAAATACAAAAATTAGCTGGGTGTAGTGGCAGGCACCTGTAATCCCAGCTACTTGGGAGGCTGAGGCAGGAGAATCGTTTGAACCCAGGAGGCAGAGGTTGTAGTGAGCCGAGATCGCACCATTGCACTCCGGCCAGGGCAACAAGAGTGAAACTCTGTCTCAAAAAAAAAAAAAAGAAAAAAAATGTGGAATACTATAGAATACACCACGGAATACTATACAGCCATAAAAAAGAATGAGATCGTGTTCTCTGCAGCAACATGGATGAAACTGAAGGCCATTATCCTGAGCAAACTAACATGGGAACAGAAAACCAAATATTGCATGCTCTCACTTATAAGCTAAACAATGAGAACACACGGATACTAGCAGGGGAACAACAGACACTGAGGTCTATTGAGGGCAGAAGGTGGGAGGAAGGAGAGGACCAGAAAAAATACCTATCAGGTACTATGCTTATTACCTGGGTGATGAAATTATCTGTATACCAAATCCCTGTGACATGCAGTTGACCTATGTAACAAACCTGCACATGTATTCCTGAAACTCAAAGTTAAAAAAATAAAAATAAAAAATAAAATTGCATCAAAACAAAAACTTATTTAAAAAATTAACTTTCTTACAGAATACCTGTAAAGAATAATATATAATGTTAGGAAGAAGGATGGGTATTTTGCAATATTATTGCTTTTTTGTTTTACTTTTGCACGGGTAACAAGAATTACAAAGTAATAACACCCCAATTTAAGAAAACAAGTATTGCAAAGTTGCAGTTGATTCTGGAAGTTCCCATGAATGGAAAGATGGTTTTATAAAATATACAGTGATATAAAAGAAGCACCTAATAAAACTAAGCATCTAATAAATTATGGTACACCCACCCAACAGAGTACAATGACGCTCTAAAAAGAAAAGAATACTAAAATATCTGCAGGTAAAATTATATGAAGGCTTCCATTTGCTTCCTAAAAATCTGGGGAATGGGTAGGGGTGATGACGAGATGAAATTGCCTGTAAATTGATTATTGCCAAGGATGGGTAATGGATGGATACATTGGGGCGGGGAGGGGAGGTCAGTGTAACATCCTCTCAATTATTTATGTTTGGATTTTTTTCATATTAAAACATACTCCATTAAAATATAGAGCTGCTCCAAATATTTCTTTGGGGTGCTTAAAGAGTTTACCTACTGAATCTCAACCCTTGGGGAAATATTTATCTGTGCCAGGCTCTGTTCTTGGCACTGGCGACACAGCAGTGACCAGAGATACCAAGTCCCCCACTCACATGGTGAGAGACCATAAGCTGGAGAAATAATAAATTTAAAACACAGAGTTTGATGTGGAAACTGACATGAAAAACCATGCAAAGCAGATCGGGGTAAGGGAGATCTGGAGTGTGGATATCAGGGGCAGAGAGAGCCTCGCAGAGGACCAGGGAAGTGTGCTCCAGGCACCAGCGCAAAGATGGGAGGCGTGTGATGTGTTCTCTGAGCAGCTAGGTACCCATGGGGCTGGAGCGGAGCCAGCAGGGGTATAGGTTGACAGAAGGCCTGAAAGGGATTGGGGGAGCGCAGGTCATGCAGGGCCTTGCAGGGCACTGTAGGGCCCATGCTCTGCGGGAAATGGGGAGCCACTGAGGAATTCAGAGCAGAAGACCAGATCTGATGTAGGTGCAGAGTGGAGAAGAGACTGAAAGGAGGTGAAAGCAGGGAGATGGCCAGGGGCTACTAGTTGTCCAGGAGACAGGAGGCAACAGCGGTGGAGGAGGGGACACAGAATGTGGTCAGATTACAGGCATCTGCCAGAGACAGAGCCAATAGGACTTCCTAACAGTCCAGCTGTGGATGGGATAGGAAGAGAGGAGTTACAGGTGACTCCACGAGTGATGGCTTGAAGTAGAAGACGGGGTTGCTTTCAGCTGAGCTGTGGAAGGCTGTGGGTAGAGGAAGTTTGGGAGGAGCAGAGGGCTCAATTTGGGACAAGCTGGGTTCAAGATGTGAGTGTGGCATCAGAACAGAGCTGCTGAGTTGACCTGTGCACGCAGGAATCCAGAGTTTGAGAGAGTCTAGGCTGGATATGTAAATTTATTTATTTATTTATTTATTTATTTATTGTGGTAGGGTCTCCCTTGTCCAGGCTGGAGTGCAGTGGCACAATCTCGGCTCACTGCAACCTCTACCTCTGGGGTTCAAGCAATTCTTGAGCCTCAGCCTCCTGAGTAGCTGGGACTACAAGCATGCGCCACCATGCCCAGCTAATTTTTGTATTTTTTGTAGAGACGGGGTTTCACCATGTTGCCCAGGCTGGTCTCAAACTCCTGGACTCAAGTGATCCACCCACCTCGGCCTCCCAAAGTGCTGGGATTACAGGCATGAGCCACCGTGCCTGGCCTGGAGATGTAAATTTTACATAGGCAACTGGATTGGATCATTTAAGGGTATCAAAGATTGGTATTAATGTTGGCCTAAAACAAACTAATGAAATTTACAGGTATGACATCTTGGGGGATCTATGTATACTTGTGACCTGGTACAAGGCTTTCTGAAAAACAGCATGCTTCCATTCTCAGGACCTTAGCAAACCATCAGCTGTTGATTATTAAGGGCTCCTGTCGAAGCACTTGACTCTCTTGCTACGCCCCATTAGAATGCTGTGTCTGAATGTTCAGGTAGCAACATCAAGAATGTCACTGGCAGGAGAAGGCAGGAGACACCTGGAGGCTCTACTGGGCTGCTTTCCAGGACAGCCAGGCACTGGGCTGATGGGGATGATGGTAGGTTTTTATGGGAATGCTAAGCTAAAATGAAGGAATAGCAAGTTCTGCCAGGCACCCAAGAAAGGGGCTGTGAGTGCAAATGCCCCAAGAACCATCTCAGTGTCACTGAATGCCAGGGGCCGAGTGCCACTGAATAGAAGCCACCTACCTCCCAGCTCCAGACAATCCTTGCCTTATGGGACTGTGCTCCTAGTGTTACCAAATGCTTTTTTTTCCCCCAAGAAAAGCTACCATCTGAAATATATGTGAAATCCCCTGAATTTTATTTGTTCATAATGTCTTCCAGTTTCTAAGAAATGTTGTAAGGGCCAACAGAACCCACTGGCTGTTCTAGTACAGGCCAGGGCACGTCCCAGCTGCTCCCTGAGAAGGGTCAAGGCACCTAGAGGAACCTTCACAGCACCTGTGGATGGCTGCTCTGAGCAATAAACATCAAGTGGGGCCAGGCGCAGTGGCTCACGTCTGTAATCCCAGCACCTTGGGAGGCTGAGGCAGGTGGATCACCTGAGGTCAGGAGTTCAAGACCAGCCTGGCCAACATGGTAAAACCCCATCTCTACTAAAAATACAAAAATTAGCCAGGCATGGTGGCGGGCGCCTGTAATCCCAGCTACTTGGGAGGCTGAGGCAGGAGAATCGCTTGAACCCGGGAGGCAGAAGTTGCAGTAAGTCGAGATCATGCCACGGCACTCCAGCCTGGGCCACAGAGCGAGACTCCATCTCAAAAAAAAAGAAAAGAAAAAATCAAGTGGGCCATTTTCAGACTTTGATGTACTGTCTCTTGTCATCATCCCTGATGCTGCTCCTGAGGACAGAGAGGTAAGGAGCTGCCAGACATGTGAGCCAGGGATTCTGCTCGCCCACTGGAGGCTGCTTTGCCCTTCTCATCTGTCACTTGGCCTGCTGGGCAACAGGAGAGATGAGAAAGTAAAGCAAACATGGGCTGAGAATGAGGTTTGGAAGAAACTCTGTTTAGCAAGCTATGTTGCAGATTCTTATTGTTATGGAAACAAGCAACAGGTAAAAGGATGGGGAAGATCTCACCAGTATCTTCCTTACTCAGTGCAAAAAGGATCAGGTCCTGAAATAGCCAGGAGGACCACAAAAGGAGTGAAGGAAGCTGAAGGATGTGGTTTTGAGCTATACTGGAGCTGAAGCCAAAACACCCCAAAGTATAGACACACCCTCGCCCCTAACGCAGAAATGAGTTATCCACAAAGTCAAAGGTACTTCGTTACCAGGCTTACGACCTGCACTATGCTGTGAGCTTCTTTGGTTGAGTGAGATGCTGCTCTTGGTGTGGGAGTACAGGGGTCGGAGGAACGGGCACACTTTCTGCCCTCATTGACCTTGTAGTCACAAAGCAGAGACAGACATGGGTCAGGTACATGCAGAGGGTAAGGGGCTGCTCATGATGGGAGGGGACGCACTGTCATTTGAGATGTACCATCTGGGAAGAGGATATCTGAGTGGGGACACGAAGGCGGTGAGCCCTGGGAATACCCTGCTCTTCCCTTCGCCTGGAACAGCAGGTGCCAGGCCCTGGTAGGTCAAGCTCAGCACACTGAGGAGTGGCAAGGGGGCTGGAATGGGGGGCAAGGGGAAGGATGGTTAGCAACGAGGGTGGAGAGGTTGCGGGCTCAGTTCTTGTAGAGCCTCAGCTACTTCATGAGGTCATACCCATCTTGTTTACTGTTGTATCCCTGACACCTGGCATTATAATTTTTGCTAAATGGATGGATGAAAAATGACTTAAACCCCAAACCTTGTAAATCTAAGTATTTGTGAATATCACCCAACCACATGGTTCTCTCCATCATCTGTAGTAAAGCACAGTTGAAAAAATCAAGCTCCCTTTAGACCCTATAGACAATTCCATAAATAAGGGACCAAGATTGTGTCAAAGCTAAACAAATGCACCAGCACCTGACACGTGGGGTGCAAACACCAGCATTGGTAGAAGGCTTGGGCAGCACCAGGACAAGTAGAACCTGAAATTCACAAGCTCATTCACCATTTCCCGCATGAAGCACTTATAAAATTTGTCTAAAAAGAACCATGTGGTGACCCTTATCTTTTTACTGCCAATCTTTGGGCAAGAGCCTGTTCCTCTTATGCCTCATCAGTCTGGGGCTGGGATGGAACAAGAGGCCTCTGAGATAGCTTGGAAGCTCGTCTCATGACCTGTGAGCAGGCGGGATGATCTGTCCTTGGCTGCTGCAGCCCTATGCTCACTTCCTCTTGGACAAGGAGAGTCACAAAGGCATCTTTCTCCAGTAGAGACCAGTTTTATCTGCACAGACCCTTTTGCCCCTGAGCGTCTTTCATTTGGGAGGAAATGCTCCTCCAGCAACATGATCATCAGGTGCTGTCTGTGCCCTTTGAGTCATATTATGCTAAGAACATGCTTTTAAAAATTAAATCACCCTTTCTCCAAGTGAAGGTCAATGCTGCAGCTCCACTACCAGAGCTTTTCCCATCCTGGCTTTCCAGAACCGTCCTACATGGCGCCCCAGTTCTCCAAAATCACGTTCCCTCTGTGCACTCCCTCACACCGCACACACGTGCACACGAGGTAACCACCTTTTAATTCTTTTTGATGCTCTCATCGCTCACTTGGGCGAATGCTAGCCTGAATACCCCATGATGGTGGATTTATTCCCATCACAGACCTAGAGGATGGTGGATCTATTCACACAGTCCATTTGTGCCACCAGCAAAAGCCAAATTGCACATTTTAACTTCTCCCAAACTGCTCTTTTCTGGTTGAGAACCATCCCTCTTCCGATAACTTTGCTTTATCTTCACTTCACCAGTGTTTGGCTTTCTTCTCTCTCACAGAGAAACAAAAGGTGTATCAATTCAGGAAATTTACCATGAATGCAACACATGTCACACAGAAGACGTGAGGGCACGAGGCTGCCGGTCGGCTCACCAGCCACCAGCTGTGACTTGAAAAGCTCAAATTCAGAGTCTCAGCAAAATTACCCCTTTCTACATGCAAGGGGCCTTGGAGGTCACCTGGGAAGCCACCGAAATGGCGAATATGAAATTTAAGGACAACAAGGGTCTATTATAGCAATCATAAACCGGCAGCCCACAGGCATAACCTGCCTACAGAGATGTATTGTGTCACTTTCACTTTTTTAGAAAAATTGAAAATAGATGCCAAGCTCAAAAAAAAAGGAAATCCACCTGAAAATTGGGATTCCTGGCATCTCCTGAAAAGTAATACCATCTGGCAACCCTGGAACAGTATTCATATGTGGGAACCATCGGCTGGAGCTAGGTGATGGCGCCCCCTTTCGACAGGGCTGAAATGCTCCAGTTTCCACAGTGCACCCCACTCCCTGTGGTCACATGCCTGGTAGGCCTTGAAACTGTACACTATGTTGTGTGGCAAAAAGTCCAGGGAAATGGTAGACATAGCCTTGTTTTGTCTTCAGATGTCCACACTCACTTCTAAAAGCCAAGAGGGAGGTGGGGAAGGGAGAGTGTGCCCTGGGACAATGTTCTAGGCCTGAGTGCTCCAAAGCCTCCATGCATTTCCAAATGGGCCAACGTCATCAGGCTACCTGCTTCCTATGGCATCGGGAACTGCAACAAGTGGCCACGAATTCCTCCCACCCCTGTATGTGGACCGCTGCAATGTGGTTTTGCAGCATTTTCCATTAGGAGCTAGTGTCTGTTTCTCTAGCTGGGCTTGGCCTGGTGGCTTTCATTTTATTTTTATTTATTTTTCTATCTATCTATCTATCTATCTATCATCTATCTATCTATCTATCTATCTATCTATCTATCTATCTATCTATCTGAGATGGGGTCTCACTCTGTCACCCGGGCTGGAGTGCCATGGAATGAGTATGGCTCACTGCAGCCTTGACTTCCCTGTGCTCAAGTCATCCTCTTGCCTCAGCCTCCTGTGTAGCTGGGACCACAGGCATGCACCACATCACCCAGCTAGTTTTATTATTATTATTATTATTATTTGTAGAGATGAGGTATCACTTTGTTGCCCAGGCTGGTCTTGAACTCCCAGGCTCAAGTGATCCTCTCGCCTCGGACTCCCAAAGTGCTAGGCTTACACGCATGAGGCACTGCAGCCGGCCCTGCCTGGTGACTTTCTTTGGCTAACAGGACATTAGCAATCATGACCAAGCAGTCTTTAAAAAGCACCCAGGCATGGGCTTGTCCTCTCTTGCTGCCCTGAAATCACCAGTGCTAGAGAATAAGACTCTATGGGGCCAAGATGGGCTGTCCTAGCCAAGGTCCTCAGGACAAACAAAACTGCCAGACATGTGAGTAAGGCTGTCCTAGACCATCTGGCCCAGCCACCTGCTAGCTCACTACAGAACAGCCCAGTCCACCCACAGACTCATGAGCAATCATAAAACGGTTGCTGTTTTAAGCCACTACATTTTGGGGTGGGTTGTCAGGCAGTAATAGTTAGCCGACAGACCTGGCTTGTTAAGGCCTGTGTTCTTCTCATCTCTAAAGCTGCTTTTGGGACTTTTCTTGATGGCAGGTGCTGTCTGCAGCCCTGTCATCATTCTGCCACTGTCTCTCCCTGAGCCCAGGAGTGCGGGTGATTTTCAAGGACAGCAATCAAGGCCCCCAGACTAAATGACTTCTACTCTTGGATGTTACAGTCCATTGCTCTACACTGCCTCCGTAGAATCTGTGGCAAAATGTCCTATGTGGTTGACTTTTTTTTTTTTTTAGACGGAGTCTCACTCTGTCATCCAGGCTGGAGTCCAGTGGCGTGATCTCACTGCAACCTCCACCTCCTAGGTTCAAGTGATTCTCCAACCTCAGCCTCCTGAGTAGCTGGGACTACAGGCACATGCCACCACACCCAGCTAATTTTCATATTTTTAGTAGAGATGGGGTTCTGACATGTTGGCCAGGCTGGTCTCAAACTCCTGACCTCAAGTGATCCACCTGCCTTGGCCTCCCAAAATGCTGGCATTACAGGCATGATCTACTACGCCTGGCCACCTATGTGGTTCATTTTTATATGAAATGGATAGCAGTGGCTTTTGTCTACCTGGCACTATGATCTTCACAGCACCTATGGTTTCCTTCAGGGAACCATTCTTTCCTCACCTTTCTCAGCCTTTTGGGTGGCTATGACCCCACTCCTGGCCCTGGCTGTAGTGGATCTTTGCAGATCTGACTCCACTTCTGGCTCAGCCTGGGCCATGCCAGACTACCTCTCCCTGACCATGGAGGAGGGAGGCTGGTTCAGGAGAGAGCTGGTTCTTGAACTAAGAAAAGAACTGTCTCTCTCACCTGGGGATTGCAAAGCAGATAGTAAAGGAAGCCTGGAGCCACTGGGGGCCATCTCTAGGCCATCAATGAAATGCCTGCCTGGTAGTAACTAGAGACATGGGTCTCAAAGTGTGTTCTCTAAACCAGTAATGTCAGGATCGCCTGGGAACTTGCTAGGAATTAAAACACTTACCTCTACCTCAGACACACTGAAGCAGAAATTCTGGGATTGGGGCCCAATAATCTGATTTATTTTATTTTACTTATTGAGACGGAGTCTCACTCTGTTGCCCAGGCTGGAGTGCAGTGGTGCGATCTTGGGTCACTGCAACCTCTGCCTCCCGGGTTCAAGCAATTCTCCTGTCTCAGCCTCCTGAGTAGCTGGGACCACAGGTGACCGCCACCATGTCCGGCTAACTTGTATTTTTAGTAGAGATGGGGTTTCACCGTACTGGTCAGGCTGATCTTGAACTCCTGACCTCAGGAGATCCACCCTCCTCAGCCTCCCAAAGTGCTGGGATTACAGGTGTGAGTCACCATGTCCGGCCAATCTGATTATTTTAATTATTATTTTATTTAAGAACAAAATAGAGACAAGGTCTCACTACACCGCCCAGGCTGGTCTTGAACTCCTGGGTTCAAATGAGTCTCCTGCCTCAGCCTCCCAAAGCGCTAGGATTACAGGTGTGAGCCACCATGCTTGGCCAACAATCTGTGTTTTAATTGGCTTTGCAAGTAATTCTGATGCATGTCCAAGTTTGAGAACCACTGGGCTAGAGAAGTGTAAAGCTAAGTGATGAAACAGCTTCCCGAGAGACCATCTGAGCACCAGGATCCCACCATCCCTGAGGCCAATTCTACTATTCTGGAATTTTTAGGTCTGTGAGCAAGACATTCTCCTTTGTTGCTTGGGCTGATTAGGGTTTCTGTCACTTACTGTTAATGAACGCTGGCTAATATATTAAGAGTCTCTGGACTTTGGCAGAATGGTCTTGCTGTTGCAGGTTTTCCTGACAGGAACACTAAGTACAGGGCTGTCAAATTCCTCTAATTCACTCACACTGAGGGGTGTTGCTTTATTTCTGTGGTTGGCAGCTTGTCTGGGAAAAGTGGTTCAGATATATCACTTCCCTAGAGCACTGTGACAACTTGGACAGTAAACTTTCTGCATTAAAGACTAATGTTCTTTCACCCTCAAGAAGACAACAGGTTTCTAGAAGGAGATTATATTAGCTTTTCTGGAAGGCTTACGGATTGAGGTTGGAGCAATAGAGGACATGAGGCCCTTTCATTAGAACTAGGGACAGTTGCAGTGATAGAAAGGAATGAAGCTCTCTTGGAGTTGCATCACACACACATTTAATTGACACAAATTCAATTTTATGGGCTTAGTCTAAGAAAAAGGGGCAAGGGGAGAAATAACTCTTTATGGGGTACAAGCAAAAGGTTACACTTCTGGAATAGCAGACTATCTAATTCAGACCAACCTCTTGCTGGAACACAACTAGGAAACCTAGAAAATATTTTTAAATATTTAAAAAATCTATTTGAAAAAAAAAAGAGATCGTTTGAAGGCATGGAGAATGAACAGGGCTGTGAAGAATTACAGGGATATAGTAGACTGGAGAAAGAAACTCAGAGATGTAGACCCAACGTCTTGGAGGCCTTTCCTCTTAAGGTGCTACTGATTCTGATGAGAGCTGCCACAAGGCTGGGAAGCTGAGCAGAGCTGGCAACAGGTTCAGAGGCTACAGTCTGGGAGTGAGGGTGACCTGGAAGTAGCCAGGAGTGAAGGGCACAGAAAGGTTAACAATGTGGGCGAATCCAAATTACTGCTGATTATATAAAATAATAATCAGTAGTAATAATGTCTACTACTAATAATAATCAGTAGTAATAATCACTAGAAATAATGTCTAGTGGTGTTTAAAAGCTAGAGAGAATTAAAATGCATACAACAGTATTTAAGTTGGGAAAGGAAAAAATAGAGTTAGAGTTTGTAAGATACTTCCAATAAATGAGAAGTGGTAAACTTGCTAATTTAAAGTAAACCCTAGTAAGTCAAGAATGCATGTTGTAATCTCTGGTAATGACTAGAATAATAATAAAAAAAGAATGTATAACTAACAAGCTAATAGACAGGAAAAAAGAGAAATAATACAAAGCAATCAGTTCAAAGGAAGGCAAGAAAGGAGAGAAAGAGAAACATAAAACAGGAAAAACAAATAAAAAGCAAACAATAAGATAGTAGATGTAAACTCACATATATCAGCAATTACATTAAACATAAATGGACTGAATGCTCCCATTAAAACGCATAGATTGTTAGAGGATAAAACTAAAAACCAATTACGTGCTGCTTATAAGAGACAAACCTTAATATAAAGATACAGAAAGTTTGAAACTGAAAGGATAAAAAACAGTACACCATACAAATACTAACCAAAAGAAAGCCGGAGTAGCTTTATATCAGACAAAGTAGACTTTAAGGCAAAAAGCATTACTAGAGTGAGAAACAACACATAATGATAAAAGGTTCAATTCCCTTAGAAGATATAAAAAGTCAAATTCTGTATGTACCAAAAAAGACATCCCTCCCCGACCCCAGATACAGAGTAAAGCATACAAGCAGCCCACCCTCCAGATGTTGCCTTGAGGAGAGTGAGTTGGTTTGTGATTCTGCTGCACTTTTAGGAAGTTTCAGGTTCCTTGTGTCTCTGGTGGTGTGAACATCCCAGTGTTCTGAGCATGATGCCAGTGTCTAAAAACACACATTTCCCCTACAACCCTGACCCTAAACAAGGCCAGCTGCTTCTTCTGGGGCTCAGCCAAGAAGCTGTGATTTTTCCCACACTGGAGGAGAGACAGACTGTCTTGGGCTTACTGAGAGTTCATGTATCTGTATGAGGTCATCTGTATAAACCAATACATGCTGCACTTAATCATCAATTTGAGGGATTTCTAACGGTAACTCTGGTCTCCTGCACTTTTTACTTCCTTTACAGCCTAATATCTAGGTGAGATGTGGCTCTACCATAATCCCATTTCAGTGTGAGAGCAGTGACAATGCCAGGCTTTTCAGCTTTCCTCTTAGCCACAGAACTCTTTCTTCAAATTTGACTTATGTTAGAGCCAAGTATATTGAATAAGCAAAGGCTGAGCTCCAAACCTGTTCAAAATAAGAATTCCACTACCTCAAATAGTGTCCTCTTTAGGAGTACTGATGGAACAAACTACCCTAAGAACTAAATACCAGGAATAGCTGGTAATCTGATCTTTATTAAATGGACCCAGTGACATGCATTTTTTGTATGAACGCATGCTTCTTTGCCATGGTGGCCAGGAAGCTCAGTGTTACAGCTGTGACTACTTTAGGCATTCATTTGTTCACCCCCTGGTTTCATCTTATTTTTCTACTCTTGTTTTCTCTCTAGTTTCATTTTCTTAAATTTTTTATTTATTTATTTTTGGACAGAGTCTCGATCTGTTGCCCAGGCTGGAGTACAGTGGTCCAATCTCAGCTCACTGCAACCTCTGCCCCTCGGGTTCAAGCAATTCTCCTGCCTCAGCTTCCCGAGTAGCTGGGATTACAGGTGCGTGCCACCATGTCCAGGTAATTTTTTGTGTGTGTTTTAGTAGAGATGGGGTTTTGCCATGCTGCCCAGGCTGGTCTTGAACTCCTGGGGTCAAGCGATCCACCCACCTTGGCCTCCCAAAGTGCTGGGATTACAGGCATGACCCACTGCGCCTGGCCTCCTCAAATACTTTTCAAAGTCTTGCACTACTCACTGTATATAAAACTTTGTTAGTCCATGTCAGAACTTTTTGGAAAAAGGCAGATCATAAATTAATTAAGCTCTATTTCTCAAAGTGCTAGACATGAAAGCATATATTATGGGTTGAATTGTGTCCCCTAAAAAGGTCATTGAGGCCCTAACCCCTAGTACCTGTGACTGTGACCTTATTTGGAAATAGGGTGTTTGCAGATGATCAAGTTAAGATGAAGTCATTAGGTTGGGCATTCATCTGTCTTTATAAAAATGGCACATTTGGACACAGAGACAGAGACATACATGGAGAATACCATGTACAGATTGGAGTTATGTTGCCACAAGCCAAGGAACTGTCAGAAGTTAGGAGAGAGGCCTGGAATGGACTACCCCCCAGTGCCTTCAGAAAATGGCCCTTGCCAACACCTTGAATTTAGACTTGGAGCCTTGAGAACTGTGAGATGATACGTTTCCATTGCTTAAGCCACTCTGATTGTGGTACTTCGTTATGGCTGCCCTAGCAAGCTAATGCACTATGCCAGATGATTTTAGTTGATACATGGTTCAACTTTTAAAATACTAATATATATATATTGATGAGCATGAGAAAAAAGTATAACAAGTGACTCAAACCTCTGATTTTCAGGCATGTTACTGCTTAGGACTAGGCTGACGTGGGTATTAATTAAGTGGTAATTAATGTGGGTAATTAAGCAAATAATAGTTTAGTTGGCACAAGAGGGGCTTATAGTGGAGTAATTAAGAGCAGAGATTCTGCAGCCCAGGTTCTCAAATACTGGCTTCATCACTTACAGGCTGTGTGATCTTGGACAGATTCCTTAACCTCTCTGTGCCTCCATCTCCTCTGTACAATAATATTGATAATAGCAGTACCTATTGCACGGGGCTGTGTGGATGATTAAATGCAAGATTACATATGTAGTCCTACACACAGCTTGGGAGCTAGTTCAGTGCTTTGTAAGTACTGACCCTTAATTTTGTTACTTGAATATGGAAAAAATAGCAATCTTGGCACATATACAAAGGAGGGAAGTCCCAGTTAGCTCAGTAGGATGCTGGGAAAGGTACACGACCACCACCGTGCCACTCCTGCCCTACTAGGGGCTCTAGGGGGGTTCGTGCAGTGGCATACTTTTTTACCAACTTGTTTTGGAGGAACTTCTGAAAAGCCATTTAGATTGGTTCAGATAGTGAAGACAGTACCAGCAGGATAGACTGGAGGCTTGTCAACCTGAACAGCAGTCGGTGAGGCCAATCTAGGAGATGCAGAAGGAACAATGGCACCTGGGACTGCCACCCCTACTCCCCACCTGCTGAGGGAGCTCCGAAAGCAGACTCAGGCCTTTATCTCGCCCCATACCTCCTTCTCCTCTCTCTCCCTTTCCCAGCTCCCATCTCACCAAAGTTGACAGAATCAAAATTCGCCAGACTTTTCTGACATCTTTCATGTTCTATTTGGCTCTTTTCCCCTACAGATCATTTCTCCATTATCTAGTTAACAATGTGACAACTCTGTGACGCTATTGGCTGCAGGAACCTTGACATGCCGACAGGGGTTGCCTCCCACTCCTACCTTCCTCGGGCCCCAGGCAGGCCTCTTTCCAGGCTCTGGGTCCCACCAAAAAGTCCCCAGGAACCAGTTTGGGGATAGCTCTGCCCCACTGGAGTCTGGCTCCTCCAACACCTTGAATTTAGACTTCCAGCCTCGAGAACTGTGAGATGATACATTTCCATTGTTTAAGCCACTCTGATTGTGGTACTTTGAAGGCCCCACTGGGATGCAGGCTCCAGTTAGCCACAGTTCTTCCTGGTCACTACAGGCTGAAGCAGGATGCAGATCAGAGACTTAGGACAGGGGTCTTGGTACTGCATGGCTTGTGCATGCACAGATCCCAACTCCGGGACCTGGGTTGCCTCAGTCTCCTTTGCTAGTGACACAGACTCAAATCCTATCCCAGTGCCTTAATCTTGTTTTCTGTTGCTTATAACAGAATAACTGAAACTAGGTAATATCAAAAGGAAAGGAATTTATTTCTTATAGTTATAGAAGCTGAGAAGTCCAAGGTCAAGGGTGCCGCATCTGACGAGGGCCTTCTTGCTGGTGGGGACTCTGCAGAGTCTCGAGGCAGTGCATGGTGAGGGGATGAGTGTGCTAGCTCAGGTCTCTCTTCTTCTTCCTATAAAACCACCAGTCCCACTCCCATGATAACCCTTTAATCCATTAACCCATGAATGCATTAATCCACTGGACAAGCCTTCATGACCTCTTCACATCTTAAAGGGCCCACCTCTCAGTATTGCCACATTGGGGATTAAATTTCAACATGAGTCTTGGAGGGGGCAAATATTCAAACCATGCCACCCAGCCACATGATAAGCCATGGCCCCCCATCACTGTAGGCTCCCCAGCGCCCAGGTTCTTACCCTAGGTTATTTAGGATAGAAAGTCACAACTAATCTCATACCTACAACTGGCTCCTTAGCAAGCCCAATTACTGTCTGGATCCATCCCCTGGTAACATCGAGACTGAGCCCCCACCCTCTACATCTTGAACCACCTGGTCTCTTCCTTGGTCACCTCGCATCCTCCCCAGCTCCCTATAGGCCAGGCTCCACGTGGCAGCCAGAAGAATCTTGTTGAAATGTAAACCAACATGGTAGCCCCTGCTACAAAGCCTCAGCTGCCACTTGCACGTTGTGTGCCTCAGTTCCTCGTCTGTGAAATGGGGACAATTGCAGAACCTACCTTAAAGTCTAGTTATAAGGATTATGTGAGATGGTAGAAGTAAAAGCTTACGATAGTGGCTGGGTCATCCTAAGTAGTGAATAAATGTAACCTCTCATGTCATTAGAACATAGACAAAGCTGGTCTGTTCACCATCGACTCTTTTGTACTTTCAGAATTGTGTACCATTTGCACATATTATTACTCATCTGAAGTAAGCAAGTTCATTTAAGAGTAAAACAAAAATAAAAGAAATTTTCAATGATAACCACACCTTGGTGGTGGAATCAGAAAATCACTCTCATGGTTACTTTAATGCGTTGGCTTGACTGGGCCACAGGAAACCCAGATATCTGGTCAAATATTATTCTGAGTGTTTCTGAAGGAGCATTTTTGGATGACATTAACATATTCATCAGGAGAGTAAGGCAGATTGCCCTCCACCATGTGAGTGGGCCTCGGCCAATCAGGTGACGGCTTGAATCAAACAAAAAGACCAGCCCTCCCCCAAGTGAGGGTGACTTCTCCAGTCAACTGCCTTGGACTTCACCTCTGACATAGGCTCTTCCTGCACAGCGCACTCGCTCCTCCACAACTGCATGAGCCAATTCCTTATCCTAAGCTCTCTCTCTCACTCTCCCTCCATATCCTTTTCATTCTGTTCCTCTGCAGACCCCTGACTAATACATTTGCTAAAGGGCAGCTAGCCCTCTGCAAGGAGGGTAATGAAGTGCGGCCTCCCATCATGGCACCCCAGAGAGTGACCCAGTCGCAGCCCTGCTCCCCTGCTCAGGGGCCCCCGGAACTCTTACTGGAGCACATCCTCTCCTGGTCTGGGAATACAGCAGGAGCTTGGGGAGTCAGGTTTGGCTCAGGTTTGGTGGGAACGAAAACCTCAGCATTGTCCTTCCGCTTTGCAGACAAATTCCTTTCCCTTTTATGACCTGTAGGAAAACAATTGTTTCATGTAAGACGCTGAGCGCAAGCAAGTTGGGCATTCTGTTCAGGCATTTGTTCATCATTCATTCACTTACTCATTCAACAAATGTCTACGGAACTACTTTGTGCAGTTTGGGATTAGAGATGTGAATAATGCAGGCGACGAAACAAGTTTGCTGAGAGTCATGGTGTGCCCAGCACCACATTTTGGTAAGTACATAAAAGATTCTAGGACATGCACAGGTTTTCAAATTTTAATGTTTCCTGGCTAGGCAGCCAGGCGGTGGCTCACACCTGTAATCCCGGTGCTTTGGGAGGCTGTGGTGGGGGAACTGCTTGAGCCCAGGAGATAAAGACCAGCCTAGGTAACATAGTGAGACCCTGTCTCTAGCAAAAAATGAACAAAATAGGCTGGGTACAGTGGCTCACGCCTCTAATCCCAGCACTTTAGGAGGCCAAGACGGGTGGATCACCTGAAGTCAGGAGTTTGAGACCAGCCTGGCCAACATGGTGAAACTCTGTCTTTACCAAAAATACAAAAATTAGCTGTGTACGGTGGCAAGCACCTGTAATCCCAGCTACTTGGAAGGCTGAGGCATGAGAATTGCTTGAACCCAGAAGATGGAGGTTGCAGTGAGCTGAGATTGTGCCACTGACTCCAGCCTGGGGGGCAGAGCAAGACTTCGTTCCCCGCCCCACCCTCCCTCTGCAAAAAAAGCCAGATGTGTTGGCACGTGCTTGTAGTCCCAGCTACTCTGGAGGCTGTGGCAGGAGGATCCCTCCCAGGAATTTGAGACTGCAGTGAGTTATGATAGTGCCACTGCACTTCAGCCCGGGTGACAGGGCAAGACCTTATCTCAGAAAAAACCAACAAAACAAAACATGAAAAATGTCAAGAAATTCAAATTCTCTCTTCTCACTTTATGCCCCAGTATCACTCGAACTGTGCTGGCATCAGCTGTTCTGTGGCCTGGTTCTTCACACCCAGGAATGACTGTCAGGTCCCCTGCTTTTCCAGGGTGGAGACTCAGTCACCTCTTTAGAGCCCTGTCCCCTCCCTCCCCGTCTCCCCTGCAGCCATGCTGTCTGCAGGCCCAGTGGGTCCCACGTGGGACCATTATTAACACTGCCCTGACCACTTGCTGCTCCCGCAGGTGCGCCTAACACCTTTGTTTATTTGACAAAGGTTCCCTGAGGGGCTGCAATGTGCTGGGCGTGTGCTGCATGCTGGAGAAGTGGAGGGTAAGAGCCAGCCTGTGCCCACAGGCTGGTGGGTGGGGAGGTGTGGTGGGTGGAGAGAAAGACAACTGGGGCCAGTGAACCCAGCGCCATGATGATGCTATGGGAGCACGGGGGAGGGCTGGCCCAAGTGGATGTGGTGGGAGTGTGAAGAAGGCTTTGTGGAATAAGCAACTTCTGAGTGCGGTCTGGAGGGAAAAGCAGAGAGCCAGGTTTCAGGGTTCTGAGTGGAGAGGAAAGGGACTGTGGTCATCTGGGCAGAGGGAACAGCTCAAGCAAGTGTCTGGGGTGAGAACAAACATGGTGAGAGCATGTCTGATGGACAAATGTCTTCTCTGGAGATGTCAGTTATTGGGTGTGGATTTTCCAGAGCTGAACTGTGTCCTCTTCAAACTTTTTTTTTTTTTTTTTTTTTGAGAGGGTCTCATTCTGTCACCCAGGCTGCAGTGCAGTGGCACGATCACGGCTCACTGCAGCTTCAACTTTTCAGACTTAAGTGATCCTCCTGCCTCAGCCTCCCAAGTAGCTAGGACTAAAGGTATGCACTACTACGTCTGGCTAATTTTTTAAAACATTTTTTTGTAGAGATGGGGTCTTGCCATGTTTCCCAGGCTGATCTGGAACTCAAGTGATCCTCCCGCCTTGGCTGCCGAAACTGTTGGGATTACAGACATGAGCCACTGTGCCTGGCCCCCTCCAAACTCATACATTGAAATCCTAGCCGCCAGTACCCCTGACTGTATTTGGGCACAAGGTCTTTAAAGAGGTAATTAACTAAAAACAAGGTCATATAGGTGGGCCCTAATCCAATATAACTTCTCCTAAGAAGAGGAGATTAGGACACAGACACACACAGAGGGAAGACCACAGGAAGACACAGGGAGAAGATGGCTGTCTACAAGCCACAAAGAAGGAAAAGGCCTCAGAAGAAACTGACTCTTGATCTCAGGCTTCCAGTCTCCAGAACTATGAGAGAGTAAATTCCTGCTGTTTAAGCCACCCAGTCTGTGGTACTTTGTCATGACAACCCTCGCAAACTGACACACTGTCTGATTCCAAACATTCCCTCATTTCTCTTTCCTTAGGTTCATCATGGTTCAGAAAAGTTTGTCTTCTCTTGGCACACCCAGCTTTGACGGTGCACATGAATAGGATACAGAGGTGCAGGCAGAGGCCAGGCCAGCCCGAGTCAAAGCTTAGGAACAGAGGATGAAGACTGTTGCAAGTAGGCCTCTCCCCATCAAGTCCTTCTCTCTCCTCCCTGCCCCTCACCAATCGTTTTGCTCGTTCTACTTTCCAAGATCTTTCTTGACAAACTTCCTCCATTGGACACTGCTGTCTCTGCGTGCCAGCATCCTCCCTCCTTCAGGTTCACCTTGAGTTTCTTTTGGAGATGAGAGCTTTACCGCACTATCGTGTGGCTGGGTGGTGATAACCACACCCCTTAGTCCTATTGGCTGGACCTGGCCCATCAGAGCCACGGTGATCCAATCCAAGACAGCATGTGACCCCGTGTGGGTTGGAGAACCAGGTCTGGGACTTTTGCTGGGCCTTTTGGGAAAGAAAAATTCACTTTCTGAGGGGTTGCAAAGTCAGTGTCTTATTTAAAGGCAATTCTGCCTTTGTATGTTGGATAGTCTACTAAGAATGGAAGCAAGACACAGGAAAGCAGAGAAGGAGGAGAGCAAGAGGGAGAGGGAGATGGGAGAAGACAGAGGGAAGAGGCCAGAAGGGAAAAGGAGAGGGAAGAGGGGAGATGGGAGAGAGATGGAGACGGAGAGGGAAAAGAAGACGAAGAGGGAGAGGGGAGAAAATGAGTCTTGCTACATCTCAGAACCTTTCAGTTACTCAAGTCAATAAATAGTCCCTTAGCTTAAGCTAGTCTGTATTAGCCAACTGGTATGTAGATGCTGCAAAACATCTTACAGTGTACAGAACAGACACCTCCAACTATCTGCCAGGAATTTACCATCTGGAATTTCAGGGCCCTGAGGAAGCCTTTGGGAAGCTCTGCGTCTTGCAATCAACAGAGACCTGACTGATATACCTCCCTGGCCTGTGAGACACTCTACCCAAAGAGGAACTCAAAGGACCACTGGAAGTTTAAGTCCTGCTATTAGATGCAGAGACACCAATGGCAAAGAAATGATATACAAGACAGAGCTCACTTTTGGAAGCTGGGTTAAATTCCAGCACCACGAGGGTGTCTGGGCCTGGAGAAGAGCGTCCTTCTGTCTCCTGTTCCCCGTGAACATCTTTCTGAGTCCAGTCGCCACTGGAAGGAGGGCGGTCATGTCTGGGATGGCCCACCAGTGCCGGGTCCTCTGGCTCAGGCTCAGAGAGTATGTCTTCCTCAATAGAGTCATACTCATCGCTGGAACAATCCTTTTGTTTCCTTTGTAGATTTACACTAAGTTCCAGGCTTCTTCTCAGCTCCTGCAAAAAGCCCAGAAGAGAGATGAGAGATAAATATGGTACCTTGAGAAAAACTTATTTGAAAATAGATCATTTGAACCAAAGAATTATTCTCCCCAAACTAACATTTAACAATATTATCTCAACCCTTGTGATGTCACTGCTTTGAAGACGAGAAAACAAAGGGCAGGGGAAAATGAGTAACTCCCTGGACAGAGCAATGTTGTTAATATTAACTGTGGTGTTTGTATCCCGGAGATGCCGGGGGAAGGTGGGGTGGGGGGGAGTGCACATGTGAAGGAGAGGGAGAGAGAAACAGACAATATGGTTTGTTAAAATCTGGGGCTTGTTCAAACAGATTGTGGAGTCCCACCCACTGATTCAGTGGGTCTGGGATGGGGCCTGAGGATTTACATTTCTAATAAGGTGATCCTGACACTGCTGGTCCAGGGACCACACTTTGAAATATGAACTCCCAAAGGCCTCCAAATGACCCTAAACTTCCAGATGGTAAAATGTCTGTCAGGTAGTTGTTAGGGGCTGACCTGCATATTGCAGGGTGTTGAGCGGCATCTAAATGTCATACTATTTAGCACTTAACTACAACTGCTTCAAGATTTTTTTCATGTTTCTTTTGTCTACATGAAATTGTAGATTCCTTATGGCTAAGCATTAAGATCTATATTTAGAGTGACCAGGACATGAATCACCCAAACCAAGACATTTCAGAGAGAAAGCGAGCACTACTATATTTACACTGGGACAAAAAGTATAAACGGAGCTGGGACAGTGGCTCATGTTTGTAATCCCATCACTTTGGGAGGCCGAGGCAAAAGGACTGGTTGAGAACAGGAGTTCAAGACCAGCCTGGGCAACACAGTGAGACCCTGTCTCTACAAAAAATAAACAAAAATTAGCTGAGTATGGTGATGCATGCCTGTAGTCCCAGCTACTCGGGAGGTTGAGGTGGGAGGATCACCTGAGCCTGGGAAGTTGAGGCTGCAGTGAGCTATGATTGCCACTGTACTCTAGCCTGGAGATACACACACACACACACACACATGCACACATATATATAGATGGGACTGTTTGGGCAAACCAGTATGTTTGGTCAGCCTAGCTATACTACCCCTTGTAGCCTATATAGTATCCAATGTAGTTCTAAGAAAATGGGAAGCAATCAATAAAGCTTTGATAATTGACCAATAAACCTAATAGTTATTGCAGTAGGCTGAATAAGGGCTCCCCAAAGATGTCCACATCCTAATCCCTAGAACCTGTGAACTCCTGAGGGCTCAGGAGGAAGTGAGGAACACCTTGAGTGTATAGAACACTTTTACCATCTTAGAGAAATCATCCTATACAGACCGATGATAGAAATATAGATGTTACAGGCACCACTGGTGAGGACTCAGGAAATGAACATGTAATTGAAAACTGGAGCCCAGGGAATCCTGTTATGTAGCAGTAGAATCTTAGCTGAATTGTGTCCTACAGTGCTGTGGAAAGCAGAATATGTAAGACATGAACTTGGATATTTAACTCAGGAGATTTCCAAGCAAAGTGCTGAAGATTTGGTCTGTTTTTCTCCTGCTGCTTAAAGTAAAATGTGAGAGGAAAGAGACAGACTGAGGGAAGAATTGTTAAGGAAAAGGGAACCAGGACTTGGCAATTTGGATGATTTTCAGCCTATCCAGATTGCAGAAGATTCTAAAATTAGGAGATTCACTGTCAGAAAAGTATGCTATGGAGAGAAAACTAAAGGTGTGGCTGGACAACCTTTTTTCTTGTACCTCAGAAAGATGCAAAATGCAAAGTATTCATTTGTATGGAGGGCTCTTTCAGGAGATTAGACATGTGGCTCATGGATCCCCTTAGACATTTCAGCAGAAGCCAGGACAGAGAGGGGATTTTCCAGGAAAGATTTGCAGAGGAGTCCCTTGTCTAATGGAGCAAATCCTAGAGACATACATGGGAGTCCCACATGACTTTTGAGAATGTCATACCAGGAGAAATACTGCCAGCTTGGACTGAATGGGAGAAAGAAAGAACAAAACGAAAGGTTGTCAGACTCCCCAAAATTCTACAGGCAGGAAATTGGCTGATGAAATGGCTCATCTACAAACACAGGCTGCTCTTCCTGAAAAAGGAAGAATGACTCCAAGGATGGAGCTGTGGGCCAAGAGAACAGAGCCCCGAACCACAGATAATTATTCCCAGGCCTTGAAAACTAACAGTTTGCCCAGCTGGGCTTTAAAATTGCTTGGGTTTGGTGATTCCTCTTTTTTCCCTTTTATTTACCCTTCTTTTAAATGGGAATTTTGATATGATTTGACTGTGTCCCCACCCAAATCTCAGCTTGAACTGTAATAATCCCCATGTGTCAAGGGCAGGGCCAGGTGGAGATAACTGAATCATAGGGGCAGTTTCCCCATACTGTTCTTGTGGTAGTGAATAGTCTCACAAGATCTGATGATTTTATAAAGGGGAGTTCCCCTGCACAAGCTCTCTTGCCTGCCACCATGTAAGCTGTGACTTTGCTCCTTCTTTGCCTTCTGCCATGACTGTGAGGCCTCCCCAACTACGTGGAACTGTGAGTCCATTAAACCTCTTTCCTTCATAAATTACCCAGTCTCAGGTATGTCTTTATTAGCAGTGTGAGAACAGACTAATACAGGAATGTTGTTAACTGTTATCCTACACCTATCCACCATTGTATTTGGGAACAGATAACTTGTTTTCTAGTTTCACTCATCTACAGATGAGAAAAATTTTGCCCCAAGACAGGTCATACCCAGGGTCTTACCCATAACCAATTTAGATGATGAGATTTTGGAGTTTTGAGCTGACGAGACTTAGATGATATTCTGGACTTGAGTTGTTACGGTAATGGATTGAGAGTTTTGGAAAACTTGGGATGGGATGGATGTATTCTGCATGTGGTATGGAGGTGAATCTTTGGGGGACAGAGGGTGGGCTGTGGTAGGCTGGATAAATAGCCCCCAAAGATGTCCATATCCTAGCCCCTGGGAGCTGAGGAGATGCTGCCTTACAGGGCAAAGGGACCTTGAAGATATGATTAGGTGAAGAATCTCCAGATGAGGACAGGAGCCTGGATTATCCAGGTGAGTCCAGTGTAATCATAGGCGTCCTTATGAGAGAGAAGCAGGAAGATCAACATCAAATAGAGAATACGTAAGAATGGAAGCAGAGGTCAGGGAGGAGTGAGCTATAGTGCTGGATTTGAAACAGGAGGACATGGCCACAAGCCAAGGAATGTAGGTGGCCTCTACAGTCTGAAAAAGACAAGGAAATGAGCTTTCCTCTCGAGCCTCCAGAAGGAATGCAGTCCCGCCAATGCCTTGATTTTATTTTTTATTATTATACTTTAAGTTTTAGGATACATGTGCACAACGTGCAGGTTTGCTAAATGCCTTGATTTTAGACCAGTGAAACTGATTTTGGATTTCTGACCTCCAGAACTAAGCCACCAAGTTTGCAGCAAGTTGTTACAGCAGCAAATAGGAAACGAATACAGCTGTCTCTTTTTAGAGTTCTCCCCCTTTCATCCCTTGATACCAAGTATTGGTGATACACATTTAATAAAATTAATTAATTATCTCTGTTGCCCAGTGCAGTGGTGTGATCACAGCTCACTGCAGCCTCGACCTCCTAGGCTCGAGTGAGCCTCCCACCTCAGCCTCCTGTGTAGCTGGGACTACAGGTATGAGCCACCACACCCAGATACCCAGATATTTACTGGGCAACTAGAACACTGGCTGGCACATAGTAGGTGCTCGACCAGTATCTGCTGAATGACTGAATAGATTCCATTGATGACTGGGTGGTGGCTGTGGGCAGATGCAGAGTGCCCTCATGTACCTTGGAGGTGACATTGGTGATGGGACCCTTAGCAAGTTACTTACCTCCTCTGACTTGCATCTTGACATCCATAAAAATAGATGAACAAATCCCTACCTTGCAGAATTGCTTTAAAGCAGAGGTCTGAACTGGGACTAATTTTGTCCCCCCACCCAACTCCAGGGGACATCCAGCAATGACTTGAGATTTTTTTGATCACAACTGGGGGAGAGGTGTCCTATTGGGATCTATTACATGGACACCAGGGATGCTGCTAAACATAACAGAATGTCCAGGACAGCCCCACAACAAAGAATGATCCAGCCAAAACGTCAAGGCTGAGAAACGATTAAAGCAAGTGCGGGTTCACCACTGGTGTTTTAAAAAATAACACCAGGTCTCCTAATTGAGTGTATTGAGCTGGTTCACGCAACCTTCATGCAAACCAGACTGAGGTCATGGCTTATGTCTTCAAAGTCTGACAGTGGTGGGCAGTTGGAGGGGCAACAGATTCACTGCTCCTCCCAGGGCAACATGAGTTCCTAGGCGACCTGCTGTTTAACAACAATTTCGGCAGCTGTAAAACTAGTAATCCTTTACGGTAGAATAATGCTCTGTACTCTAGAAAACATTTTCAACCCTTTCTCTCCTTTGATGCTCAGAAAAACCCTGTAAGACAGATAGGTAGAGTAAAACCCTGGGATAACATGAATTTAGTTAAAACAAGATAGCCTATTGGCTCTTATGCTTGGCCCAACTCCCAATTCTCAAATAAGGTCAACTTAGGTTCTGTTCTGCTGGGGTGGGGGAAAGGCTGGGTGAGAAAACAATGGGCACATCCCTCTCTCTGCAGCCCCTACTCTTGCCCAGTCACTGTGGATTACGTTCCTAGCTGGGAGACTGCTGTCACTGTCCAGGAAATCTCAGTTCCAGGGCCCCAAATTGTCCCAACTGATGTCTAAGGCAGAGTGCAGCCACCAAACATGGCCAGTTTCAGGAAGGATTTGGATGAGGCATTAGGACCCTTGAACCCATGGTCAGTTGAGGAGACTTCCTCTGGCCTCTTCATGACCGTCACTATGTTGCAGCCCCACATTCTGAGTGACTGAATTGTGGAGATACCCCCAAATTTGAGGAACTGTGACCAGCCTTTATGCTGGTCCAACTTCTCACAGCGATTAAGTGGCATAGCTGTGACTTCTGCACTCCGCCACTCCTCCTTGCTCCTTCTAGATTATCCACGCATAACACAGACTCTCTTGCATCTGTCATGGCCCAACCAATGGGGAAGACAATAAGGCAACCACCATTCATTAAGGCTTCATGCATGCTCATGTGCTTAGGTGCTGTGCTAAGGGCAGAGGTAGCAGTGCAGAGCAAGATGGCAAACCTCTGGCCTTATAGGAGCATACAGTGTGGGGCGGGAGGAGACAGGCAGGCAATGCATAAAGAAATATAAACAGGGGCATTTCAGAGGTGGCCAGGACTGTGAAGAAAGCCCTTGTCTGGATGATGTGACAGGGCGACTGGCTGAGCAAGCCCTGATGAATGGTGGTCAGGGAAGGCTGAGTGATGAAGAGCTACCTGGTAGTGTCTGGGGCACAAGGCTGTCTTGGGGGTAGGAACAGCAGAGACAAAGGCCAGGAGGCAGGAACGGCTGGAAGGCATGTGTTCCCTAGAGGGAGGCAGCAGTCACGGGGGACAGGGCTTTGTGGGCCTCAGGGAAGAGTGTGGATTTTGTTCTATGCCCTATGAGAAGCTGCTGAAGGGTGCTAGGCAGAGATACAATGTTATCTGATTTCTGCTTTTATTTTTTATTAATTTATTTTTTTGAGACGGATTTTTGCTCTTGTTGCCCAGGCTGGAATGCAGTGACACGATCTCGGCTCACTGCAACCTCCGCCTTCCGGGTTCAAGCGATTCTCCTGCCTCAGCTTCCCAAGTAGCTGGGATCACAGGCGCCCGCCACCACACCCGGCTGATTTTTGTATTTTTAGTAGAGACGGGGTTTTACCATGTTGGCCAGGCTGGTCTTGAACTCCCGACTTCAGGTGATCCACCCGCCTCAGCCACCCAAAGTGCTGGGATTACAGGCGCGAGCCACTGCGCCTGGCCTGATTTCTGCTTTTAAAAGATCTCTATGGCTCTTGGATACCAAGTGGATTTTAGGAGGTGGGACAAGGATGGAAACAGGGCTACCAGCTTTGCTGCAGTTGCAGGTGAAAGAGGAAGGTGGCAGCAGAGGTGGGGACAGGGAGGAGGCCTCGAGATCTATTTTGGAGGCAGAGATGACAGACATGACTGACTAGAAATGAATCATATGCATACCCTCTGACCTAGCCCTTCCAGGAATGTATCCTTTAGTCCTAAGTACACAAAGATCGTTGAGGCATCCTTTATAATAGAGAATGGTCCACATGGTTATCAATGAGAGACGGATTAAATATCTAATAGAGCGGGTGTTCACCGAGCCCCAGGCAGCTCTTACAAAGAATGAGGTAGCTCTACTTTTGTACTTCTTTGGGCAGATATCAAGATATACATTTAAGTAAAAAGAAGCGTGTTGAAAAATGTACATATAACACGAACTCAATTTTTAAAATCATTGTTAATTTCTATACATGTAGGTATGCATATATGCATAGAAAAAGTCTGGAAAAATAGGCACCTGACTTTTTATTTTTATTTTTATTTTTGAGATGGAGTCTTGCTCTGTCGCCCAGGCTGGAGTGCAGTGGCGCGATCTCAGCTCACTGCAACCTCTGCCTCCTGGGTTCAAGCGATTCTCCTGCCTCAGCCTCCCGAGTAGCTGGGCTTACAAGCACACACCACCATGCCTGAGTAATTTTTTGTATTTTTAGTAGAGATGGAGTTTCCCCACATTGGCTAGGCTGGTCTTGAACTCTTGACCTCAGGTGATCCACCTGCCGTGGCTTCCCAAAGTGCTTGGATTACAGGTGTGAGCCACTACGCCCGGCCAGCACCCAACTATTAACAATGATCTCTCTGACAGCCTTTCCAGGACTTTCCTTTTCTTCTTTGTTTTTAAAAAAATTATTTAGTATTAGCAGGCATCCAATTTTGTAATTTAAAAAAATGATACGTTTACATTTATGTTTAAATTTTGTCCCTCCTTCTTGCAAATAAATAAATTCCCTAGAGGAGTGGCGGGGAATGGTGGAGTGGAGGACCCTGGACAGCCAGCTGCCTGGAAAAATCATCTCTATCCCTGGAACACATGTGGTTCCCAAAAGCCAATGACAAACAGCAGCACTCGATGCTGGAAGACAACGGAGGAGCATCTGTCTAACTCGAGAATAAAGTATCCAGCCAAGAGGTCCAGACTGGAAAGTAACACACCATCCATCTCAAACAGCCAGAAACCCAGGGAATACAGACGGCATTCATGAGCTCTTCTCAGAAAATATCACCCAGGTGACAAAATCCAGACCAATGAAAGAGGAAATCAAAATAAAGATAGAGGCATGGACAAGCTGTGATCAAAGGTCTAATGGTAAGCGCTGTAGCCACTTAAAGTTTGAATAAATACTAGGCATTTATGCACATTAGGGAGATGGACCAGAATGCAATGCTATAAACCTAAGCCCTTAGCTTAGCTAACAAAAATCAGGAGAGGGCAGGCAATGTGGGTGGCCTAATTTTCCACACCAGAAAGTCAACCCCAAATGCATCTCAAATGGAAACTAGAGTTTTTTAAAAATGGCAACTCTAACCTCTTATTTCCTAATGTATTAAACCGATGGCTATTTTAAGAAATAATATTTCCTGTGATAAAGAAATTTGAATTTCAATAATTCCTCCTGTTTCAATTTGGTTTCTTTTTCTTCTTTTAAATTAATGGAAATTTAAATGCCATGATTGTATTTGCAAAATATATATAGGCCAGGCGCAGTGGCTCATGCCTGTAATCTCGGCACTTTGGGAAGCGGAGGTGGGAAGATTGCTTGAGCCCAGGAATTCGAGACCAGCCTGGGCAACAAAGTGAGACCCCCAACTCTATTTTTAAAAACTTAAAAAATGAAACAAAAAAAAAATTCCCTCTCCCCAAAGAAAATATATATAAAAGAGCAGCCTAGATTCGGTGTGGCTGGCAGCTTCTTCGCAAAGGAAACAAATGCATTTGCTCACACTGGATGAACCTAGACCCTTATAATGCTCACGTGATCTAAACCATCTGTCCTAGGGGCAGAGGGGAGACAAACTAAGGAGCAACATTCCCTGGAGGAAGCCGTTCAAAACCTTTCCATCTGGAAAGATGAGGACCTTGGGCTGGTCGCTTTGAAAGCCAATCTGCCTGTACTTCAAAGAGATACCATGCTGTGGGATCTACCAGGTGCTGTGAAGCCATCATCCAGAAATTTCTCTGAAAAAACATACTTTATAGCTTTGCTTCAAAATCTTGTTATATTTGATTTCAGTGTTCAGTGTTTAAAATGTTAAGTTCAAGCCCTTTCAACAGAAAGCCCTCTGCATGGAGGCCAGGCTGCCAACACCGCAGGTGGAGATCGGATGACAGGGACTGCACACAAATGGGTCTCCTCACTGGGGATCCAGGGAGAAGGTGGAGGGACGGACGCTGATACAAAGACTTAAAGGTAGTTTCTAGAAGAACCACTGACTGAAATGCAGCAGGGGTTTGATGGTCAGTGAATTAATGCCTTCTATGCCTGAGCTTCCTCTTTCTGCTGAACTAGGAAAAGTGACATCAGGCGACCATCAAACATGAAGTTTTTGCAATAATAGTATCAGTAACTGTAACATCAAAAACAATAGCTACTACTTGCTAAGCTTCTGTTACATTATCAGGCACTAAGCTGACTTATCTATGTACCTTATCTCATTTCTTTTTCTTTTTCTTTTTTGAGGAAGGGTCTTGCTCTGTCACCCAGGCTGCAGTGCAGTAACACCACCTTGGCTCACTGCAACCTCCACCTCCTGGGTTCAAGTGATCCTCCCACCTTAGCCTCCAGAACAGCTGGGATTACAGGTGCATATCACCACAACTGGCTAATTTTTAGTTTTTTTGTAGAGATGAGATCTTACTCTGTTGCCCAAGCTGATCTCAAACTCTTGGGCTCAAGCAATCCTCCTGCCTCAGACTCCCAAAGTGCTGGGATTGTAGGCATGAACCACCACACCCAGCCACCTCATTTCATTTCAACCTCCTAACACGCCAGTGCAGTAGGTCTCCTCATCTTACAGGCCTGGAGGACTTAAGTACAAGTTCAAGGTCACATGGCCAGTAATGGCAGACCCAGGGTATGGAGGAATGACCATCTGACTCTGTATTAGTCCGTTTTCACGCTGCTGATAAAGACGCACCCACGACTGGGAAGAAAAAGAGGTTTACTTGACTTACAGTTCCACATGGCTGGGGAGGCCTCACAATCATGGCAGAAGACAATGAGGAGCAAGTCACCTCTTACATGGATGGCAGTAGGCAAAGAGAGAGAACTTGGGCAGGGAAACTCCCATTTTAAAAACCATCAGATCTCCTGAGACTCATTCACTATCACAAGAACAGCACAGAAAAGACTCACCCCATAATTCAATCACCTCCCACCTGGATCCACCCACCACATGTGGGAATTGTGGGAGTTACAATTCAAGATGAGATTTGGGTGGGGACACAGCCAAACCATATCAGACTCTAAAGTCCAGACTCTTAACCATGTGATCATGTTTATTCCCTGCCTGGTACCAACTTGGAAGCAACTGGTCTCCAGAGAGGGATGAAAGTCAGGGGCACAGTGACTGTCCACTGACTTGCACAAAATTGATAAACCTGCCCGTAAGAGGTTTAGACACAAAGCTGCCTTGAGGCCACTAAACATGTTCATGTATGTGTTAAGTTTGAGTGGATGAAGCATTAAACTCCTAACTCTACTTACAAAGGAGAATGAGCTGGGTCTAAGTTCTGGGCCTCACTCAGTTTACCCTGTGTCCCCAGGTGAGTTGCTGAGCTTCAAGCCCTCACCTTTGCTATGGGAAAATGTGCCCTGATTAGCTCACAAAAAAAAGGCTGCTGAGGGGTCAAAACGAAATTAACAGCTAAGAATCAGTGTTTTGTGATTGCTTTAATAGGGTTCTAGTTTTTACAGAAAATTTAAAATTTTGATGATGGCATCTTTTATTTCTCAGATGCTACTGAATCTGCCTATTAGAAGCTTGGATGCTTAGACCATGAAGCCACAGTGGAAACTTTAAGACAGTCCTCAAGAGCTAGCAGCAGTCTTGGGGGTAGAGATCACTGACATGCAGGCAGAAAGGCCAGACCTCCCCAACCAACCCCCTGCCCCTGGAACCCCAATAATGTCTCTCATTTGGTTGGCAGTTTTGTAAAACTGGGAGTTGAATGTCTTGAGTCTGGCATATATTGCTAGTTGTGATAATTCCCACTAACTTCTCTTGTACTATATGAGGCATTTTACACATTCATATTATTAATCTGCCTGGACCATGAAGGCTTTTTACCCAGCACTGAAGAGTTAGTTGATTAATTTGTTCTTTTTTCTCATTCATCCATGTATTCAACACATTTTTTTTTTTTTTTGAAACAGGGTCTCACTCTATCACCCAAGCTGGAGTGCAGTGGCACGATCATGGCTCACTGCAACCTCGACCTCCTGGGTTCAAGAGATTCTCCGACTTTTTGGTTAGCTGGGACTACAGGTGTACACCATCATGCTCAGCTAATTTTTGTATGTTTTGTAGAGATGGGGTCTTGCCATGTTGCCCAGGCTGGTCTCGAACTGCTGGGCTCAAGCGATCCTCCTGCCTCGGCCTCCAAAAGTACTGGGATTATAGGCATAAACCACCACACATGGCAACAAATATTTTTTATTGAATATACGTGTCCCCCATAAGCAGGTGTGACTGCTAGGTGCTAGGGATGGAGTGATGAACAAGACAGACTTACGGAATCTACAATCTGGCAACATCTCTTATGTAATCCATAACAGATTACCAGAGTAATGAGCGCCAAAAACCCAAACTTAGGGCTTGCCAGTCCACGTCCATAATAAAGTGGCTTGTGCCCTAACTTTAGGGTCAACTCAAGTGATCCTCCTACCTCGGCATCCCAAAGTACTGGGATTACAGGCGTGAACCACCATGCCTGTCCTAACTCTGCATATTTTAAAAATCGCATTCCCGACCGGCTGGGCATGGTGGCTCACACCTGTAATCCCAACACTTTGGCAGGCCGAAGTCACTTGAGGTCAGGAGTTCGAGACCAGCCTGGTCAACATGGTGAAACCCCATCTCTACTAAAAATACAAAAATTAGCCGGGTGTGGTGGTGGACACCTGTAATCCCAGTTACTCAGGAGGCTGAGGCAGGAGAATCGCTTGAACCCGGGAGGCAGAAGTTGTAGTGAGTCAAGACTGCACCACTATACTTCAGCCTGGGTGACAGAGTGAGACTCTGTCAAAAACAAAACAAAACAAAACAAAACAAAACAAAACAAAACAAAAACTCATTCCCCTACATCAATTTTGATAGAACTAAGGCTAGGAAAATTTGAATTATACATGTGTTTTAAATACCTGAGCAATATCTTTAGTTTTCTGACACCTTCTTACTGCCATGAATTTTAATTCAAAGCTAAGTGTATTTATAAAGTACCCTGGAGTTCAGCCTCTAAAGTGCATCACTGGAGAAAAACCAAAACAATCTTTGTCTAGGGAAGAGAGTGATAGAAGACAAAATGAACTCAGGAAGTAGATGGGCCTGGGAGACTGCCCAATGCTTTCCTGGTTTGTGGGCCCCTGGCCAAACCCCTCAGCATCACCCTGGCTGAGCAATCCATAAGGAGATTGGATAGGGATAGCAGGATAAAGACCAAATATCAAGGAATGCCACTGGCTGACTAGAAAATTTCAGGAATTCCTGAAAGATAGAGGGGAGAGATCACATCCATAAAGAACTAAAGGAAAAGGAAACTGCAGATTAAAACATACATGGTGGGTTGGGCACAGTGGCTCATACCTGTAATCCCAGCACTTTGCCAGGCCGAGGTGGGTGGATCACCTGAGGCCAGCAGTTCAAGACCAGCCCGGCCAACATGGTGAAACCCCATCTCTACTAAAAATACAAAAATTAGCCGGGCGTGGTGGCACACGCCTGTAGTCCCAGCTACTTGGGAGGCCGAGACAGAAGAATTGCTTGAACCTGGGAGGTGGAGGTTGCAGGGAGCCAAGATCGTACCAGTGCACTCCAGCCTGGGGGAAAGAGTGTCCTGTCTCAAAAAAAAAAAAAAATAATAAAAACACAGACATGGTATATTAGTCTGTTCTCACCCTGCTATGAAGAAATACCTGAGACCAGGTAATTTATAAAGAAAAGAGGTTTAGTTGACTCAAAGTTCTCCACAGCTGGGGAGGCTGCAGACAACTTCCAATCATGGCAGAAAGCACCTCTTCACAGGGTGGCAGGAGAGAGAAATTAGTAAAGGGGGAAGCATGCTGGGCACAGTGGCTCATGCCTATAATCCCAGCACTTTGGGAGGCTGAGGTGGGTGGATCGTTTGAGGTCAGGAGTTCGAGACTAGCACGGCCAACATGGTGAAACCCCATCTCTACTAAAAATACAAAAAATTAGCCAGGCGTGGTGGTGGATGCCTATAATCCCAGCTACTCAGGAGGCTGAGGCAGGAGAATTGCTTGAACCCAGGAGGTGCGCTGCTGCATACCAACCTGGGTGACAGAGTGAGACCCTGTCTCAAGAAAAAAAAAAAAAAACAACCTCCGGAGAACAGAGCAGAAACAATGAAAGAGAATGATAATAACAGTAGTAATAATAAATGAAAAATTTCCAGTGCTAAAGAAAGACACAAGCGTGCAGATGCCCCTGGCTTCAGCCTACGGGTGAGCCTCTCTGCTGCCCCTTACTTAATATAGCCGGGGACAGGCTGCAGCCCTAAAAGCGGCCCCCCACTCTAGCCTCAGGGCTCCCTGTCACACATCTTGATGCTGAACTCACCTACACATGCACATGCACACACTGCTCCTTCTATGGAAGTTTTTACGGCCCTGAAATTTTTGCTGAAAAGGCCCACTTAGTGTTTTCAATGGGACAAAGATTTTGAGACAGATATATTCATATGGATGAAAGGTACACTCTCTCAAAAAACATTTTGACTCTATATGCAAAGAATGACAGATATTTGAAATATATAAGGCAAAAACAAATGCAGGGGAAAACTGACAAGTTCACAGATATCAACCAGATCAAAGAGACAAAAAGTAAGTCAAGCCCTACAGCGGTGGTTTGCTAATGAGTATGAGAGTTTCCAGGGAAGCTTATTAAAAATGCAGGCTCTGAGCACTCCATGCCTCCTCCAAATCCAGTTCTATACCTATGGGTGTGGTGTGAGAATTCACAGCTTTAATAAGCAGCCCAGGTGATGCTAATATAGGTAGTCTGAGACCACACTTTAAGAATCACCCAGTTAAGTATTACAACTAATCGTGTGTGATTTAACAGATATATTGAGAACTTTGTACCAAAAAGAGAATGATTATTCTTTTGAAATATCATAGAACATTCATAAAAATCATCTGGTAGGCCACAAACAAAAAACCTCAGTAACTTTCAAAACCCAGAAATTAAACCATCTTTAATTTTAGGCCATTTTAAATCATAATGTGGCCAAATTAGAAACTAATACAAAACGATAGCAAAAATACAAAACTAGATAAACAAAAAACTGTTTACTTAGAACGTTTGGGAAAACTCTCCTACATAAAGAAGAGAGGCTGGGCATGGTGGCTCATGCCTGTAATTACAGCACTTTGGGAGGGCGAGGTGGGAGGACTGCTCAAGGCCAGGAGTTCAAGACCAGTCTGGGCAACATAGCAAGTCCCTGTCTCTAAGAAAAAATTAAAAGATTAGCCAGGCATGGTGGCGCATGCCTGTAGTCCCAGCGGCTTGCGAGGTTGAGGCAGGAGCATCACTTGACCCCAGAAGATTGAGGCTGCAGTGACCCATGATCATGCTCTGCATTCCAGTCTGGGTGACAGAACAGGACCCTGTCTTAAATGAAAAAATAAACATATAGGAGGGGAAAAAAAAAACACCCTAAACTAATAAGCCAATTAGAAATAAATGGCCAGGTACAGTGGCTCACGCCTGTAATCCCAACACTTTAGGAGGCCAAGGCAGGCGGATCACCTGAGGTCAGGAATTCGAGAGCAGCCTGGCCAACATGGTGAATCTCTGTCTCTACAAAAAATACAAAAAAAAAAAAAAATTAGCCGGGTGTGGTGACACATGCCTGTAGTCCCAGCTACTTGGCGGGGTGAGACAGGCGAATCACTTGAGCCTGGGAGACGGAGGTTGCAGTGAGCCGAGCAAGACTCTGTTGCACTGCACTCCAGCCTGGGCGACAGAGCAATACTCTGTCTCAAAATAAATAAATAAATAAATAAACAAATAAATAAATAAATAAATGACAATGAAAGTATTACATAGTACTATATGGTAAAATTTGCAGAGTAAATACAAAGCAATATTCAGAGGAAAATGTATAGCCTAATTGATATATTAGAAAATAGTATGAAAATTAAATGGGCCAGGTGTGGTGGGTCACACCTGTAATCCTAGCACTTTGGGAGGCCAAGCGGGAGGATTACTTGAACCTAGGAGTTTGAGACCAGCCTGGGCAACATGGTGAGACATCTTCTCTACCTAAAAAAAAAAAAAAAAAAAAAAAAGAAGAAGAAAAGAAAAAGAAAAAATAAATTAAACATTTAACTTAAGTCAGGTTACAGTGGTGGAGGTCAGGGAGAACCAATGTGATACCAAAAAGTTTAAGAGAGGAATTAAGATGAAAGCAGAAATAAGCTGAAAAAAAAATAAATAAATGAGTAAATGAATGAATGGATGACTAAATAAATAACGTATACTTGCTCAATAAAAGTAAAAGCTGGAGATGGTTTGGCTGGGTAGATATAGACAGCTTTTCATATTATACTCAACTTACTTCTAAACTGTTTGAATCTTTTTAAATGAGAAGGCACCCATGTATTAGGTGTTAGATAAAATGATACAAAATAATGTAAAAATTGTTTCACATCATACCTAAGAAATTCTAGGTCGGCTATAAATGCAAGATATTAAAGTTATTCTAATATTGATTCAGAAGTTAATCTTTATTTTCATTAAGATTGAAAAATATGCTTTATTAAGTTCAATTCATCTGGCACCTTCATTTGTAGAAACACCCTACTGAGGGATGGGATCACTACATCTCTTACTTCTGGACCTGTAATTCATGGGCATTTAGTGCTTGTTCAGCATCATTTCACATCATTCATGCTCATCACCAAATTATTCCTGCTCAGCTTGCCCTGTGCTGTCTGACCCACCTGCCCAGGGCCCTTTCTAATGCCACAAGCCAGCCGTCTTTTGGTCTGAGCTGTCCAGTTGGTCATCCCTGGGGGCCTTTGATGTTTCTGGGTAACAGACGGGCTAGGTCAAGAGCCACTGTCAAGGAGAAAGAGCTCTTCCTCCTGTCTCATCAGGAACTGACAAAGCTTTCATTATCTAAACCAGAAGTTGCAAGTTGGTAGTCTAAAGGCCACATCTGGCCAGCAGGTATATTTTGTTTGGTCCACAGGAAATTGTGAATTAGGCTGGGCATGGTGGCTCATGCCTGTAATCCCAATGCTTTGGGAGGCCTACGCAGGCGGACTGCTTGAGCTCAGGAGTTCAAGACCAGCCAGGGCAACACAGTGAAACCCCATTTATACTATATATATATATATATATGTATGTGTATATATATATGTGTGTATATATATATATATATATATATGTATGTGTATATATATATATATATATGTATGTGTATATATATATATATATATATATGTATGTGTATATATATATATATATATATATGTATGTGTATATATATATATATATATATATATATATATATATATATATATATTAGCCAGGCACAGTGGCTTGTGCCTGTAATCCCAGCTACCTGGGAGGCTGAGGTAGTAGGAAAGCTTGAGCTCAGGAGGTTGAGGCTGCAGTGAGCTATGATTACGCCACTGCACTCCAGCCTAGGTGACAGGGCAATACCCTGTCTGAAAAACAAACAAACTATAAATTAGTTGCCAACATAGAAATAATTGGGGGAAATCAAACATAAAGAAACCCAGGCCGGGCGCAGTGGCTCACGCCTGTAATCCCAGCACTTTGGGAGGCCTAGGTGGGTGGATCACCTGAGGTCAGGAGTTCGAGACCAGCCTGGCCAACATGGTGAAACCCCCGTCTCTACTAAAAATACAAAAATTAGCTGGGCATGGTGGTGTACGCCTGTAGTCCCAGCTACTTGGGAGGCTGAGGCAGGAGAATCGCATTAACCCGGGAGGCGGAGGTTGCAGTGAGCCGAGACCATGCCATTGCACTCCAGCCTGGGCGACAGAGTGAGACTCTGTTTCAAAAAAAAGAAAAGAAAGAAACCCAGAAACCCAGATACCTGGCTTCTCTTAAACCTAAAAAGCCTGGCACCACTAGGCCCATATTTCTACACGATGACAGTCCACTGTGATTGTCTGCTACTATCCCCACCATTCCCTGCATGCCCTGACTGACCCACCTGCCTCACTCAGGTGATTTAAAATATTCTCTCACATTAAGAACATGTGCCAGAAATCCCAATATTTCAGGATCCAAACTACATATCTCAAACTGACTCTTCTACCCCAAGCAACACAAAAATTCCTTGTTAGATTATGTGTCCTGATTCACAGTTTGGAAAACACTCACTGTAATCATAACTCAGTGATGTGATGACTGAAGTCCCTTGTGTGGGCTGGTCAGGGTGCCTAATCAACAGCTATACCACTCACTCATTGATTCAATCATTCAATCCACTTGCTCAATGAAGATTTATTTGCAGACCAACTCTATGCCAGGCACTTTTCTAGGGACAAGAGACACAGCAGGCAATGAGACGGAGCACATTCTGCTATCATGAAGCTTAGATCTGGGATGGGGGAAGGTGTTTGAGGCCCTAAATACTGAACTTGCAAAAGACCTAGAGCAATAGCTGGATGCGGTGGTGTGTGCCTGTATCCTGAGCTACTTGAGGGGGATGGCTTGGGGCCAGGTGTTTGAGGCTGTAGTGCACTATAATTGCACCTGTGAATAGCCACTGCATTATAGCCTGGGCAATGTAGTGAGACCCCATCTCTTAAAAAAAAAAAAAAAAGTACTGATATGAGCCAGAGCTCCACAAACTATTATGTATCGTCTACTCCCATCGATGGATTTGTTGTTGTTGTTGTTTTGTTCTGTTTGAGATGGAGTCTTGCTCTGTTGCCCAGGCTGGAGTGCAGTGGTGCCATCTCGGCTCACTGCAACCTCCACCTCCCGGGTTCAAGTGATTCTCCTGTCTCAGCCTCCTGAGTAGCTGGGATTACAGGCATGCGCCACCATGCCTGGTTAATTTTTGTATTTTTAATAGAGACGGGGTTTCACCATGTTGGCCAGGCTGGTCTCAAACTCCTGACCTCAGGTGATCCGCCCACCTTGGCCTCCCAAAATGCTGGGATAACAGGCGTGAGCCACTGCCGGCCAATCCACGGATTTTGTAATATGGGAATAAGATTTTCTTATAAACCATACCTAGGATTTACGATTTCAGAGCTGGCAGGTGCAGGAGATATTTAATTCACCGCTTCTTGTTAAAGGAGGAAATGGGGGCCCCAGAGGAGTATGACTTAGCCAAGGCCCCAGAATGTTTATGGAAAAACCCAAGCTACCTTCCCAGGCTTGCGGAATCTGTCACTTGGTATTTCTCCTCCCTAAAACAAGACTCGCAAACTCCGACATCCTCAGGAGGCGTAATGTTATATAAACTATCAAATAAACCACAGTGTTGTACAATAGGTAGTGGGGACCAGGCCAAACTGGGGGTGCATGCTCAGAAGAAAAGTTTTCTAAGTCCAAGTCAAACAGCAACAATGATAACCATGGCGTGCCACCAAACCGGCCAACAGAACACATCTGTGAGCTGAAGCTGGCCCTTCTAGTCACGAATCTGAGCCCTCAGTTTGGCCACACTCCCTCCCATTCCTCAGTGTATTTCTATCCTTATCCTGCATTTTAGCATATTTTTTCAAGTCATACCTAATCAGAAAGCCTCTCCTACATGCCTCTATTTTCTCTGCATTGTTTTTTCTCAAGTTTGAGCCACATTTTAAAATGTAACCAAACTTAGAAAAACCAAATAGGATGGGTACATATTTATTTTCATAACATAGTACTGTCTTAATATAATAACAATGCAAAATTAATTTTCTATTTATCTAAAATTCACTTTTTTTTTTTTTTGTATAGACAGGGTCTTGCTCTGTCCCCCAGGCTGGAGGGTAGTGGTGCGATCATGGCTTAGGGGAGCCTCAAACTCCTGGTGTCATGCAATCTTCCCACCTCAGCCTCCCGAGCAGCTGGGACTAGAGGTGCAGATTAGCATGCCCAGCTAATTTTAATTTTTTATAGAGATGAATTCTCACTATGTTGCCTAGGTTAATCTGCAACTTCTGGCCTCAAGTGATCCTCCTGCCTCGGCCTCCCAAGCACCAGGATTACAGGCATGAGTCACTGAGCCCAGCCAAATTTACCCATTTAAATAGTAAAAAACCTAAACAAATTATTCTGTATGTAAATATTTTGAAAATATATGAATACTTCCTTGTCTTCTTAAAAGACTATGCTGAACATAATTCAGTCTTTTTTTGATATTAATGGTCAATATTTTGGATACAAATTGACCTACAGGCCAGGCATGGTGGCTCACGCCTGTAATCCCAGCACTTTGGGAGACCAAGGCAGGTGTATCACTTGAGGTTAGAAGTTTGAGACTAGCCTGGCCAACATGGTGAAACCCCGTCTCTACTGGGAAAAAAAAAAAAAATTAGCTGGGCATGCTAGCACACATCTGTAATCCCAGCTACTCAGGAAGCTGAGGGATGAGAACTGCTTGAACCCGGAAGGCAGAGGTCACAGTGAGCTGAGATCATGCCACTGCACTCCAGCCTGGGCAGCTGAGTCAGACTCTGAAAAAACAAACAAACAACAACAACAACAAAAAACAAATTGACCTATAGTACAGGAGATATTTTTAGGGGCTATCTGCTTCTGTACTTCCATCTGTTATTTTTTTAAGGGACATCGTCTCCCCTCCAGGTTTCCAGAAGTGCAGAATATGGTTCCAAAGAGAAGGGCAGACCCCACCTTCCATCCTGTACCTTTCTGACCTTGGTGAAACTCTGTATTTTTGTTGCTTTTTAACTGGTTGGTCATCTTAACTTTGTACAATGTAGAAAAGCTTTTAATTTTGATTTTTTAAAATATCCCTTTTTTACAGTCCTCAAATCTAAGCCAAAAAGTCCAAAGTAACTTAAAAGATGCTCCTTCCATTGGAAGTGTGCTCTAATCTTCAGGTCTCTGGTTCAGAATCACTGGGAGTTCTTTTGCTAAAAATGTGCTACCTCCTATCTACAAATTCTATTAGCTTAAAAGTTCAGACCTAAAAAATGCGTCTTAAACAAATATCCTAAGCGATTCTTATGCATATCCAACTTTGAGAACTGCAGCTTTATCTTTTCCTTATAACTATGGTTCTCAAACATTGCGACAAATTATAGTCACATAAGGACGTTAAAAAAGGGAACAATGGCTGAGTGCAAACCCAGAATCAGATCCTCTGAGTGGTAAGACCTGGGTATTTGTGTTTTTATTTAATTTTTACTCTTTATGTTGAGCTAATTATAGATTTCCCATGCCATTTGTAAGGAAAAATAAAGAGAGAGCCCATGTACCCTTCACCCAGTTTCCCCCAATGGTAATACCTTGTATAACTACAGCATAACATCACAATTGGGAAACTACATTGATACAATCCTACTATGCTGTTTTTGTTTTTGTTTTTCCCAAGATGGAGTCTTGCTCTGTCATCCAGGCTGGAGTGCCGTGGCATGATCTCGGCTCACTGCAACCTCCGACTCCCGGGATCAAGCAATTCTCCTGCCTCAGCCTCCCAAGTAGCTGGGATTACAGGTGCACACCACCACGCCCAGCTAATTTTTGTATTTTTAGTAGAGACGGGGTTTCACCGTGTTGGCCAGACTGGTCTTGAACTCTTGACCTCGTGATCCACCCACCTCGGCCTCCCAAAGTGCTGGGATTACAGACATAAGCCACTGCGTCTGGCCTTGTTTTTTTTTTGTTTGTTTTGTTTTGTTTTGTTTTTTGTTTTTTAACTAGGTATGCTTTCTTTAGTAGAGATGGGATTTTGCCATGTTGGCCAGGCTGGTCTTGAACTCCTGACCTTGGTGATCCACCCGCCTCGTCCTCCCAAAATGCTAGGATTATAGGTGTTAGCCACTGTGCCCGGCCATTTTTCTCTATTTCTTCTTTTGGTGATGCTTAGTTCTACTGGAGCAGCTCCTCTCCTCTTTAATGTGCTAGCTTTTTCTATTTTGAAAAAATGTAAAACCTACAGAAAACGTATCATGCTAGTATAATGAACACCCAAATACCCTTCACGTATATTCACCAGTTGTTAACATTTTGCCACATTTCTCTCCTTCTCTCCCCTCCCACTTTTTCCTTCTCAATATGTACACACATATTCTTGATCCTGACCCATTTATGCACAGCCCCTCATGCCTGCACACTTCAGCATGTGTCTCCAGAGAACAAGGACATTCTCTTACATGGCCACAATGTAACTATCAAACTCAGAAAATTTAACATCAATACAATATTATCTAATATAATATAGTTCATCTCAAATTTCATTCATTTTCCAAAATTCTCCTTTTATGTAGCAATTCCTCTCCCTCACACCCCTAGGATCTCATCACACTGCCTTTATTGTGTTTTTTTTTAGGATTTTTTTTTTTTTATACTTTAAGTTTTAGGGTACATGTGCACATTGTGCAGGTTAGTTACATATGTATACATGTGCCATGCTGGTGCGCTGCACCCACTAGCTCGTCATCTAGCATTAGGTATATCTCCCAATGCTATCCCTCCCCCCTCCCCTCCCCACCACAGTCCCCAGAGTGTGATATTCCCCTTCCTGTGTCCATGTGATCTCATTGTTCAATTCCCACCTATGAGTGAGAATATGCGGTGTTTGGTTTTTTGTTCTTGCGATAGTTTACTGAGAATGATGATTTCCAATTTCATCCATGTCCCTACAAAGGACATGAACTCATCATTTTTTATGGCTGCATAGTATTCCATGGTGTATATGTGCCACATTTTCTTAATCCAGTCTATCGTTGTTGGACATTTGGGTTGGTTCCAAGTCTTTGCTATTGTGTTATTTCTTTACTCTCCTTTAATCTGAAACAGTGCCCTTTGTCTCTCATGCTACTGACTTTTTTTTCTTCCTTTTTTTTTTTTTTTTTTTTTCTGAGACAGAGTCTCACTCTGTTGCCTAGGCTGGAGTGTAGTGCCATGATCACAGCTCACTGCAGCCTCAACCTCCTGGGCTCAAGTGATCCTCCCACCTCAGCCTCCCAAGTAGCTGGGACTACAGGCATGCACCACCACACCCAACTAATTTTTTGTAGAGATGGAGTCTCCCTATGTTGCCCAGGCTGGTCTGGAACTCCTGGCTTCAAGCATTCCTACCACCTCGGCCTCCCAAAGGGCTGGGATGATAGGTATCAGCTACCGCACCTGGCTGCCACTGACATTTCTGAAGACTCCAGGCCAGTTGTTTTTAGAGTATCCCCCTCAATTTGGGTTTGTCTGGCTGTTTCCTCACTGGATTTCGCTTTTGAAAAACATTTTTCATCCACATTTTCAGTCATGGATTCACTGAGGAGATATTTGGCTAAGGAGAGTTCTCTCTATCATTGTTTAAAACATTATTAAGCATAACTGATGGATGGTCACCTCTGAATACCTTGCTCCTGGGTATAACATCAATAATATTCACAACAGACTGTGGCACATTCTGAGCAAAACCAGATGAGTGCAATATTCCCCGCCTGTGACTGTGAATTGTAAGGAACAAGGAGTCATGAGCCTGGGCTTCCAGCAGGGGCTTCCCTGAGGCCTGGGTGAGCAACATTATTTCTTTATTCCTCAGTTTCCTCAAACCATAACATGGGAATGAAAATCCCTAGAACTTAACTCACAGGGTTAACGTCGTGATGGATGTTACATGCTCAACATGGTGCTTGGCACTCGGTAAGTGCTCATTTAACGTGAGCTCTTATTATTTAAATGTAACATCATTAAGTCAAATCTCTTGTGAATTGTTTTACATCTTCTGGCCAGGCGCAGCGGCTCATGCCTGTAATCCCAGCACTTTGGGAGGTTGAGGCAGGAGGATCACTTGAGCCAGGAGTTTGAGACCAGCCTGGGCAATAAAGCAAGACCTTGTCTCTCAAAAATAAATAAATAAATAAATAAATAAATAATTGGCTGGACATGGTGGTGCGTACCTGTAACCCCAGCTACTTGGGAGGCTGAGGTGGGAGGATCACTAGAGCCCAGGAGTTCAAAGCCGCAGTGAGCCATGATTGCACCACTGTATTCTAGCCTGGGAGACAGAGCAAGACTCCATCTCTTTAAACAAACAAACAAACAAAATATATATATATATATATATATATATATATATATATATATATATATATATATCCATTCTAGGGGGTAGCAGCCCAGCGGTTTTTGTTTGTATATTTGTTTTGAGACAGCTTCTCTCTTTGTCATCCAGGCAGACATGCAGTAGCACAATCATAGCTCACTGCAACCTTGAATTCCTGGACTCAAGTGATCCTCCGGCCTCAGTTTCTCAAGTACCTGGGACTGCAGGCACATGCCACCACACCCTGCACATTTTAAAAATTTTTAGTTGAGACAAGGTCTTGCTGTTTCCCAGGCTGGTCTCTAACTCCTGAGCTCAAGCCATCCTCCTGCCTCAGCCTCCCAAAGTGCTGGGATTACAGGTATAAGCCACCGTGCCCGCCCTGTGGTTTTCCTAGACTCTCTCACGGAGTCCATCTTAAGGCAGGCACAGCTGCTTGGCTACGGAAAAGATCCCCAGCCCTTAGGGGTTAGGATGCTGAAAACTGATCTTACCATCACATCCTGAATAGTTAAGAGGATCCTTTCTTTGTCCACGCTGCTTGAAGGGTCAGAATGTCCACATGCATTCAGAAGGGAGAAGTTAAAACCACAGGGCTTGGTACTGGTGGGAGATTTGGTATCCTAGGGACAAGCACAGAAAACTGGGCATGGTAAAAACAACTTCCTGTCCCTGAAGACATGCTGGGGCCTCGCTCTTCTGTTGGTCTCCCTGCCTCCCATCTTCTCCTCATTAAATCACCCTCTGCTCTTGCTCCTAAAGTGGATCTGATCACTCTCATCCCTGCTACATCAACACCATTGCTGGCACACAGCCAGTCAATGGACCAGGATCCAAACTCAGGCCACCAACTCCTAAAACAGTGCTCTGAACCATGGAGCTGTATGGCAGTTGAGTGAGTACCAGTGTAGAAAGATGGCCAAGGTATGTTGTTGAGTTTTTTTAAAAAATGGGAGGCCAGGCACAGTGGCTCACATCTGTAATCCTAGCACTTTGGGAGGCTGAGGCGGGCAGATCACCTGAGGTCAGGAGTTCGAGACTAGCCTGGCCAACATGGTGAAATCCCATCTCTACTAAAAATTCAAAAATTAGCCAGGTGTGTTGGCACGTGCCTGTAGTCCCAGCTACATGACAGGCTGAGGCAGAAGAACTGCTTGAACCCAGGAGGCAGAGGTTGCAGTGAGCCAAGATCTCACCACTGCACTCCAGCCAGGGTGACAGAGCAAGACTCCGTCTTTAAATAAATAAATAAGTAAATGGGGCTGGCCATGGTGGCTTAGCCTTGTAATATCTGGAAATTTGGGAGGCTGAGGCAGGAGGATTGCTTGAGCCCAGGAGTTCAAGACCAGCCAGGGCAACATAGTGGGATATGAGACCCTATCTCTACCAAAAAACTCCCCAACAATTAGCTGGATGTGGTGGTGAGTTCCTGTTGTCTCAGCTCTTCGGGAGGCTGACGCAGGATGACTGCTTTATCCTGGGAGGTAGAGGTTGCAATGAGCTGTGATTGTGCTACTGCACTCCAGCCTGGGTGGCAGAGCGAGACTTTGTCTCAAAAAGAAAAAAAAAAAAAAGTGGGAAAATCAAATAGCATGGATGGTATAATCCCATTTATGTGAAAATAACCATTAAAAATGTTAAAAAGGCACCCACTCAGAGGTCATTTATATGGTAACCCCAAACAGCAGGAACTGCCCTAAGTTCCTGCTGTGGTAAACCCCACGCATTGAAACTGCCCTAAGTCTCATCACTGGAACGAATGAAGGAAGACTGAAGGGATGTGCTGCAGAGTCTGGCTGGGGGCAGGGTTGGGGTGGGCTGGCCAAGGATGGTGGTCTTTAGTCGTTTATAAATGTCAGCAATAACCACTTTAAGACACTGAACTGTTACTGTGAGAAAAAACCAGACTCACCCCATGCCACCATCCACCCAATGGAAAGAACACTCAGAAGGCATTCCAGAAGACTTCAGGGTGGCCCTGTCTTCCTGTCACGTATCACGCTCTCAGGGACTTCAGAGGTAACTAAACTTGGGAGATACCACTCACTGGGAACGAGACAGGTCCAGGATATTCTGGATCAATGATCTCTTCTTGGATATAATGAAATATGCCATTTTTAGTCCGGATGGTTATCTACCCATCTACTCACAATAATTATCTCTGGGGCAGTGGGATTATGAAAGGACTTTTGTTTTCTTTGTATCATTTGATTTTTTGTTTTTTTTCTTTTAGAGACAGGGTCTTGCTCTGTCACCCAGGCTGGAGTGCAGTGGCATAATCATCGCTTATGGTAGCCTTGTCATTTGAATTTTTTATATCAATTATGCATTATCAGGAAAATAAGTATCATAATTTTTTAAAACGTAAACTTTGTTTCATTCCTGATACATCAACAGAGACAATATAATTTTTTTTTTTTTTTTTGAGATGGAGTTTCACTCTGCCCCTGCAGTACAGTGGCTCCATCTCGGCTCCTGTAACTTCTGCCTCCTAGGTTCAAGTGATTCTCCTGCCTCGGCCTCCTGAGTAGCTGGGATTACAGGTGTGTGCCACTACACCTGGCTAATTTTTATATTTTTAGTAGAGATGGGGTTTCACCATGTTGGTCAGGCTGGTCTCGAACCCCTGATCTTAAGCGACCCTTCACCTCCCAAAGTGCTGGTATTACAGATGTGAGCCACAGCGCCCAGCAAGAGACAATACCACTTAAACGGTGAACATATCATCCATTGCAGCATACAACCATGTGCCCAGGAAAGCCAACATAACTAAGACTTGCCACTTTGGCAGAACTCTCTGGAAAGCGGTGTCTTCCTTTCACCAGAGATGTAAAACAGGTATGATGGTTTCCCCTCAAACTTAAGGAGAATCCCGTATCTTTATTTCTGCCCTCAAGCCCCATGCAATCTGACCCATGGCTGCTTCTCTGACCTCTCCTCTACTTAAGTATCACCTCATCAAGGGGAAGCCCCTGCACCCTCCATATAAAATAGCAGCCCCTGGCCATTTTTCTCTATCCCCTTCCTATTTTATTTTTCTTATCAGCCCTGTTGTCTCCTGACACATTATATACTTGTTTCTCTTCTGCCTTATCCTCAGTGTCCGGAATGGTACCCAGGATGGTGGTACACTGGAGCACACACACCTAAGTAAGGGGACAGCTGTTCCTCAGCTCTGGTCACTGTTAGTGTATAAGAATGTGGAACCCTTGCCTGGGCATGGTGGCTCACGCCTGTAATCCCAGCACTTTGGGAGGGTGAGGCGGGCAAATCACCTGAGGTCAGGAGTTCGAGACCAGTCTGGCCAACATGGTGAAACCCCATCTCTACTAAAAATACAAAAATTAGTGGGGCGTACTGGTTGGCGCCTGTAATCTCAACTACTCGGGAGGCAGAGGCTGGAGAATCGCTTGAACCCTGGAGGCAGAGGTTGCAGTGAGCCGAGATCGCACCACTGCACTCTGGCCTGGGTGACAAGAGTGAGACAACGTCTCAAAATAAATAAATAAATAAAAATGTCAGCTAGTAATTCACATCTTTTAAAAGCAATGTACAAGTCAACGGGGTGGAGGGCAACAGAACATGTCTGCAGCAAGCCAGTCTGTGAACTCAGAGAAGCTATGAAATTGAACTTCACGGAAGATGTGATTAAAGGCGAGAGGCTGGTGTGTTTCAACAGTGAAGGTCAGATGAAAAGTACATATGCGGACATGCATTTCCTCTTGCTCCATTTCAGGTTGCGCTTGCAAACAGTGTGAGGTGGCTGAGTATATTTAGCCACGTGCCTTTTTTTTTTTTCCCTGTTCAGATTGCATCTCTTAAGACTTCTGCCTTTGCTGAAAACTGGCATTGCCATTTTACTCTTACACTTTGCAGGAAAATAACTCCAAGAGGAAATTGACTGTGAAGCCTTATGGAGTGCCCCCTCAAGATGGGGAAAAAAAAGAAAAGAGAGAAATATAATCAAGCACTCAGAGTGGAGAAAATTAAGTGCTGGCGGAGCAGCAGCCATGCCTATGCGGAGTATGTGCACAAAAGGATGCTAATGGGACTTAATGCTGCTGTCCCGTGTTGTAGGGAGCTTGAGAGCTCACAAAGGAAGGGCTATATGTTAATTTAACGAGAGGTGCCCAATGCTTGACCAAAGGCAAACTACCATGGCCTCTTGCTTGAAGGGCACATACATATCTGGGGCTGGGACTGTAACATATTATGCTTGGCTAAAAACCAGCCTCCCAATTAAGAGAAATTGATGGCTGTTTTGCACAGACTGATCCTGAGCAGGGGGCTGTTTAGTTCAAAAGCAAATTGTCTGTGTTGTTTGGGATTTGAGTTTTAAAGGTAATAAAGTCCACAATTTTGCCTACTGTTTAACCCCACTTTAATGGACTGGGCAGAGAAACAAAGTCATTGGATCATTCCATAGAAAACGACTTTTATATTCTGTTTTAGGGAAACAAAAATTTCCAACATACTCGGGTATTTTACAACCAAGATGTGAAACAAAGTGATCCTTGCTCTTTATCTGTCTTTCCTTTATCAGCAAATAAGGAAGTACAAGCATGAAAGCAAAATCGGAGGAACATTTCCTGGACAGCATTCCCATCTCCAGTAAGAGTCCTTCTCACTTCATAAAAGCGATACGTAGAAGCAAGACTCTGCCTTTGCGGTGACGTCACTGAATATGCAGCCGGGGCCCAGAGTTGAACAAATGCCACTCTGGCAAGCGGGGCAGGGTCTGGCTTAGCAACTTGACTTTGACCTACCACCTCTGGATAATTTTGCTTCTACATAACTATGGAGATGATGTACTCATTCTATTTATAAAAATAATGCCCTTGGAGTAAACCCCAACCATCCACTCCTACCTCCACCCTGGCCCAGGCCTGTTCTGCCCCAGTGCACCTAATCTTCCTTCATTCTTTATCCCCCTTGTTCACACTGTGCCTGCATCCTGCTCCTTGAACAAGCCTGGCCTCATGCCGTTGCACGCTTGCTGCTTCCTCTATCTGGAATGCCTTTCTCATTGCTCCTTGCCAAGCCACTCCTTTTTTTTTTTAGACACAGTTTCACTCTGTCGCCCAGGCTGGAATGCAGTGGTGCAGTCTTGGCTCACTGCAACCTCTGCCTCCCGGGTTCAAGAGGTTCTCCTGTCTCAGCCTCCCAAGCAGCTGGGATTATAGGCGCACACCACCACGCCCAGCTAATTTTTGTATTACAAGTAAAGATGGGGTTTCAACATGGCCAGGCTGGTCTTGAACTCCTGATCTCAGGTGATCTGCCCACCTTGGCCTCCCAAAGTGCTAGGATTACAGGCGTGAGCCACAGCGCCTGGCCCCAGGTCACTCCTAATCCATCAGGTTTCAACTGAAATGTCATGCTGGAAAGAGGCCTTCCTTCTCTCTCTATCCTGGCTAACACTGCCTTCTCTCCCACACCATCTTGCTATCCCATCTTTCTCTTCTGTTTTCTTCAGAGAACTTACTGATACCTGAAATGATCTCATCGTTTATTTCTTCCTTTTTTCTTCATTGTCTGTCTCCCCTTTGGAGCACAGGTTGCTTAAGAACAGGCACCTCACTGGGTGTGACCCATGCCTGTAATCCCAGCTACTCAGGAAGCTGGGGTGAGAGGATGGCTTGAGCCCAGGAGTTCAAGGCTGCAGTGAGCTATGATTGTACCAATGCACTCCAGCCTGGGTAACAGAGCACAATTCCGTCTTTAAAAAATAATACAAAAATAAAAAAGTATAGGCACCTCTTCAGTTTTGTTCATTTCTGAATCTCTGGTGCCTGGGACAGAGCCTGATGGTCAGTGAGAGGTGCTTAACAAATGCTTGTGGAAGGAAGGACTGGGATATACTTTTGCAGTTCAAAGGACTTCAGGAATGAAATGGCAATCTGAGGATGGGGAGTAAAATGTCCTGTTGTCAACCCTGTAAGCTGCTAAACCGACATGGACTCCAAGCCAAAGCTGCATAGGCCTCTAGGCTTTTAAACATGTGGCTCCTGCCGCCCTGCGGGTGGTATTCGAAATATTTATCAGGTGCATGTATACACGTGTGGACAGGCTGAGCATCAGCAATTGCTGCCTGCCCTCACCAACTTGCCCCTCAAACTCTTACCCAGCTTTTAGGACCCAGGACAAAAGTCACTCCCTCTAGGAAGCCTTCCGGGATCCTCTCCCTCCTCTGTCTGCGCCATGCTCTGCCCCAACCTCTCTGCATTCTCTCCCTGTACAGGGACTATGTGCTAGTGACCCTTAGAAGTCAGACCCCAGCCTCACCGACCCCTGGTCACCGGGTGCCTCTGAATGCTGACCTCTAGCCCAAGGTCTGCTCATCAAACTGTGTGAAATGAACGCAAGAGTGAAGGAACACAGCGGCGAGTGAAGGACAGAATAAATAACTGTCAGAAAGTGCCCCGAGGGGCCACTGCAGCACCGAGCCTCGCCGTCCTTCAGGTGTCCCGAGCACAAGGCCAAGGCCATCCCTACCTGCGGACGATCCTCAGAAGTGTTGTTTGCCTGGAGAGTCACATCCCCACACAGCTCAAAATCATCAGAATAGTCCACAGGAGGTTCGATGTGGAGCCGTGGGCCAGCTTCTGTTCTGATCTGCACAGATTTCTGTACAAAAATGCAGGCCATTTCAGATAAGGTGGAATGAGGTCTTCATTCCTCTGCGGGGCAGGGACTGGCACTGGAGAGGTTCAGCCAGGATCTATGGGCATAGATACCATGGGGTGGTGTGCCTGCATGCAACAGCAGTGGTGTCATGATGAGCATGGGCCACAGGCCTCCTCCTCATCCGGGCCAGCACTGGATGGGCCATGCCGCCTCGCTCAAGAGTCTACTGTTTCTTGCTGTCCAAAGAACGTGCAGGAGAATTTTTAAAAATAACTTTTTGGTTGGCAATTCTGTTCTTTTTTTTTTTTTTTGAGTCAGGATCTCACTCTGTTGCCCAGGCTGGAGTGCAATGGTGCGATCTTGGATCCCTGCAACCTCTACCTCCTAGGTTCAAGTAATTCTCCTGCCTCAGCCTCCTGAGTAGCTGGGACAACAGGCACCTGCCACCACGCGGCAAATTTCTGTATTTTTAGTAGAGACGGGGTTTTGCCACGTTGGCCAGGCTTGTCTTCAACTCCTGGCCTCAAGTGATTCACCCACCTCGTCCTCCCCAAGTGCTGAGATTACAGGCATGAGCCACTATGCCCAGTCGGTTGGAAATTCTTTATCAGTAGACTTCTAGTAGGTGCTAAACTTCTCAAAAAGGACTTGTGGTCAAGGCGTGGTAGCTCACACCTGTAATCTCAGGATTTTGGAAGGCCGAGGCAGGAGGATCACTTGAGGCCAGGAGTTGGAGCCCAGCCTAGGCAACATAGTGAGACCCCCATCTCTACAAAAAAATTTAAAAAATTAACCAGGTGGCGGGGCATGGTGCCTCACACCTGTAATCCCAGCACTTTGGATGGCCGAGGTGGGCGGATCACCTGAGGTCAGGAGTTCGAGACCAGCCTGACCAAGATGGAGAAACCCCATCTCTACTAAAAACACAAAATTAGTCAGGTGTGGTGGCGCATGCCTGTAGTCCCAGCTACTCAGGAGGCTGAGGCAGGAGAATCGCTTGAACCCGGGAGGCAGAGGTTGCAGTGAGCCGAGATCATGCCATTGCACTCCAGCCTGGGCAACAAGAGCGAAACTCCATTTAAAAAAAAAAAAAAATTAGCCAGGTGTGGTGGTGTGTGCCTGTTGTCCCAGCTACTCGGGAGGCTGAGGTGGGGGGATTGCTTGAGCCCAGGAGTTCGAGGCTGCAGTGAGCCAAGATCACACTACTGCACTGCAGCCTGGGTGACAATGTGACACCCTGTCTTTAAATAAAAGAAAGGGGGGGGCTTTGTGATTAGACTTGTTTGGGAAACCCTGGCCTACATACTCACACTGCAGATATCCTAAAATGAAACACAGCATGGGACATTTCCCAAACTTTCTGGACTGCAGACACTCTGGACTGGGGCCTCTCTTTCTTCTAGTATCCTTTGGATCGTTCTTTGGGAAGGAAACTCATTGGCCTGGTGTGGCTGATTACAGACTCCCCTCCAATGTCCACTTTCCCCTGCTTCTACTGCCTGTAGTTCCAGATGTGCACATGGAGTCCCAGGTTCCCCTGCAGCTAAGAGGAACCGCGTGAACCCGTTCTGACTCACAAGCTGTGGGTGGGAGGGAGGGATGTGCATTGCATCTTCTAGGTGTTTCCTCAAAGGGCAGGGGCCAGCTTCCCCAGGCCCTGCAGCTTCCTCTGCCAGCTGCAATGGGGAGGTGGGAGTGAGCTGACTGGTGCTGGGGGGAGGAAAGCAACATCTGGAGGATGGTCAGAGTAACAGGGGTTCCTGGGTGACCTCATGGAGCAAGGGCGAGTGCTCCCATCTAAGCAGTGTTGTGTCAGAGACAACAGCTTTCATGCTGTTGAAGCCACTGTTACTTGTGTCTCCCTGCTGGAGCAGCCAAACCTGTACCTTAACTGATGTACCTGGCACGCAAGGTTCCCTACCATGTGGCCACAGCCCACCTTCTTGCCCTGATTGCTGCACAGACAACCACACACCTGATAATTAGGCCAAACAAAGGGCTTCTGGGGCTGCGAGGATCTGCAGCTTCATCAGTCCAGCATCCAGGCTGTGTCCTTCAGGAAACACCTCCCTTGTTTTCCTCTGGGGCCCAATTTCCTCCCAACTCTCAGTCCACATGTGGCCCCATGGTGGGGATTTGAGGCAGGCCTGGCCAATCCACCTATTCCACCCTTATAACATGCTATGGCCAGCCAGTCCAGGGATAGAAACGGACCTAAGGCAGCAATGAGAACAGCCCTGGATTCCTGTTAGAGCCGTGGGAAAGAGGTGCTCTCTTCTTGAGGGATGTGAAGCTAGAGGGAAGTCTATCAGGAGCTGCTGGGGACCATCCTGTCCCTAACAGAAAGAGCAAAGAGAGCTGAGAGGATGAAGCAGAGTCCTGATGGGTTTTAGAAGCCCTGGATCCAGCTGCACCTGAAGCGAGCCCCACTGAAACATTCTCCTTTTTGCTTACACCAGTGTGAAGAGGATTAAAGTTATTTGTGACAGTCTTGGCCCTCCCTTGTACCCTGAACTCTCCCACCTCTGTGCCTCTGCTTATGCTATTCTCCCAATCTGAATGCCATTTTCCCAAATCTTTTCCATGCATCCAAACCCTACCTAGCTTTGGAGACAATGCTCTCTGCCTACCTGGTATCTGTCAGCTGCCTGACTCTACTGAGGTGGCCATGTGCCCCACTAAGACGGTCACATTGCTGGGGGCCCTTGCAGCTAGGGATGGCCACGAGATCCAGGTGTGGCAATGCTAGTGGTTAGAAGTCTACGAGGCAGAGCTTCAGAGAAAACTCTGTTTTCCTGGTAATCAGGAGAGACTCAGTGCAGACAGGACTTCTGCCCTTTACCCTTCTACCCTTCTTCCTGACCGGAATGTGGATGGGATGTTTGGGAACACAGCAGTCATCTTGTGAGAATGAGGAAGAAAGCCACACACCAAAGATGGCCCAGCGCAACAGAGAAGCTGGGTTACTGGTGGCACCACCCACCCATGCCACCAGCCTGCCTCCAAATGCACTGTTCACAAATGAGGAAAACAGGAGCCATGTTCTCTAAGATGCAGCAATCTAGTTTCTGTTGCAAGCAGCTCAACTCCATCCCACTTGCTAACCCACTCTGGGCACTTGTTACTTTTGTGTTTCTGTTACCGTGGCTCCTGTGTGGTGAAGGGCCCAGGTTCTAGACTCCGGCATGCTACGTGATTCCTGGAACTCTGATGCCTACTCCTTGTGTGACCTTGAGCAAGTCATCTAGCCTCCCTGAGCCCGGTTTCCAAATCTGTTAAGACACCACTCATGAATCTTCATCAGAGAGCTGCCACAAAGATGACACGCAGTGACGCAGGTGAGCCCTCGGCTGGGGCTTTGGCACACAGCACCACAGGGCTGTACCTATTTACACGGCATCAACTCTGCACAGGTCACCAGACTGCCTCTCAGGTGTATGTTTCATTCGGCATAGCCCCCAAAAGCCAGCCAACCATGTCCTCTGGTAGTGAACCAGAGAAACTGCCACCTGCTCCAAGGCCACAGGTAAAGCTGGCTGTGTTGGACTCAGTAAGCAGGGCCAGGGCTGGCTTGAGGGGAGCAAGGTGCCCAGGGTGTGATATTTAAGGGAGTCTCACTCTCAGGCACCAACCTGTCCATGCACAAATCTGAGCATGAGGCCTCCTTTAATATTCTGCTCCAGGTGCCTTACTTACCTCACCCTCTCCTGGCCCTGTTACTGAAAGATAGAACAGGACACAGAGTATGTGCATGAACTCCAAGACTCACAAAAGGGGTACTCAAGGGTATTTAGGGGCTGGGCAAGGTGACTCTTGCCTGTAATCCCAGCACTTTGGGAGGCTGAGATGGGAGGACTGCTTGAGTCCAGGAGTTTGAAACCAGTCTGGGCAACATAGTGAGACCACATCTCTAAAAAAATAAATAGATAAATTAGCCGGGCGTGGTGATACGTGCCTGTAGTCCCAGCTACTTGGGAGGGCAAGGCAAGAGGATCACTTGAGCCTAGGAGTTCGAGGCTGCAGTGAGCTATGATCACGTCACTATGCTCCAGCCTGGGTGACAAAGCGAGATCCTGGCTCTAAAGAAAAAGTGAGCAAAGAAGGGCTCAGAGAAGGACAAGTGACTAAAAGAAAAATGATGCAGGAGGAAATTGAGAGACAAGGTCTCCGTGGGAGCCTGTGAATGGGGCTGGCACCCAGCCAGATGCCCACGAGGGCTGTTATTATAGGAGGCTCTGGAGCTAAGAGGGGCTGGGGACGGCATGATCAAGATTACATCTTTGGCTGGGCGCGGTGGTTCATGCCTGTAATCCCAGCACTATGAGAGGCTGAGGAGGGCGGATCAGTTGAGATCAGGAGTTCGAGACCAGCCTGGCCAGCATGGTGAAACCCTGTCTCTACCAAAAATACAAAAATTAGCCAGGTGTGGTGGTGTGTGCCTGTAGTTCCAGGTACTCGGGAGGCTGAGGCAGGAGAATCGCTTGAGCCTGGCAGGTGGAGCCTGCAGTGAGCCGAGATCGCACCTCTGCACTCCAGCCTGGGCAACAGAGTAAGACCCTGCTTAAAAAAAAAAAAAAAAAAAAAGATTATGTCTCTGGAAGATGGACTAGGGAGGAATTGGCCCTAGAAAAAGCAATTTCCTAGAACTGGTCCTAGAAGCAGCAAAAAAATAAATAAATAAAAAAGAAAAAGGGGTGGTGGTGGTGGTGGTAATTAGGGCATGCATTTCCCTTGAAGCCCTGGGGTTAGAACCTTTCACCCCTTGTAATATTCAATTCCCTGCAGGTTTAGTAAACATAAGGATTATCTAGATGATGAAGAAAATGATGTCAGAGTCTTACTGACCTACCAAACTCTAGTAGTTTGGACAGAACTCCTTTCTGATCCAAGTTCACAATGCCCCGCTCACCCATCAACGCTTTCACACTACGTGCCATGTCACTGGGTGCCACTCCAAGCACTCAGGTGCATTCACTCATTTAGTTCTTTTTTTTTTTTTTTTTTTTTTTTTTTGAGACAGAGTCTCACTCTGTTACCCAGCCTGGAGTGCAGCGGGGTGATCTCGACTCACTGCAACCTCTGCCTCCTGGGTTCAAGCAATTCTCCTGCCTCAGCCTCCTGAGTAGCTGGAACTACAGGTGCCCGCCACCAGGCCCAGATAATTTTTGTACTTTTAGTAGAGACGGGGCTTTGCCAAGTTGGCCAAGCTGGTCTTGAACTCCTGACATCAGGTGATCTACCTGCCTTGGCCTCCCAAAGTGTTGGGATTACAGGTGTAAGCCACTGTGCCTGGCCGCTCATTTAGTTCTCAAAGCAACCCAAGGGGGAAACTGAGTCACAAGGGTGTAGGCCACTTGCCCAAGGCCACACAGCGAGGAAGTTGCACAGCCTAATCACAGGCCTGACACTAAACCAAAGATGGGCCAACATTTCCTGTAAAGGGCCAGAAGGATTTTAGACTTTGCAAGCTATATGGTCTCTGTTAGGATACTCAGCAATCCTATTGCAGCTCAAAAGCAGCCACAGGCAATGACTAAAGAAATGGGCACGGTTGTGTTCCAGTAACACTTTATTTACAAATACGGGCTGAGGCTAGATTTGGCCCAAGGGCTGTAGTTGTGGATGAACTCTTGTTCTAAATCACCATGCTGTACTGCCCCCAGCAGGCGTGTTGAAGAATAAATGTGTCCCACCTGGGCTGGGTGTGGTGGCTCACACCTCTAATCCCAGCTCTTCAGGAGGCTGAGGTGGGAGGATTGTTTGAGGCCAGGATTTTGAGAGCAGCCTAGGCAACACGGTGAGACCTTGTCTCCACAAAAAAAAAAAAAAAAAAATTTTTTAAAAATTAAAAAACAATGTGTCCAGCCTGGGCTATAGAGGCCTTTGGACTGGGATTAGAGAACTTCCCTGGTGTCCCATGTTGCCCTGGGTTCCAGCTCCACATATGGCGCAGCTTCCTCCCAGGCCCTATCAACTCGGTCTTAGCACATGTGTTACCCTCGGCGCTAGGGCTGTGGAGGGAAAGCACTACCCGGAACATATAACCAAAACCGGGGGTTTCCAGGCCCGGAGATTCCTGGAGGTCTTCCTACCTCGACTGGGATGAAGCTGTAACGGCTTTGAAGTTCATCATTGATTTGAATTTTTCTTTTTATTATACTTTAAGTTTTAGGCCCCACAGCAGGCCCCCCACAACAGGCTCTGGTGTGTGATGTTCCCCTTCCTGTGTCCATGTGTTCTCATTGTTCAATTCCCACCTATGAGTGAGAACATGCGGTGTTTGGTTTTTTGTTCTTGCGATAGTTTGCTGAGAATGATTCCAGCATTCATCCATGTCCCTACAAAGGACATATAGTTTCCAGCTTCATCCATGTCCCTACAAAGGACATGAACTCATCATTTTTTATGGCTGCATAGTATTCCATGGTGTATATGTGCCACATTTTGTTAATCCAATCTATCATTGTTGGACATCTGTGTTGGTCCCAAGTCTTTGCTATTGTGAATAGTGCCGCAATTTTCTACCATACCTCCCAGGAGAGCATGCTCCTCCCTCCTCCCCAGAAACTACTCAATTTACATCCAAATACCAGGAGGCCTTCTAGCCGGGGAAGAGATGGCTCGAGAAGGGGCAAGGAGGAGGGACCACGGGGCACGGGGCCCAGGCCTGAGGAGCTGCCTGACTCACCAGCACCGGCCAGGGCCTAGGGTGCGGCCTGGCCTCCCCATGGGTTTCTAGTCCTTTGTCCAGAAAAAGGGGGCCTGGACTAGGGCCCTGCTACTCTAAGTGTGGTCCACGGACCAGCAGCATTGGTATCTCCTGGGAATTTGTGAGAAATGCAGAATTCCAGGCCCCTCCTTTGCCTTGGGAATCAGAATGTAAACCTGAGCAGTATCCCAGGTCATTTACACGCACGCACATTCAATTTCCAATAGCATAAGATCAGGAGATCGACAAGGCTTTGTGGTGGAAGCCGTTGCTTCTGCCTGTCCAGCACATACTCCCCTGTGTTTGGTAAAAGCACCCTGTTTTCGCTTTTTGAGATGGTGTCTTGCTCCCCACTTCCTGCCCGGGCCCTAAGAGGTTCACATGGCACTGAGTCCTCCCAAGGGGTGGAAGCACGTGACCCAGGCCTAGCCAATCAGAGCATGCGATTCCCCTGTCCCCCCAGTGATTGGGTGACTGGTTCTGGGGCATGGAAGAGATGTGGTAGCAGGGTGGCGGAACCTAAGTGGGCAGCTGCTGGTGGCTTGTCTTGGTACCACATGGGGCACAGGGGGGGTTGAGAGATGAAGAATAGGTCATTATATCGTTTGAGCTCCTGGACCCAAACGTGCCTGAACTTAAGATAACCAAGAATCGGGATGAACAATTCTGCTAGCCTTGGATTTGAACTGAAAGCATGAAAGAGAGCTCTAATGTTCAAGGAAAGCCCAGGTCTCTCTCTCTCCTTTTTTTTTTTTTTGAGACAGAGCCTCACTCTGTCGCCCAGGCTGGAGTGCAATGGCGCGATCTCAGCTCACTGCAACCTCTGCCTCCCGCGTTCAGGCAATTCTCCTGCCTCGGCCTCCCGAGTAGCTGGGATTACAGACATTCACCACCATGTCCGGCTAATGTTTTTGTATTTTTAGTAGAGACAGGGTTTCAGCACGTTAGCCAGGCTGGTATCGAACTCCTGACCTCAGGTGATCCACCCATCTCGGCCCCCCAAAGTGCTGGGATTACATGCGTGAGCCTCCGCGCCCGGCCTCTCTCTCGTCTGTGGTTTTCCCGTCTTCCCTTTAGCACTACTGCTCACCTCGCAGAGGTGTCAGGACCCAGGTTTGCAGTCGGCATTAAGGCACTGAATCAGCAAGCTTTTACTGAGCGCCGACTGCATACAAGGTTCTGAAAACACAGGAAGATACAAAAAAAAAAAAAAAAAATTAAAAACCAATGCCCTGCCCTCAAGGAGGTCACACAGCACACATAATGGGAGAATGTGTTTATGAAGCAACATGTGACAAAATTAATGTGGTCCAGAAAGAGTTTCTAATGTTGAGTGGGTGCTGGAGAGGGGAATAAATAGTCCCTCCATCTGGCCTGCTCTCCCGCCCCCAGCCCCAGGGAGGCTCCTCTGCCACCACTGGGAGGAGATTGAAAGCAGCCCTGCCCACACGGAAGGCTCACCTCCAGTGAGCAGCCCAGGCTGGCAGGTTCCAACCCAGCCCCCCAGGCCGTGCATGGCTCCCTGCCTCCCACCTCCACGCCCTTGCAAGGGATGATGACTGTGCACCTGGCTAGCTCCCCGCTTGGCACGCTGCTGTACCTGAGTGGGTGTTTCAAAGCGGCTGCTCTTTCTTGCCTACTTGCAGCACCCAGACCTGGGTAGACCCTTGCAGTATCAATCATATGGGGGAGGAGGATTTAAAAGCAGTGACATCCCCAAATCCATGTTCCTTTTTGCAACCCAAGGCCAGCTTATTTCATACCTGGCCCACACTCAGCCCAGTTCATGCCTAGAGTTATTTGTTCATATCTGCCACCCCTCTTCGCAAACTGTTTTAAAAGGTGTGCATTAAAGCTTATTGTCAAGTAGAAAAAAAGAGCAAGGCTGGGGGCTGCCCCATATGGTTGTGTGGGTTGTGCAGTATGCAAATGGCTCCCTCTAGAGGTACGAGAGCTCTAAAACACTGACAAAGGTAGGTCTAGGGTTGGGAGGTCCGGCTGACTTGATGTGTTCATCCCTGATTTGTCTGATCTCTTAGAAATAGCAGTGCTCCCCACTCTGACAGTCTGTGTTGTGCAAGGTCACTGGAAAGGCCAATGCTTTACGGCTTGTTTCATTTGTCGTCCTCACTGCAAGGGTTTCAGAACTCAGAAGGAAGATAACAAGAGACAGGGCCCCCAACACTTCCCATTTTTACTTGTGAGATTTTCTGAAGGTGCTGAAGCTGCACAGGCCACAACAGGACACAGGATATGGTGGCTGAGTGAGAGCAAAGCCTCTGCTTTAATAATTGCAATGAACTTGCTTTAGAGACCTTTAAGGAACGCCCACCCCACAGTAAATTGCTGGAAGGCCAATCCCTTCACTAGCAATTTAATGCTAAGAGCCGATGACGTTCATCAAATCTGACAGCATTTTGGTAAACGACGGCTCTGTTGATTAGGCCGCTGTCCACCCAAGTATTACAAGGCTGAGGAAGCCATAAATCTTAATCCACAGATAGCAGCATAAAGATCTAAGGCCCAGAAGTGGTGGGGGGAAAAGGACAGTATGAACAAGAGGCCATACATCACCACCAGCCCATTCCACAGGGAAGGTGGCAGCTCGGGAGCCCAACACAGCCATCGCCATGATCCTCCCCAAACCCCCAGGAATCTGAGGGGCTTGGGAAGGGTTTTACAGGTGGAAGTCATCGGCTTCTTGGCCAGGAGCCAGAGTTGGGATGACTCTGTGACCTTCTGGTCAAGGGATCTGGAGGCCAGTGTACCTGACGCAGCCCCTCCTGTCAGGGCAGCTCTACCCAAATGTGCTTTCTTATTGTTGGGTGAGACCGTAAGAAGAGAAACCTGTTCTCCTGGAGGCGGTGAATGGATTGGGCTTGGTCAGTAGAAACAGGGTGTGTGATTCAAGAGAGTTTCAGGGCTGGGCGCAGTGGCTCACGTCTGTTAATCCCAGCACTTTAGGAGGCCAAGGTGGGTGGATCGCATGAGCCCGGGAGTTCAAGACCAGTGTGGGCTACATAGCAAGAACCTGTCTCAAAAAAAAAAAAAAAAAAAAATCCAGCAAGACAGCCAGGAGGAGAGTACAGAGGGTGAATGGGGAGGCAAGGGGGCTGTGTGGACTGTGAATAAGGCTGGGACTGCAGGTGCTCACTGTGCACTGGGACCACTGCATCCCACCACGGTGTCCCCTGCTGACCAATGTGAATACACAAGGCGACCGTGTGGCCCCACTGATACCTCCTGGTTGGCATGGCCCTACAAGTGAAACCCCAAGACCGGGAGAGGACTGTGGTCCCTCTCTTGGTGGAGCAGCTTTTGAGAACTGGCCACTGGCCACTGGGGACTTGGCTGCCTTGACCACTCTGCCTACCTTGGCTGCCCCTAAGCATGGCAGGAGCCCATCCAAAAGGGTTAGGATAGAAAGATTGTCTTCCTCTCCATCCCATGGACCCAAGACTCTGTCTCCATGGACTGTCTACCATGGAGAAACTTTGGACTTAACTCCACTTCTTGGAGCCAGAGCAAACCAATCCAGCCTGTCTTCCTCATGACGGTAATAATGGTATAGCTGGCACCCCCAGTCTATTCACTCTGCTACCTCCAGCCTTCTTGACAAGAAGCTATAGGACTCATGGTTCCTGCTCATGTGGCCAGGGCAGGCAGGGTTTGCACCAAATGAACTGGTCTCTGAGGGGCTCTAGTCATAGCCGATGGAGGTAGGAGGGGGTGCCTCATCCAGGCTAAGCAGCAGCAGCCCAGGCCATGCCCTGAGAAAGGGATGAGCTGAGAGATTCAGACTGTCTCTGTCTTGGAAACTTTCAACTAACAAATATGGAGGGAGTGTAAAACCGTGTGTGGAGAAGGCACGATGGATCAGGGGAACACTGAAGCTACGAGTTGGCGGCAGCTCAGGGACAGGGAACAGAAGTGCAAGGACGGGGGCTGGGGAAGGTTGGTGGAGAGAGACGTAGCCCTGCTTCAAAGGCTTCCTGGTCCTCCTGTAGCCCCTTGCTCCCATGGGCGGTCCTTTCTGCACACATGAACCCAAAATATGAACCCAAACGTGGCGCTCTACTGTTTCAACCCTCTTGGAAATTCTCACATTTAGATTGAAATCCAAACTTCCTCCTGTGGTCTTCTAGGCCCTGCATGGCCGGTTCTTCCTACTTGCAACCCTGACACCCTCATCCCCACCCTTTCTGCCACCCTGTCCTGATCGCCCTGCCTCCTCTCAGCCTGTGCCCAGTGCCCGCTGCTCTCACTGTCCCCTCACCTGAAAGCCTCCCCCAGCCACAGATCTTTCCGGGGCTGGCTCCAGGTAACTCTCAGGCCCTGGCTGCGATGCGGCCCCTTGGGAGGCTGTGCTGCCCACCTTCGCTGAAGGAGCGCTCCCCCGACAGCTTCTCTTTCAGGCTGCTGTCCTCTGTCCTTCCTTCGTAGCACTGTCTTCCGACTCCCTTGCTTGCCTTTGGTCCTTTGCCTTCCCAACCTCCCCACCCGCTCCCCATCAACATGAGCTCCAGGAGAGCAGGGCTGGCCTCACTTATTGCTTGGAACCCGGCATCTGTAAGTGCCAAAACTGAGTATGTGCTCAATACATGAGCACGGAATGAAAGAAGTAAAGTATGAGTGAGCAAAGGAACATACTAGAGTGAAGAGCCCTGAGGCCTCCAGGCTGAGCTGCCCTCCCCATCTGCCCCTCTGTGATTAAAACAACAACAGGCAGCACCATTCACTATTTCTCCTGTGCCAGGCACTGCTTCAGCTTCTCTCCAAACACAGACCCCACTGATCCTCATTAATTGCCCTCATTAATTACCATTACCAACCTCACATGACAAATGAGAGCGCAGGCACCAAGGGGTTAAGCGTCTTAGCCACTGTGCAGCTGGCAGGAGGCGGAGCCAAGGCTTTGCACTGGGGCTGCTGGAAGGTTCCAGGGTCTATGCTCTTAGCCATTCCTCTGGACTTGTCTGTCACCTGTTCCCACCTGAAGCAGCAGGCAGCCCCTGCTGAGACCACCTGTAATGCACGCTGCACATGCTCCCCTCCAGCAGCCCTGGGAGGTTTCATTGATGATGAAACCAAAGCTCAGAGTGGTTACACGGCCAGCTCCAGAGCACACAGCTCACAGAGGTTACATGGCCAGGTCTGGGGTGCACAGCTCAGAGAGGCTACACAGCCAGCTCCGAGACACACAGCTCAGAGAGGTTACTCAGCCAGCTCTGGGGCACACAGCTCAGAGAGGTCACATGGCCAGCTCCAAGACACACAGCTCAGAGAGGTTACACAGAGAGCTCCAGGGCACACAGCTCAGAGAGGTTACACAGCCAGCTCCAGGGCACACAGCTCACAGAGGTTACACGTACATAGCTCAGAGAGGTTACACAGCCAGCTCCAGGACACACAGCCAGTGAGCAGTCCAAAGCCTACTCCTTCCACTCTCCAGGGGCTACAAATTCAAATGCCCCAAAGAACCAGACGGGAAATGGAAACACGAGATAAGAGAAATCATAGCCTAAATCTGATAATAAACCACAGCTACCACTCAGCCTCACCACTGAAGCTCTGGGGAGTGGTGGGGACTTTGGCAAACAGGAAAGCTCATGCCCTATCCAAAGGCAGTAGCTGGACTTGGCTCCTGCTGCTGGCTGCCTAGTGGGGAGGAGGATGGCCCAGCGTGGGGGCCAGACTTTTCCATTTTTTCCAGGGAAGAAGAGATCTAGATTTTTGATTTTGAGATAGGGTCTTGCTCTGTCCCCCAGGCTAGAGTGCAGTGGTGCGGTCATGGCTCACTGCACCCTTGAACTCCTGGCTTCAAGCGATCCTAACTGTCTCAGCCTCCTCAGTAGCTGGGACTAGAGGTGTGCGCTACTATGCCTGGCTAATTTTTTTATTTTTAGTAGAGATGGGACTCACTATGTTGCCTGGGGTGGTCTTGAACTCCTGAGCTCAGGTGATCCTCCTTCCTCGGCCTCCCAAAGTGCTAGGATTAGAGGCATGAGCCATTGCACCTGGCTAGATATATTTTTAATATAAAATCTTGTTAATTTAAATGTTGGCAAGCTTCGAAAAGTCTTTTAAAAGCTGTATGAGCCCAACAACCATTATCTGGGGGCAAGTTTGACCCACAGGCTTCAAGTGGTTAACTTCTGGACCCCGCCAGGCCCGCCATCCATGTATTTGAAGTCAGGTGTCACACCCTCCTCCCAGTTAAGCAGTCCCCATGTCTTCACAGCCCGAGCTTCAAAGGCAGGAACTGAGCCTTCTTGAATTTTTTTTTTTTTTGAACCCTAGAGCCTTGCACAGTGCCTGGGCCCTGCTGGGTATCAATACATGTCTGTTAAATTAACAGATGATTTCATTCATGACACATGTAGTTCATTCACCACTTTTGAATGCTCCCTGGTTTGTGTCTATCTTTAAGGTTGGTTCCCAAAAGCCTGGGTGTGTGGAGCAGAGTCCATGCTCTAGACTGGAGGGGGCCGGCTCTCGGTACCCATCCCACACTCCTCCTGGGGAGCCTTTCTGTGGGGTAGAGGCCAGAAAGCCAAATACTGCATTTCCCAGACTCCCTTTCTAAAGCTGTCCTCACAGGGTTAACAAGAATTCTCACAGAATATAGTTATAATTCAGCATTAATCACTGCACTTTGACCCACTTCCTTGTAACTGAAATTCACTGGATACTGACCATTAGCATTCCCATTATTCCTTATAGATTTCTGACTGTAGAATCATTAAGGCTTTTGTTTAAGAATTGCTTAAGATGTTTTTCAGATCTTAAATTCCAGCAAAACAACTCACGCTAGCCAGTTTGAAGGCCCCCCACAGAAGAACGGGATCTGCGTGAGAACACAGCTTCTTCATCTCCCTGTCCCGTGACTTCCCCCTGCACTCTTCCACCAATCAATGATCTCCACACATCAGCCTACTCCAAAACCCTTAAAAACACTGGCCCCAAACTCCTCCGGGAGACAGATTTGAGGTTTCCTTCCATCTCCTCGTTTGGCGGCCCTACAATTAAATCTCTCTCTCTGCTGAAACCCAGGGTCTATGTGTATAGACTTGCCAGCATCGTGCAATGGACCTATTATGGTTACATTTTGGCTTGGGTTCTGGGTGTGATTTAGGTTCAGCCAATCAGATGGCCTCACACGAGCCAGGGAAAGCAGAAGTGAGGTGAGGAGAGGAGGGGGATAGATGTTGGCTGTTTCAGTGCTAAGCACAGGGCATGGAGTTCTTCCATAATGTTCCTGACTGGCTAGCCAGGCTGCGGGGCAGGGTCTTCATAGCGCTGTCCCAGCAGGCATGGAGTCACTCTGAGGCCAACAGCTGGGGCAGTAACTCCCTGATTCCTGGATTGCAGCTAAGGTGACACCTTCCTGATGCTGATACCCCACCTTCCCAATGGTGTCCTAGGCAGCCGCTCTCCTGGCAGGCCCAGGCTAAGTGGCCATGCTTTTGAGGCACCATTCCTAGAGGCCCAGCCCAGAGTCCCCTCCTCATGCTAGCCCAAGGACTTCGTAAGCACCCGACTCCCTGCACTGCATTTGTTTCTGCTTAAAATAGCCTGAGTGGTCTCTGCTGTTAGGCACTGACTGACCCCTGACTGATACAGTGTAGAAGGACAATTACAGCCCTCGAGGCATCAGGAAATCAGGAAATTAGCTATGATTAGGCCCTGTGAAGTGTGGGACCACAAGGAGAGACTGAGGAGGATGCTAATTAATCTTAGGCCAAGTTTTTTAAATTGCACAGACTCTAGGGCCAGCTATTAAGCCACAATCTAAGACACAAATATGGCTCCTGATAATAGAAGGCTCTCAAAACAAGTAGAAGAACTGTCTTAAGTGAGAAGTGAAGAAAGGCCTCATTAGCAACAAATTAATATTCATTGCAGGGGACAAAAGGAGGCCTCCAGGCTGTGTGTCCTCCAGGCCTTGCTCCTCAGCACTGAGATCAGGCAGGGACACCCTTCCCCAGTTAATCAATGACTTGAAGATGCCCCTGTGGGGAGGCAGAAAGATCACTGGGTTTATAACCACAGCCCAGAGTTCAAATCCCAGCCTGCCCTCTTCCTTAGTAGCTATGCAACTCTAAGGAAGTCACCTTACCTCTCTTGGCCTTGATTTCTTCAGTAGCACAATGAGGACATTTTCTGACCTACAGGATTATTGTGGGTGGGCTGATAAAGGGTATGAAAGCATTTAACTATAGACCCATACATTTAGTACAGTGTGAAATCGTATGTGGTAGTAGTTCCCAATATTGGTGAACACAAGTTAAAAAATAACAACAGGCCTGACGTGGAGGCTCATGCCTGAAATCTCAGCACTTTGGGAGGCCGAGGCAGGAGGATCACTTGAGGCCAGAAGTTCAAGACTAGCCTGGGTAATATAGTGAATAAAAATAAGTAAAAAAAAAATAAAAAATATATAAAAATAAATAAAAATGTATTTAAATTTTTATTTTATATAAAAAAATAAAAAATATAGTACAAAAATAAATTTTAAAGAGAAAAAATTACAGTAATTTAAAAAATAACACTGCTTAAGCCTCAGCAAGTCAGAATCTCCGGGGGTGGGGCCTGAGCATCTATATTTTAAAACCTCCCTAGGCCATTTAAATGTACAGTCAGGGCTGAGAAATAAAAAGAAAATCTCAAGATCCCAGCCAACTGAATGAACCCCTTCTTGGCCAAGGGGACCCCAGAGAAACCTTACAACTGAGTTCCCAGCAATGATGGGACGGGAGGCCAGACATGCCTCATTATATCCCCTCCCTCCTTAACCGCCAGGAGGCTTTCTTTTCTAAGGGTTAAAAAGAAACCAGCCCTTTTCGGCCGGGCGCGGTGGCTCATGCCTGTAATCCCAGCACTTTGGCAGGTTGAGGCGGGCGGATCACCTGAGGTCAGGAGTTCGAGACCACCCTGGCCAACATGGTGAAACCCAGTCTCTATTAAAAATACAAAATCAGCCGAGTGTGGTGGCAGGCACCTGTAATCCCAGCTACTTGGGAGGCTGAGGCAGGAAAATCGCTTGAAACCGGGAGGCAGAGGTTGCAGTGAGCCAAGATCACACCACTGCACTCCACCCAGGGTGACAGAGCGAGACTCTGTCTCAAAAAAAGAAAAAAAAAAAAGAAAGAAATCAGCCCTTTTCAAAGACTCCACCACTGGTATCAACCAACAGCCTGCTGCCCCTCCCAACCAGCCTGCCTGCTGCCCCTCCCTTCTGTGGTTACTACACAACTGACCAGCATTTCTTCCTGGTAAGGGACCACTGACCATGGAGTGGTTCTGACCCCTCTATAGAGGATGCACAGTGAGGGTTTCCGTGTCTCCCGATTCGCCTTTTGACATCAGAAGGCCAAAACCTCCACCCTCAGATCCTGCTAATGCCGCCATTTTTTGACGATGGGATCCATGGAGAGGCATGAAGCTCAACTGCACATGCGCATATTTCTCCTTTCATAAATATTCATAACTCCTCCTACAGCTTACTGAATATGTATATTGCGCCACCTATTCAGCATAAATCCGTCTTATCCCTCTGAACTTCAAAGTGCAGTTTTCTGGCTTCTGGCCTGAGGCTGTGTTTCCTAGCCTGCCGGAATGGCCACCCGGGAGGGAGGCTGCCACCCTTTCTGAGAAATAAAGCTTTCCTTTCCAAGTGTGTGAACCTCGTCATTCTTCATTTGACGGGGCTGGGACCTGCTGGTCCCCGGTAAGGTATGAGTGACTATGAGGTAAAATATCCAGAACTATATGAGCAAGAACACAGAATTTGGGGCAAAAGATCTAAGACTGACTCTTGATTCTGCCACTTCTTAGCTGTTGACCTTGGAAAACTCACTGAACTTTTCTGAACCTCCATCTCTTCAGCTCCTTATAAAGAGGGACAATATTGGAACATACTCTACAGTTCTGCTGGGAGGGCAAAGGAGACGAGTTACATGGGAGCTGAGCCTACGTGTGGTACCTGGGGTAGATGCTCCAAAATGCAAGCTCCTGACATCAGCACACCAGCTGCAACCCAAAATGGCATCTCAGTTCCATGGGGCAGGGGCTTTGTCATATGCACCCACTGTATCCCTGACATCCAGAACTGTGCCTGGCACATAGTGGGTACTCAATAAAAAAATAGCTGAATGAATGAGTCATCATGATGGGACTCTGAGTCTGACCTTCCTATACCCCCAAGTGGGGCTGGAGTGGCCACATCCAAAGGGGAGGGCCGTGCAGCAGAGCGGTCTCTCCAAAGGTCAGTTCCACATGCAGAAAGGGCACACTACCATGCCCAGCCAGACCCACCTACTCCCCATAGGGTGTTTTTTTTTTTTTTTTTAGACAGGCTCTTGCTCTGTTGCCCAGGCTGGAGTGCAGTGGTGCAACTGTAGCTCACTGCGGGCTTAAACTTCTGGGCTCATGCAATCCTCCCACCTCAGCCTCCTGAGTAGCTGGGACTAGAGGTACGTGCTGCCACACCTGGCGAATTTTTTATTTTTATTTTTAGTAGAGATGAAGTCTCACTTTGTTGCCCAAGCTGGTCTCGAACTTCTGGGCTCAAAGTGATCCTCCCACCTCACCCTCCCAAAATGCTGGGATTGCATAAAGGAGCCACTGTGCCTGGCCCATGGGGGTTTTAAATGCTCTGATTGTATTTCTATTCCCACAGCCACCCACACTCTGTATTCTAAAGCGTGGGCTGGGGCCACAGTCTCCAGACCTGGTGCCATCCTCGGCGCTGGACTTTACTGGGGGCTGTCCGTGAACTGCGTCTTAAGGCTTCTTCAGCTTCTCGAAACAGAGTTCTTCGTCCATAATCTGCACCAGAGACGAGGGAAGGAGACTTGGTGAGGCACTGATGACAAGCTCACAGTACTGGGTTGGTTTGTAACTCATGTCTAAAATGCGTATCAGTGTGCCCAAAGTCTTGTGTATGAGGACATTGACTACAGCGTGGTTGTGGCAACAAGACATCAGAAAACAAGCTAAATGTTGAGCAAAAAAGGAATGGGTAAATAAGTTCCAGTATATATATCCATGCCATGGAATAATATGTATAATATATGGCCGGATCAGGCAGGTCTGTATATACAGAGAAGAGTCTCTAAGCTACAGAGACAAGGTTCAGGACAGTAGGTACAAGAGGTCACCATTTGTGTAAAAGAGTGTAGAGGGTGAATCTCTTTGCTGAATGAATGAATGAATGAATGAAGGTACTGCTGGTGTTCCAAGTACACAGAATCCTGTTATCTGTTCCTCCCTGAAACCTGGACCAGGAAAAGCTGAATTCTCCTTACTAGCAGCAGCAGGTCTGCCTCCACTGTGAAAACTAGGAGAGCCACTGGTTTCCCTCTTTGCCCTGGGGGCTGGGGAGCTCAAGCTACACTCTGAGTTCAACTGTAGTGGCTCTCCTAGGAAACCATTTCAGGAATCATTTTCTCTTCTTGCCCTTTTGTTGTTGTTTTGACTTTTACTATATATTAATGGCTTGGGATCTTACCATGTCTGTGAGGCCATAGATTAGAATAACACAAATCAGTTACTGTGTGACAGACAGCTTACATTTCTTACATCATTTAATCTTCCCAGCAAGCCTGCAAGGTGGGCATAATTATTCCCATTTTATGCAAGAGGAAACTGAGGGTCAGAGAGGTCCTAACTGCCTAAGGTCTCAAAGCCAGAAAGTGGCAGAACAGGGTTCATTCAAATCCAGTCTGCCTCATTCCAGATCTTCTTGTAACTTGCTTGGTAGCACACTGGCCTCTCCAACAAGGCAGCCTACCTTAAAGGCATTCTGACAGCTACTTGGGATAAGCAGTCTCGCCAGTCCCATTTTATTATTGTTTTTTAAATATTTATTTATTTATTTTGAAACAGGGTCTTGCTCTGTCACCCAGGCTGGAGTACAGTGGCATAGTCATAGCTCATTGCAACCTTGACTTCCCGGGCCCAGTCAGTCCTCCTGCCTCAGCCTCCTGAGTAGGTGAGACTACAGGCATGCACCACCATGCCCAGCTACTTTTGTATTTTTTGCAGATACAGGGTCTCACTATGTTGCCCAGGCTGGCCTCTAACTCCTGAGCTCAAACGATCTGCCCACCTTGGCCTCCCAAAGTGCTGGGATTACAGGCCTGAGCCACCATGTCTAACTGAGTCCCATTTTAAAGATGAGCAAACAAAGGCACAGAGAGACTAAGTGGCTTCCCCATGGTATCCTGACTCCACGTGCTCTGCTGTTTCATTCATTCAACTGCCCAATCATTTTCCGTGTCTATGCTAGGCTGGGTTGGGAATTTTTCTATTACACACAAGCTTCCTGTGGTTTTCTTATAGGGCACGTGAAATCCATTTAAAGTATGCACAGTATAGATTAACTAAATACAGAAATGAGTGGTAAAATCAAATATTACACAGGGGTTAGGTACTAAAGTTAAAACATACTAAGTGAAAAATCAGATATAATCCAAAATTTCCCTAGACATTTCCTTAAAGTACTGACTTAAGACCCAGGAAATGTAAAAGCTAGAAATTTACTGCTTTGGCTGCCTTTGCTCTGGGGTAGTAGAGGCCAAGACTAGTTTAAACAGGAATAAAACAGGATTTCTCTTTCTCATTCTTATGCTCTCTTTCTGGCCATGCGGGTGTAGTTAACTTGTGTTCGTTGTTCACATGCACAGGATGTGGTTCCATAATCCCTATTTTTTTTTTTTTTTTTTTGACAGAGTCTCGCTCTGTCACCCATGCTGGAGTGCAGTGGTGCGATTTCGGCTCACTGCAACCTCCGCCTCCCAGGTTTAAGTGATTCTTGTGCCTCGGCCTCCTCAGTAGCTGGGACTACAGGTGCATGCCATCATGCCTGGCTAATTTTCGTATTTTTAGTAGAGATAGGGTTTCACCATGTTGCCCAGGCTGGTCTGGAACTCTTGGCCTCAAGTGATCCACCCGCCTCAGCCTCCCAAAGTGATGTGATTACAGGTGTGAGCCACTGCACCCTGCCCCTAATTAATTTTGATTAACAGAGCTGAGACTCAGCCTGGAGGGCCTGTGCTCACCGTGTGTCCCCTCCGTGTGGGAGGCACTTCTGGAGAAGTCAGAGTGAATAGCTTTCCGCGGTGATGATTTCAGCTCCGAATTGGCACCGTTGACATAGACAGAGAAACCTTGCTCCAAGTGCTCCAGCCTCAATTGCACGGGGTCCTTGCTTTTCAAATGCTTTAATATCCTGAAAGAGAAACGGTGGGTTGTTCCTCCTCATCATTTGAGAGTCTGGGCTGCTGTACCCCCAAGCCAGGAGTGAACTGCTGTTCCCACAGTGAAGCGTCTCTAATCAGAGCCCAGGGGGCGTGTGCCCAGCTGTTTGTCTACAAACAGCCTCTGACAGGCCCATTACCCACTTAGAGAAGCCACGAGGGGCAGACAGTTTGGGGCCCTACAGGGAAGTTTCTGCAGCTCTCATTCTGAGGCTCAAATACACATTAGCGAAAAAGAACACACCCAGTTCATGCCCCGTGCTGGCCAAGGCAGAGAGGAGGCGTGTGTTTACACACTGCTATCATACAGCCTGGGCTTTCTGAAAAGATCCCAATTTTATGCAATTTCACTTTGTGTGAAACTTTGTTTGATGTGTAACAAAAAGGGGTTTTTAGGCTCTCAGGCTTTGTGAGAGAGATTTCATACCACCCATTTACAAATCAGAAAACAGCTTTCGTCAGACCAGGTGGGCTAACGTTTTGCTTCAGTGAATAGATGTGTTCTCAAAACACTCACCCCTGATATTTCAAAGGCCATCATGTCATATTCTAATGCAGTTAAAAAATATATCAATGCAGGCGTTGGTTCAAGGTTAACAATAGGATTATCACATCTTTTGGCTAAAAGGCAGGAGTGTTGCCAGGTCCCTAATTTAGCTTTCACTGAAGCCCATCCTTACACCTTGGGCCTGGTCCTTTACCCAATCCTGATGTCACACTGCCATATGCAGAGTACAGTGTCTTCTTCAGCCCCCAGAGAACTGCTTCCATTGGACGCCAGACTCGCCTGCATTTTATACACAGCTTTAGACACTCCTACATCAACAACATTTATACAGACAACCAGCCAACCTAGCAACAAGTGTGCCTCTTCTTCAGTAATTAAATAAGTGCCAATCAAATTAGCAAAATTTAAATTTTAAAAAATAATAGCAATCACATAAAAGGTGCATACTGTATGCTAAACTCTGTTCTAAAAACCTAAAGTCGATTCTCATTATTCGCAGTACGAGCGGTCTAGAAAGTCACCGTGAATTCTGAATTAGAGAATTTGGAACTACTGCTTCTAGAGGAAATACAGGGTCAGGTGCCTGTGAGTCTTTGTTCACATTTTCATGAACCAATCAACACAGAACCTTGTGTATGTGTGTTTCTGTTTAAAGATGCCTTATTACGCCGTTGATTCATTCACACCAAACTCACAGCCAAAAGCACTATCACTCATGCCTGAACAAAGCTTCCTAACATATGTATTTTCTTCATAAGGCATATCACAGCCTCATGCTTAGGAACACTGAACAGCATTTCTGCACTATGTATAAGGCCAGTTTAAGCAACGAAATCACCAGCAGAAAGCACAAAAATGTGAAAAACATGGCACTACGTACAAGGCAAAAAGGACACTTGTTTATAGTATGAGAGGCAGAGAATTGCCTTGTTCTATATCAGCTGGGAACGTGTGTATCGGGGGACTAAAGATGTTGCCTCTCTGCACGTGTCTGCAAGTGACCGCAAAAATGCAGCAAGTATTGACTGTGGGGTTACAGATCAGTTTTAATGATGACACAAATTCACAGACAGAAAGTCAGAGAATAATGATGATCAACGATATGAAGAAGTTACTCTTCACAATAATCCTACAGGGTAACCACTTTTTTTTTTTTTTTTGAGACGGAGTCTCGCACTGCCACCCAGGCTGGAGTGCAGTGGTGCGATCTCGGCTCACTGCAACCTCCACCTCCTGGGGTTCAAGCGATTCTGATTCTCCTACCTCAGCCTCCCAGGTAGCTTGGACTACAGGCATGTGCCACCACACCTAGCTAATTTTTTTTTTTTGCGTGTGTTTTTAGTAGAGACAGGGTTTCACCATGTTGGCCAGGCTGGTCTTAAACTCCTGACCATCTGCCCACTTCGGCCTCCCAGAGTGTTGGGATTACAGGCGTGAGCCACTGTGCCTGGCCATAATCACTTTTATTATCTCCATTTAGTAGATAAGGAGTATAAGGCATAGAAAGGTTAAAGAACTTGCCCAAGGTCACATAGCTATTATAGTATGTGGCAGGGGTAGAATGCAAACTTAGGCAATTTGGCTCCAGAGTCTACACCAAAACGAAGACAACTTGTAAAGCTAGCAAGATGATGTTGAAACTGGCAAACTTAGACATCGCTGGTAATTCATAGAACCTTCTCAGAAGTAGTATGAAAATATAGAAAATGCCATATGTTTGGTCTTTGCCCAGTAAGCACATTCCGGCAAATTGTTCCTAAGCATATGAACTCTGGGCAAGAAGATAGTCAGTGTTCAGTAATAACAAAACTCTGGAAGCAACCCAAATGTCCAACACCAGAGAAGTGGAAGCTGCTATTACACAGATGTTATCATTATGAAGACTCTATAGAAACATGGGGGACTGTGATCTGTTCAGTGGGGGGCGGGGGAGTGGTGATGAAAAAGGCAGAATAAAAATGATACAGAGGCCAGAGCACAGTGGCTCATGCCTGTAATCCCAGCACTTTGGGAGGCTGGGGCAGGCAGACTGGACTGCTTGAGCCCAGGCGTTCTGAGATTAGCCTGGGCAACATGGTGAAACCCCGTCTCTATAAAAAATATAAAAATTAACTGGGCGTGGTAGCGTGCACCTGTGGTTCTAGCTACTTGGGAGGCTGGGGCAGGAGGATGGCTTGAACTGGGGAGGTTGAGGCTGTAGTGAGACATGATCATGCCACTGCACTCCAGCCCGGGTGACAGACAGAGACCTTGTCTCCAAAAAAAAAAAGAAAGAAAGAAAAAAGAAAAGAAATGAAATGAAAAGAAAAAGGCATATGTAGTAAAGGTAATGTTGGAAAACTGTGTGTTTGTGGACCCAGTGTGGAAGGTGATAAATGTAACATGAAATGAGTTGTTGAGGGAAGGTGGTGGCATTGTGGGTGATTTCTTTGTTTATTTTTTAAATGTTTCTTTAGCAGCTGATACATTCATCTTTTCACCAATTGTGGCAGGAACATTTATTACAGGCTGCTTATCTCTTGCCAGCCTTGGAAGCCTGGGAGATGCCTGATTGTTGGGCAACAACATAAAACGGAAGAAAAACACAAGTAACTAAGAGACAATTTCCAAACACAGCAATAGCTACGCTTGCAAGAGCAAACAATCAAGGGACAATGTAGGCACCGTCAGTCTCCAGGGAGGGAGCAGGAGCCTAGGTCCTGGGAGGCCTGTGGCGGGGCAGAGTGGGGAATCTGATCACCCAGGCAGACAGCCTGCCTCAACTTCTCTCCCTGCCTTCTGATGCCACGTTAACAGTCACGGCATCCAGCTATCCAGGATCTGAGACTGGCAGTCCACGGGTGCCCCTCCTTAGGCAGAATGATTTATGAAAATGTAGATTTATGAAACTGATAAATTAGGAGATAATTATTCAGACTGGAAAGGAATTGCTAAAGGAACTCCCCTACTGCAATGGAGTGCATCAGTAATATCCAGGTGGCATCAAAGAAAAGTGTTTTTTAAAAATTGATAGCCTACTTTGCATAAAAAGCTGTCCTGGGCAGAGGGGACTCAGATAAATCAGATTCCTCTCCTGCCCTATCTAAAATCGAACTCTTCCCTCCTGCTGCCCTGCCACCCTCTACTGGCTTGCCGGTTCAACTTTTTCCAATGGCACACTATCACTGGCTAATGTTATATTATGGATGTATCTGTGTATTTGTTTATTCTTCTTCCCCCGCACTGGACTCTGAGCCTCTGTCCTATGGGCCATGGTGCCTGCTGAATGAGGAAAGCTCTCAATGGCTATTTCTTTCTTTTCTTTTTTTCCCGGGTCTTGCTCTGGTGCCCAGGCTGGAGTGTAGTGGTGTGATCACAGCTCACTGCAGCCTTGATCTCCTGGGCTCAAGCAATCCTCCCACCTCAGCCTCTCGAGTAGCAGGGACTACAGGTGCGTGCCACCACACCCGGCTAATTTTTGTATTTTTTTTTTGTAGAGACAGGGTCTCCCTGTGTTGTCCAGGCTGGTCTCAAACTCCTAGGCTCAGTGGATCCACCCACCTTGGCTTCCCAAAGTCCTGGGATTACAGGCATGAGCCACTGCGTCTGGCCTCAATGCCTGTTTCTGGAACAAGTGACCCCAAGGATCTCAAGTTGGGGCAGGAGACATGGATGAATACCCTAGTGCTCACAGCTACTATTCACGTGATGCACACCACACCCATCATTTCCATTTTATGCCCATGTTGGCCTTTGGGATCACCTGCACAGATGAGGAAGTGAAGGAGTGAGTGGGGAGTACAGGGTGTGATGAGGCAGTCTAGGGACCTGACATGGCTGGGGCTGGGGTGGTTCGGGGAGGAGTCTCCTCCTCGTGGGCCACCGGGGCAGGGACCTAGATGGCAAGGAGGACCCAGTGAACACAAGGGCCCTTTGAACACAAAGTTTCAAAGGGAAACTTACAGGAAAACTTGCCCACAAAAGTGCTGGGCCTGCAGCCCCAGGAGAAGATCCAGGCAGAAAGAAGGAAGGAGAGAACCAGCATCACTGGGGGCCTCACCTGGACCTTTGTCTGAGCCAGAGCTTTAACCCAGTCTATCCTTTTGTCCTCATGGCAGCCCAGGGAGGTGCCGGCATCTTTAGTCTCCTGTTACAGAAGAGGAAACAGACCCCAGGGAGGTTTAGGGACTTGCTCAAGGTCATGCAAGCTGGGGAAATGGCAGAGCCTCTGGCAATGAGGACCCTTTGAACACAAGGGCCCTTTGAACACAAAGGGCAGGTCACTGTGTTCTCAGAGGGCAGCGGCTTAATTGTGACTAGGCTTATGACTGAGTGGTCTCTGAGTGGTGTGGCTGCCATGGCACTATAGATGAACCACATGGTTCCTCCAGATCTCGGTCATCTCAGGTCGCCTGAGGGGTTTCCCCAAGGATCAGCCATTCAAGAATTACCTGGATGTCAATTTGGGGAGAAGGCATTTATATCGAAAGGATGATAATAATAATAAACATTAAAAAAATTAGCTGGATGTGGTGGCCCGCACATGTAGGCCCAGCTACTAGGGAATCTGAGGCAAGAGGATCGCTTGAGTCCAGGGGTTGGAGAGTGCAGTGAGCTATGATCACACCAATGCACTCCAACCTAGGCAACAGAGTGAGACCCCCATCTCAATCAATCAATCAATCAATCAGTCAATAACTGAATGATGATAATGATGATGATGATAATGATGATGAATACTGGGTTGGGTAGGGGGCTTGCTATGGGCCTTCAAGGGCCTTGTCTCACTTCACCCTTCAGTGATCCTGGGACTGAGGTTCTGTTGGCCTGTTTTAGAAATGAACTTGCCCAAGGCCAGAGAGCCAAGGAAACCTCCAACCTGGATTTGAGTTCTGGCCCGTGGGGCTGCAGTGCTTGTGCTCTCCCCTGCTCCTTCCTGCTGTTTCTTGCCTCTAGCACCAGGCATCACAGAGGCTCTGAGCAAGAAGAGGTCAGAGGAGAGAGCACTGGCTCGCAACTGGGGGCTCCTTGGAGGGGGTGGCATTTGAGTCCAGTCTTGAAGGGTGAAGACAGGGAGGGCAGGGGTGTAAAAAGAAGCCTGCCATTCCTCCCCAGAACCTGTAGGTCACCTAGGATGCTCCACAGAGCTGCACATAAGAGCATCTGTGCAGGTGGAGGAGGTGAGTGTGGAGGACGGAGCTCATTGCCAGAGACTCCACCATTTCCCCAGCTTGCATGACCTTGAGCAAGTTCCTAAACCTCCCTGGGGTCTGTTTCCTCTTCTGTAACAGGAGACTAAAGATGCCGGCACCTCCCTGGGCTGCCATGAGGACAAAAGGATAGACTGGGTTAAAGCGCTGGCTCAGACAAAGGTCCAGGTGAGGCCCCCAGTGATGCTGGTTCTCTCCTTCCTTCTTTCTGCCTGGATCTTCTCCTGGGGCTGCAGGCCCAGCACTTTTGTGGGCAAGTTTTCCTGTAAGTTTCCCTTGAATGACCTTTCTCAAGGACCAAATGATCACAGCATTGCTGGATTCTTGGACCTGGAGAGCAAATCTGGGTCTACCCCCTGCAGTCTAGAGGTGTATATTACAGCCCCTCTCTGCTGTCACCTCTTCAGATACAAGGGCCCTCATCTTCTCAGTCGATCTTCATCACTCAGCCCTTTGATCACTCCGCCTGCCCTTTTATGAATCTTGTCGGGCATGATTACCTCTTTCATGAGGTTGAGTGACAAGAATCACTCAGAGTCCACTGGGACAGGCAGCTGGCAGGGTTTCTGCAGGAGTGAGGCAAGGCTGTCACATCTCCAGACTCTGTCCCCCTACTCCCTGCCCCCAGTCTTCTCCTGGAGCACACAATCACTTTCTGCTTCTTTTGTCATAGTTATAGGTGGCCTTGCGCTCACCCTGCCACTACTGGGGAGTTCTTCAAGGGTAAGAGCTGTGTGGTGGACACCTGCTCTCTCTGCCTGGCCAGGAATCTCCCCCATCTTCCAAACAGAGCCCCTCAGATCTCCACTGGGTACAGCACCATTCCTTCTTTGACTCCATGAAACTGACTCCACCGGGTGAAACTGACTCCACTGCACAATGTAGTGGGGTGGCCAAGGAACGGCCAGTAGACTGCGCCATCTCACCAGACACAGGGAGTGATTGGCTTGTATATAGTTAGGATGTATGACCCCTCTAAATCTCATGCTGGATTGTAATCCCTAGTGTCGAGGTAGGACCTGGTGGGAGGTGACTGAATCATGGGGGCAGAGTTCTCATGAATGGTTTAGCAGCATCCCCTTGATGTTGTCCTTGCGATAGTGAGTTCTCCCAAGATCTGGCCATTTACAAGTGTGTGGCACCTCCCCCCCACCCTCTCTCTCCTGCTCTCAACATGTGATGTGCCTGCTTTCACTTTGCCTTCAGCCATGAATACAAGCTCCCTGAGGCCTCCCCAGAAGCCAAGCAGATGGCGGCACCATGCTTCCTGTACAGCCTGCAGAATCGTGAGCCAATGAAACCTTTCTCTTTATAAATTACCCAGTCTCAGCTGTTACTTTATAGTAATGCAAAAATGGCCTAACGTAGCTTGGGATGGAATTGGGCCCATGCCAGGCCAATGGGAACCTTCCTCAGCACTTTTGCTGGAAGCATTAGGAAAGATACCTAATGCTTCTAGGTAGGATGTACGTAGGGGCTTTTCCTGGCTGTCTTGGCCACTGCAAGTGAAGTACCTGCCTGAGAATGGCTCTAATATGGGAAAACGAGGGTATAGAAAATGGAGAATAGTCGATTTTGATTACATAATCTAAACACTTGGATGTAGCTATGCCTGAGGCCAAGAGTATCATGATGAATTTCTTTTTTTTTTTAGAGACAGTGTCTCACTCTATCACCCAGCCTGGAGTGCAGTGGCATAATCATAGCTCACTGCAGTCTTGAATTCCTAGACTCAAGTGATCCTCCCACCTCAGCCTCCTAAGTAGTGAGTAGCTAGAACTATAGGTGGATGCCACCACACCTGGCTATTTAAAAAAAATATTTTAGAGACGGGGTTTTGAACTTCTGGGCTCAAGCGATCCTCCTGCCTTAGCCTCCTGCATAGTTGGGGTTACAAGCAGAAGCCACCATGCCCAGCTCAATGTTGGATTTCTTAATTCCATGAGCCAGTGTTTCCTAGCTGCTTAAGTCCATTTACTTTGAGTTTCTGTCTCTTACAGCCAAAACATACTAATACAGTCTGTGTCTTCCTTATCACAATGCTTCCCTTTGCATTAATGGCAATGCCAGGCACTTAGAAGGTACTCAGTGAAATCCTGCTAAATGAATAAAAGAAAAATGTTGCCCTGCTTCTTATGGGAAGCTGTGTTCTAGGCAGATCTCTGCTCAGAACTCACTCCAACGATTACATCCCCCCTTCTCGGGTTACAGACAACCCAGATAAGCAGCCTGGGTTTTCATCTCCCTCAATGTCCAGCGTAAAGCTCAGAGGCTAGTTTTCTATCTGGTCCTATAACTAGATTTCCAAGTAAATTGCAGTTCTTCCCACAAAACCCCTCCTCACTTAACATAGGGCCACTGGCAATCCGGCAGGTTTTTTTTTCTCCTCTTGATTGTTTATGACAACATCAAGCAAAACGTAGAGTCCAGCCCGGCTCCACCACTTTCTGGCTGTGAGACCTCGGGCAAGTTGCTCACTGCTCGGAGCCTCCACTTCCTTGCCTGTAAAATGGGTGCAGTTACTCTGCCCCATTGGGTAGTGTGCAGACAAAGTAAAATGATGGGTTGAGGTGCCGGGCATATGGCTGGCACTCTGCAAAAGGTGCCTTTGAGATTTCACCGACGATGGCTCAGGGGGATTCCCATTCTTCACAAGTCTCCACTGGAAGGTGTTTCTTTCCAGCTCTACCTTCTAATTTCCTGTCATCACGACAGCTCCATCTTGGTGACAACACGTCCCCCCAAATTTTATGGCAACTCAGTTTTGATATAGCTTTTAATTGTCTTTGTGCTATAACCTTGTCTCTGGAAATTCTCATTTATACTATTGGCCAGTGCCTCTTTGATTGCACACTTATTGATCCCCCAATTAATGAGAAACAATTTGTTCATAAGGAACTGTGACAGCCTCTCCCCAGACAAGTCACATGCAGATGATTAAACAATCACCCAGGTGTTCAGTGGCACCATCCAGTCTGCCAGAGATTGAATAAAAACATCCTGCTCTGTGGCATTAATGATGATGGAAACCCACGTCGGTCTAATCAGCACAAGCCTTCGCCATTCTAGTTTGAGGTTGATGTGGGGATGGAGGGGGATGAGCACAGAGCTGCTGGGCACAGAGGACACTGTTGTGGCGTTTCTGGCTGGCCCTGGAGAGATTGTCTGTTCCGAAGATCTCTACCAGGGGTGGTGCTGCCTCAGTAGGTAGGTATCTGGAAAGTGGGTGGGTGCTGTCATAGATGGAATTTAGGGTCTTACTGAAATTTAGTAAAGGGGCTGGTGGGCAGAGATGCTAAACTCCTGCAATTCGTGAGATTACAAAAACTTGTCCCATGCAACATGCCACCAAGGCCCCTGTTGATAACACTGAGTCCAGTCAGTGAGACCAGAGCTGAAGTCACATGCAGGATGACACCTCCCTACCCCAGACTCTGTTATCTGCAAGACCCTAAGCCCACTCCGATAACACAGAGGCCCACATTCGTACCCATTCCCCTTTCTTCCCCTTCCCCCCACCAGTTCTGTGGGCCTGCGTTGTTTTTCTGTTTGCTTTGTGCTTTCACTTGAATTCATTACCAACATTTTAAAACTCAGGAGATTTCACAGGCCAAATGCAGATCTCCAGCTTCTCTGGCAGACTTGGGAGGATCAGGACCTGGGGGAACTGTGGTCTCACAGACAGCTGGCCTGGGCTGAGCAGCTTGGAGACAGGAGCTCAGGTATCCACTGTTCCACTGAGCCAGCTCCACTCACTGCCTGGCCACTCCCAGCATCTGAATTTGCAAATCCCCAGCTTATTGCAAAGTTTGAGGCCTGAAGACAAACTGCGGTGAACTGAAAATGAACTTCCTCAGCCCTACAAAGGAACCAAGGCAATGATGCCTCTTTCAAACCAGACCATGATGTTTTGACCTTGATCGCTACACACTGGACCTACTGCAAGCTTTTTCAAGAACAAGCATTCCAGAGACAAAATCAGTCCTACTTTAACTTCAAATGACTTATCGACCAACTTCAAACGCCAATGTAAAATGACTCCATTTTTGCATAACACGACATGATTATAGGCTCAGATTTCAGGGACTGTCAAAGCCTGCACAATCACAGACTGGGCTCTTCAGGTGGTTCTTGCACAAGCCCTGCCAAATCCAAGCCTTTTTTGACAACCTTATCTTCTCCCAGAATAGGAGCAGGGAGGGAAGAGGCGGTACTTACACATCGAGCAGTTTGCTACAGCTCAGTCAAAAAATGCAATTAAATCAGTGAATGGAGAAATAGGAGCTGGGGTTGCAGATAATATTCTAAGCCTCTGAGTGGAGGGGGACTCTGCATCCCATTCCTATGTGAGGCAGGGCCTGCCTGCTGTTAATAAATCTAAATAGATTTTTACTTCGCTAATATCAAGGGCTGCCGTCGAGTGGCTTCTCTTACCGGTTCCTCTGCTGAAGCAATATTAAATACTCATCATGTTTCTCATCAAAGTCTGTCACCATGTCCTTAGCGTAACCCTGAAATGAAGAAACAGAGCAGTGTGATATCGGAATGCAGGGAAGCACTGACTGAGAGTGCAGGTGCAGCACACACCGGCGCAGCAGGCTGAGAGGCGGAGGCTGACCTTGACGAAGGCCCAACACCCCAGGCGCATTGCTCCAGCGACCTGGAGCCCCAGAGACTGTCTGATGGCCCCATGGGTCTTAGGCATACACACCTTTAATCATCTATGAAAAGGAGAAGGTCAATTCCCGCCTCTCGCTACTGTTCGTTCCTCCCATGCCCTCTAAGATCAAGGGTTCTGACATGATTTGGGCTCTACTGTTTTCTCAACACTCACTATTTAGTTATCTCAATTGTCATAACCAGAGGCAACCCAAATCAGTTGTTTAAAAGGGGATCTTGGTCGGGCACAGTGGCTCATGCCTGTAAAACTAGCACTTTGGGAGGCTGAGGCGAGAGGATTGCTTGAGCCCAGGAGTTTCAGACTAACCTGGGTAACCTAGGGAGACCTTATCTCTACAAATAATTTAAAAATTAGCCAGGCCTGGGTGGTGCATGCCTGTGGTCCCAGCTACTTGGCGGGGGCTGAAGGGGGAGGACTGCCTGAGTCTTGGAAGTTGAAGCTGCAGTGAGCCATGACTGCGCCACTGCACTCCAGCCTGGGCAACAGAGTGTCTCAAAGAACAAAAAGGGGAGGGGAATCTTATTTTCCCCCTGCCATTTCAAGAGAAATGTATGTTAATTATAAACAATGCAGTCATTACAGAAATCTATGACCCAGACTGGAGGCCCACTTGGAGTGGACATCTGTGGTTCTGTGTCTCCTCTTCTGCCAAAGGGGCCCTGGGTTTCCTTTGGGGAACTGCTCAGCCCCTTCTTGCAGTTCACTGGCTTCCGTAGATGACCTTGAAAGTGACTTTGTTCTTCTCTTGGTTCACATGACCTTGGCCTTGCCAATCAACATAGGGCTTCCCCCAGTCACAGTGATTTACCACTTTAGGGGTGAACCATGACCCGAGTCAGCCCCGGGACTTTGCTGATACCCTTGGAAAAAGAGCTGCTCTCTTCCCATTTGAATGCTGTGCCAATGAGAAGCAGGCCTGGAACCGCCTGAGAATGAAGCTAATAAAAAAAACCAGCATATCCAAGAGATGCAGAGGCAGATTCCTAATGACATAATTTGAGTCCCTGGATTCACCTATGCCTAAAGAAGTATCCAGACAATTCAGTTAATGCCTTAGAAGTTTCAGCTGAGTTTCTGTCATTTGCAGCCAAAAGAATTTTAAGTAATATACTATAATCTGACCATCAGAGATAATCTCTGGTATAATTTATTATGGCTGGGGGAGAGTAATGTATAATAAACTACATATATTTAAAGTGATATATGCATGTACCAGTAAAACTGCTATTGTAATTTGATATATATATCTTCCTCCGGGTGCTTTTCTTTGTTTATAATATACAAAGATACATATCTACATATAAACACATATATACTCTTTAAAAAGCATTTTTTTTTTTTTTTTTTTTTTTTTTTTTTTTTTTTTTAGTAGAGATGGCATCTCACTATGTTGCACAGGCTGGTCTCTAACTCCTGGGCTCAAGTGATCCTCCTGCCTTGGCCTCTCAAAGTGCTGGGATTACAGGCATGAGCCACTGCACTCAGCCCCATATACCCTTTTATTTCTTTTATTTTTTATTTTTTTTCTGAGACAGAGTCTTGCTCTGTCACCCAGGCTGGAGTGCAGTGGCGCGATCTCAGCTCACTGAAACCTCCATCTCCCAGGTTCAAGCGATTCTCCTGCCTCAGACTCCCAAGTAGCTGGGACTACAGTCACCTGCCACCATGCCCAGCTAATTTTTGTATTTTTAGTAGACACAGGGTTTCACTATGTTGGCCAGGCTGGTCTCTTAACTCCTGGCCTCATGTAATCTGCCTGCCTTGGCCTCCCAAACTGCTGGGATTACAAGTGTGAGCCACTGCGCCCGGCCTCATGTACTCTTTTAAACAAAAATAGGATCATACAATAAACAATGCTTTGCAATTTGCTTTTTCTTTTTCTTTTTTTCTTTGAAATGGAGTCTTGCTCTGTTGCCCAGGCTGAAGTGCAGTGGCACAATCTTGGCTCACTGCAACCTCTGCCTCCCGGATTCTCCTGCCTCAGCCTCCTGAGTAGCTGAGATCACAGGTTTGTGCCACCACACCCAGCTAATTTATATATTTTTAGTAGAGACAGGGTTTTACCATGTTGGCCAGTCTGGTCTTAAACTCCTGAACTCAGGTGGTCCTCCCACCTTGGCCTCCCAAAGTGTTGGTACTACAGGTGCGAGCCACCGCACCTGGCCAATTTGCTGTTTTTTTTAACTTTGTTGCCAAGGGGAGGATTAACGATACAATATCAGCTTGGTACTGGTCCCAAGTTATAGCAAGTTATGGGGATTAAGTTTTAAATGGCAAGTAGGGCATTTGTATCAGAAATGCAACTTGTGTGGGAACCTTAATGCTTATCCTGGGAAGAAAAGAGAGAGAAAAATAGAAATCTCTACTATTCTCTTCTTAACTTCTCAAAATATGGCTCTAGCCCCATTATTCTATTAGAACCCTACCCAAGAGAGACCCAGGACCACCTTAACTTAATGCAATAGGTCTTCTCTCCATCCTTTTCCATTGCTCTGAGCCATGGGAATCTGCTCATCTGTCATGCCATTCCAAGTTGAGAATGATGGGCATTCCTTTTCTCTCTCTCTCATCCTCATGATAATCATTAAGATTCCCACTACAGGCCGGGCACAGTGGCTCACGCCTGTAATCCCAGCACTTTGGAAGGCTGAGGTGGGCCGATCACAAGGTCAGGAGATTGAGACCATCCCGGCTAACATGGTGAAACCCCGTCTCTACTAAAAATACAAAAAATTAGTCAGGCATGGTGGTACACGTCTGTAGTCCCAGCTACGTGGGAGGCTGAGGCAGGAGAATCGCTTGAACTTGGGAGGCAGAGGTTGCAGTGAGCTGAGATCACACCATTGCATTCCAGCCTGGGCAACAGAATGAGACTCCGTCTCAAAAAAAAATAATAATAAATAAATAAAATAATAATAATAAAAAAGATTCCCACTCCATTTCTTAAAAAAAAAAAAAAAAGGCCAGATGTGGTGGTGCATGCCTGTATTCCCAGCTGCTCGGGAGGCTGAGACAGGAGGATGGCTTGAGTCTAGGAGTTCAAGGTTACAGTGAGCTATGATTGCACCACTGCACTGCAGCCTGGGCAACAGAGTGAGACCCTGTCTCTAAAAAACGTCCTACTTGCCAAATTCTCTTCCTCTGCATCTGCAGTGCTGAATGAGCCACTCTTCCCATGCAGCTTTCTGCCTGTGCCTTCTCTAGCTAGCCTTCACCCTGTGCCCTCAATTGTGGAAGGTCAGTGTCTGCCTGAGTCTCCATTTCACCAGTCTTGGGTTTTTCTCCCTCCCATCTTCACTTCTCCCTCCAATTACAAGGAAAAGAGCCTGATGTGCAGCCCAGTCATGCCTAGTCCAGGGCTAACACCCTGATGCCCTTTCTCCTCCTGTTCCCTGTAGAGCCCCAGATTGTTGCCATCTGCTTCCATCTTCCCCTGGAGCCTCTACTTTTCCTTCCCGACTTCCCTCTCTCTAGACCCACTCAGGAACAGGATGATGTACCCTCATGTTCTCTCCTATTCTGACATCTCTGCAACCTCTGAGTTTCACTGGGACTTTGCTTCTGGCTAAGTTGGCCAATCATGAAGTAAGTAATAATAAGAAAGGGTGACATAATGAAATTATAAGAAATTAAAACAAAAACAAAAACAAGGCCGGGCATGCTCACGCCTGTAATCTCAGTGCTCTGGGTGGCTGATGCAGGAGGACTGCTTCAGGCCAGGAGTTTGAGACCAGTCTGGGCAACATAGCAAGACCCTGTCTCTTAAAAATAAAAATTAAAAAATAGCAGGGTGTGGCCAGGCACGGTGGCTGACGCCTGTAATCCCAGCACTTTGGGAGGCTGAGGCAGGTGGATCACCTGAGATCAGGAGTTCAAGACCAGCCTGGACAACATGGTAAAACCCCATCTCAACTAAAAATACAAAAAATTAGCTGGGCGAGGTGGCGGGCACTTCCAGCTACTTTGGAGGCTGAGGCAGGAGAATCGCTTGAACCCGGGGGTTGGAGGTTGCAGTGAGCTGAGATAGCACCACTGCACTCCAGCCTGGGAAACAGAGCAAGACTCAGGAGAATCGCTTGAACCCGGGGGTTGGAGGTTGCAGTGAGCTGAGATAGCACCACTGCACTCCAGCCTGGGAAACAGAGCAAGACTCTGTCTTGGAAAAAAAAAAAAATAGCTGGTGTGGTGGTGCAAGCCTGTAGTCCTAGCTATGTGGGAGGCTGAGGAGGAGGGTTGCTTGAGTCCAGGAGTTCAAGGTTACAGTGAGCTATGATTGTGTCACTGCACTGCAGCTGGGGCAACAGGGTGAGACCCTGTCTCTCTAAAAAACCCGAGAAACAACAACAAAAAACAAACTAGCTTTCCTGGCTTCTGGAGGTGCCTACAGAGGCTACTCTGTCCTCCCCTGGGCCTGAGTCCTGCCTCATCCTGAGTGCAAGAAAAGCGCAGGAGGCCTCAGCCCTCGGGAGAGCTGGATTTCAGGAGAGTGGGTCTGGGGAGGATTCTCGCCTTCTTCCAGAATAATAACACATAAATCGTGCAGTTTACCCAGCATTTCCATATACACGATTCTCCTTTGATCTTCACAGAAGCCCTTGAAGTAGTGATTATTACCCCATTTAAGACACAAGGAAACCCTCCCATGCATCTTCCCAGAACACAGATGCTGCTCCAAGGCAATTTACATAACCATTTTGAAACATTAAAATGACCGTTAATATATTATGGGTATGGCATGAAACAGTGGATGACATTTTTAGATGAAATATGGGACTTCAAAGAAATCTCAGCTTTTGCTGGCTGCCCTGGGCTTTCACCTCAAACTCTCCAGGGAATGCATCGATCCTCCTTTGCCAGGAGGGAGATGTCATCAGAAAGACTCGAGAAACTGAAACTTCCATCCATCTCCACTTCTTAAATGTTGATGTGCCTACAAATCACCTAGGGATCGTGGTGAAATGCAGATTCTTTTTTTCTTTTTGAAACAGGGTCTCACTCTGCCTCCCAGGCTGGAGTGCAGTGGTGCGATTTCGGCTCACTGCAGCCTCAACTTCCTGGGCTCAAACTATCCTCCCACCTCAGCCTCATGAGTGGCTGGGACTACAGGCAGGTGCCAATACATGGCTAATTTTTTTCTTTTTTCTTTTTTTGTATTTTTTGTAGAGACGTGGTTTTGTCGTGTTGCCCGGGCTGGTCTCGGACTCCTGAGCTCAAGTGACCCACTTGCCTCAGCCTCCCAAAGTTCTTAGATTATAGGCGTGCGCCAGTGTGCCACCATGCCCCAGATTCTTTTTATTTATTTATTTTTTTTGAGACAGGGTCTCACTATGTTGCCCAGGTTGGTCTCAAATTCCTGGCCTCAACTGATCCTCCCACTTCAGCCTCCTGAGTAGCTGAAACTACAGGCATGTAGCACCGTGCCTGCTTTGAAATGCAGATTCTGACTCAGTAGGACTGGCAAGTGCCCAAGTCTGCATTTCTTTTTTTTTTCTTTTTGAGAAGGAGTCTTGTTCTCTTGCCCAGGCTGGAGTTCAGTGGTGCGATCTTGGCTCACTGCAACCTCCACCTCCTGGGTTCAAGCGATTCTCCTGTCTTGGCCTCCCAAGTAGCTGGGATTACAGGCATGCACCACCTTGCCTGGATAATCTTTGTATTTTTACTAGAGACGGGGTTTCACCATGTTGGCCAGGCTGGTCTCGAACTCCTGACCTCAGGTGATCCACCTGCCTCGGCCTCCCAAAAGTGTTGGGATTACAAGCGTGAGCCACCACACCTGGCCCCAAGTCTGCATTTCTGATGAGCTCCCAGGTAATGCTCATGGCCCACACTTTGGGTAGCAAGGCCCTAGACTAGCCAACTTTATTTCCCACCATTCACAACACCCCCAGCTACAGTCATATGGTCTCTGAACTTGAGCTGGGAGGTACATGGGCTCTGCAGTCCAGCCTGGTTCTGTGTCACAAGGTTGCCACCTAGTTTCTTTACCTATAAGATGGGGTGATGCCTGTACCTGTTGTCTGGTGGAACTTTTCTTTCCCTCACAGGGTTAAGTGAACTGGATGCAGTAACAGTGGAAAGGATTTAGCACAGTACCTGGCACTTACAAAGCTCTCAATGAACATTAGTTATAAGTGCATTTATGGAACTCCATTTCCAAAACAGCACCATCCGAGTCCCACCTCGCCCCATTCTCACTCCTAACTTGATGTCTTAATCATCCTATTCCCTTTTCCAGAAACCCACTCAGCCCCCTCTAGCCTCCGCTCCCAGACTCTCCAAGGGCCAGCTCGGTTCCCAAAGTCCCCATGAAGGCTTCCCTTGCCATTCTCTCCCCTACTCACTTCAGTTCCTTCTGAAAGCCTGCAATTAGTATTAAATTATATACAATACAGTGTGAAATCGGATATAATTAAGTGCTGAGTTGTTAGCATTTAACTACATATACTACTCACTAATTATCTGGGGATTTGGAGGTGTGGGTGTGAGCCCTGAACTCTGCTGTTTATCTCATCTGAGCCTCAGTTTCCTTGTCTGCGAAAAGGGGATACCAATAAGGTCTACCTCACAGGGCTGCTATATGGATAACCTAGGATTAAAGTGGAAGTAATTTGGGATCATTTTCTTTCTTGCTCATCTTGGCTCCCCAGTCAGATTATAAATTCCTGGAGGGCAGACCCATGACACAGGGAAGGAGACAGAGTTTCGCCTGAGTGCCTAGAGGCCTGGGCTCCAGTCCTGGCTTCACCGCTGTCCAGCTCTATGACGATAATTGCTAAGGTTGACTTAGCACTTACTATGTGCCAGGCAAGATTCTACCCCTTTTTGTGCCTAATTCAGTTAACCCTCGTTGTTCTGAGGCTTTATTTCCTTGCCTACAAAATGGATGTATGAATACTTAAGGCACCCAGCAAAGGTGTGAGAACCCTGAAAAAATGCCAAGTTCATCTTCACTGTTTCTCAGTAAACATTTATCAAGGGCTTATTGTGTGGCTGGCCCCCTTGCATATGCGATCAGGGCTTAACAAAAGCTCTGACCCACTGTATATTCAGATACCAACTTGCCTGTATAGACTCTGTAAATCCCGAATAGCTGAGATAGGTCTTAGTTAATTGAGAAAGTTTCTTTTGCCAAGGTTGAGGACGTGCACCCATGATGCAGCCTCAAGAGGTCCTGATGACATTTGCCCAAGGTGGTCAGAGCACAGTTTGGTTTTATACATTTTAGGGAGACATGAGACATCAATCAACATATGTAAGATGAATATTGGTTCGGTCCTCAAAAGGCGGGACAACTCGAAGCAAAGGTGGGACAAGTGGAAGCAGAGAGGGGGCTTCCAGGTCACAGGTAGATAAGAGACAAATGGTTGCATTCTTTTGAGTTTCTGATGAGCCTCTCCAAAGGAGGCAATCAGATATGCATTTATCTCAGTGAGCAGAGAGGTGACTTTGAGTAGAACGGGAGGCAGGTTTGCTTTAAGCAGTTCCCAGGTTGACTTTTCCCTTTAGTTTAGTGATTTGGGGGCATCAAGATTTATTTTCCTTTCACAGCTGTAATCAACTGCTGGTTGTTGGTTGGGGGTGCTGGACTGAACAGCCCCAATCATGTGTGCGTGTGAATTGTGCCCCCTGATGTTGTACAAAAGCGGGCTGCAACTGCAACCAGTCAAGCAACCACACACTGTCTAGGGATCCCTGCAGGGGGTCCTGAGAACACCCATTTAATTGCATGCACAGGGGTGTTCTTGGAAGAGTCCATAACTTTCTTCGGACTATCAAAGGCACCTGGACCCCTCCCAAAGGACAGAATTATAATAAAATACACAAAATGCAATGCCAAGTGTCTGAATTAGATCCCTAGGAAGGTCTCTCCAATCCTTGGAGTCATCTTCAAAGCCCCACTCTGTCTCCCATCCCACATCTAACCCGTCAGCTCCATATGAAAACTACTGCGTATCCAAAATCTGACCATTTCTCCCTGCTCTCCCCTCCCAGGCTGGTCTGGGCCCAGACTGGACTCCTGCTCTTGCCTCCTCCCTGCCTTCTGTCCTCCCTGCTGCCACCTGGGGGGCCTGATGAGAGGTGAGTGGAATCATGTCACTCTTCTGCTAGGACCCCAAGGGGGCTCCTGTCCCACTCAGAGTCAAGGGCAAGGCCATCCCAGTGGCCATGAGGTCCTGCACTCTAGGCCTTGACCCCCATCTCTGAGCCACCTCCCACTACCCCACTCCTCCTCCTCACTCCAGTGTCCTCAACACCCGCCAAGCTCCCACCTCAGGCCCCATTCCTTCCATGTGGAATGCTCTTCTCTCAGGAAAATGCCCACATTCCTTTCCTCCTTCAAGACTTAACCCACTGGCCAACATGGTGAAACCTCATCTCTACTAAAAATACAAAAATTAGCTGGGCATGGTGGCGCATGCTTGTAATCCCAGCTACACGGGAGGCTGAGGCAGGAGAATCACTTGAACCCAGGAGGTGGAGGTTGCAGTGAGCTGAGATCATGCCACTGTACTCCATCCTGGCAACAGAGCAAGACTCCACCTCAAAAAAAAAAAAAAATGACTTGGCAGGGCGCGGTGGCTCACGCCTGTAATCCCAGCACTTTGGGAGGCTGAGGTGGGCGGATCACGAGGTCAGGAGATCGAGACCACCCTGGCTAACACAGTGAAACCCCGTCTCTACTAAAGATACAAAAAATTAGCCGGGCATGGTGGCGGGTGCCTGTAGTCCCAGCTACTTGGGAGGCTGAGACAGAAGAATGGTATGAACCTGGGAGGTGGAGCTTGCAGTGAGCTGAGATCGCGCCACTGCACTTTGGCCTGGGCAACAAAGCGAGACTCCGTCTCAAAAAAAAAAAAAAAAAAAAAAAAAAAAAAGACTTAACTCAGATATTCCCTTCTCAGTGACGTCTCCCCTGACCACCATAGTGAAACTTGCAAAGAGTGCACACACTGCACGCCCCCTCTCCTGTGTCCCTCCCTGCACTAACACACATCTAATTTATTTTACTTATTACACCTTTTATTTATTGGGGTGTCCTTGCACTAGAATGAGAATTCTATGAAGGCAGAGAGCTTTGTCTAGTTTGTTCATTGTGCATTCCAATGAAATTGTTGAGTGAATGAATCCATGAGGACACATTTGAGCAGGGATCTGAAAGTTGAAATGTTACCTGGGCAACAAGAAAAGGGAAGGGCATTCCAAGCAGCAGGGCCAGCATGAACAAAGGTTTGGGGGTGTGAAGAAACATGAAATGTTCATGGACGGGCCAGAGGATGCCTGAAAAGCTGGACCCCAGTCACCTGAAGCATTGGCTTGTCACCCATAAACGATCCCTCGGTTAGGATGTGGCGCTTGCAGGGGGATAAGGGGGAATCAAGAATTGGCTAGATTGCCGGGTGCTGAGGAGGCGCAAGTGACCTACAGCGGAAGGTCCAAGGAGTTTGGATGTGACACGAAAGCAGAGCCTCAATGTCCTTATTGGTATCCTTATCTTTATCCCCAATGCTGGCCCTGGAGAAGGCATAGAATTTTATCAAGGACTGTCTTTACAAAAGTGTTTTTTAAAAATTAGCTGGGTGTGGTAGTGTGAGGCTGTAGTCCCAGCTACTTGGGAGGCTGAGGTGGCAGGATAGCTTGAGCCCAGGAGCTCGAGGCTACAGTGAGCTATGACCGTGCCACCAGACTCCAGCCTGGGCAGCAGAGTGAGACCCTTTCTTTAAGGAAAAAAAAATTCCTACCAAGAGTTAGGCACTGTAGACGTAAGGGAGAAGTTAGGACTGTGGTTTGAGATCAGCCTGGGCAACATAGCAGGACCCCATCTCTACAAAAATACAAAAAAAAAAAAAAAAAAAAGATTCACCAGTCATGGTGGCGTGCACCCGTAGTCCCAGCTACTTGGGAGGCTGAGGTGGGAGGATGGCTTGAGTCCAGGAGGTCGAGGCTGCAGTGAGCTATGATTGCACCAGTGCACTCCAGCCTGGGTGACAGAGCAAGACGCTGTCTCAAAAAAAAAAAAAAAAAAAAAAGAATTTTACCAATGGCCATGTTATTAATTTTCTCTAGGGGAAAAAAAAACTAGAATTGGAATGAAATGCCAAGAATCAGTTATACTTAAAGACAGAGTCCATATTTCAAGGATCACGTATTCCTCTGAGGCCACCATATTGGAATTCTCCTCAACAGGGCTGATGAGTGAATGCAGAAGCCTGAGCTGCATTCAGGAGCAGCTGAGAGTGCAGTGCTGGTTTCTAGGGCTTGAGAATGCTGGATACCCAACCGTGCTGACTGCAGGTCTCACCAGAGAACCATCACTTAGACGGGATAACACTGAGACCATGAAGCCACTGTTTGTGGCCGGGTGTGGTGGCTCACGCCTATAATCCCAGCACTTTGGGAGGCGGGTGGACCACTTGAGGCCAGGAGTTCGAGGCCAGTCTGGCCAACATGGTGAAACCCTATCTCTATTGAAAATATAAAAATTAGCCGGACATGATGGTTAGCGCCATGCAGGACTGTAATCCCATCTATTCAGGAGGCTGAGGCAGGAGAATGGCTTGAACCTGGGAGACGGAGGTTGTGGTGAGCTGAGATTGTGCCACTGCACTCCAGCCTGGGTGACAGAGTGAGGTTCCATCTCAAAAAAAAAAAAAAAAAAAAAGACACTGACTGTCTAGGGTCACAGAGCTCTTCCACACCCCCAAGTCACTTGATTCCCCGCTGCCTCCCTATAGGCTGCACACCCTAACTAAGGGATGAGTTATGGGTGACAAGCTAATGCTTGAAGTTACTGGGGTCCAGCTTTTCAGGCATCCTTTACTGCTGTTTATCAGTGCTGTCTGTGGGTGCTTATTTAACGCACGCAGCAATCCTATGCTCTAAGATCCTTGTGCCCATTTTACAGAGGAGGAAATGGAGGCCTTGAAAGCTGAAGCAAATTGTCTGAAGGTCTCAGAGCCTCTAAGTGGAGATAGCAGACAACCTTGTTTATGTGGCGCCAGCATCCATTCCTGTTCTGGGTATAACACCTTGATTTTCCTCTAGGAAAACCACCTTTCGTCCACTCTCAGTCCACGTGGCGTGGGTGGAAATAACACTCCCAACACTGCAAGGGAAAGCACGTACTGCAGGCCCGGCCAGTGCATTCCATCTCCCCGGCCATGTGATGGTTCAGGGATAGGTGTGCTTCCCAAGCTATGCCTCCCAAGGACCCTCCTGGAAAAGTCCTTATCTCTCCTCCTCTACAATTACTAGTGATATGAGCCAGGGCTACTAGGGAAGGGAGGAAGACGTCATTTCTTCACACACAAAGGAAGGAGTCATTTTACCAACTTTTTAGGTTCACAATTATGAGCAACCTTAAATGTTCCATGGAAAAATCTGCCCAAGATGCCAGGCACGATGGCTCATGCCTATAATCCCAGCACTTCCGGAGGCTGAGGTGGGAGGATCGCTTGAGCCCAGGAGATCGAGACCAGCCTGGGCAACATAGTGAGATCCCACTTCTACCAAAAAAAAAAAAAGTTAGAAAAATCTGTCCAAGACTGATGACACAAACATAGAGACAGCAGAATGGAAGACAATGAGAGACAGGCCAAATAGCAACTAGATCCTTTAATGGTGGTTAATCCACCATATCCAGCCATGCCCGAAGCCAGCACTAACGTTTTACTCACTTGAGCAAATACATCCCTTTCTTTCCTTGGGCCAGTTTGAAGTGTGTGTGTATGTGTGTGTGTGTATGTGTGTGTGTGTCTGTGTGTGTGTGTGTGTGTGTATGAGAGAGATTTATACCCGAGTGGGTACTGGGTGGTACAGTGGTAGAACAAATACTAGACGGTGTCTGAATCCAAAGTTCCTGCCATGTCTAAGGGCTCAGAGAAGCATTTCATAGAGGACTAAATATACCTTGATGAATGCTCCAATGGCCCTAAGCCCACAAGAAGAGATGATCCAAATGTATCTTACAGTACAAAAGTCACAGCCTTCCTTCAAAACCCACCCCAAGTGCCAGTTCCTCTATTCTCCCAGTGAGTCTGTGTGTCCCAGCGCTGTGGAGCCCGTCCTCAGTGCACATGAGTTAAATGAGAAAGTATCTGAGCCTGCTTCTTTTTCTCTTTTTTTTTGAGACAGAGTCTCGCACTGTTGCCCAGGCTGGAGTGCAGTGGCACGATCTCAGTTCACTGCAACCTCCACCTCCCAGGTTCAAGCAATCCTCCTGCCTCAGCCTCCCCAGTAGCTGGGACTACAGGCGTCTGCCACCACGCCCAGCTAATTTTTGTATTTTTAATAGAGACAGGGTTTTGTCATGTTGGCCAGGCTAGTCTCGAACTCCTGAACTCAAGTGATCCACCCTCCTTGGCCTCCCAAAGTGCTGGGATTACAGGCCTGAGCCACCGCACCTGACCTGAGCCTGCTTTTGACTGCATTTGCTAACACATCAGTTATATTCCCATCCTCGAAAACAGAAATATACTCTGCAGTCAATGCACCCATCACACCAGCAGAAGCCAAGCAACAAAGACCTAAAGCAACGGTTGATACTGCCCCCTAGAGGTAGAATGAAACAGCACAAAACACTGCAGCAAACATTTGAGTTTCTCACGCCCTAGGATAGGTGTCCTAACAAAATATTACATCCTACGCGCATGCCAGATGGATAATCAAAGGGAGCGTTTGGGCTATTTTTCGAATACCTTAGAGTTACATTTATTACTACCCTACCTGCTATGTACCATTCTTTATTGCTACCAATACATACCTTGAGATTTTCTATTCAGTCTCAGGTTTTATAGACTGCCAAGGCAGATCCAGAATCTAGGACCCCAGGACACAGTTACGGTGTATTTTTATAAAAATGTTTTTCTTACATAGCTATCTAAAACATCATTTTCAATCCATGTCCAGTGGAAAATAACGAGCATTTCTTTTTATTCTCAGAAAAATTTTCTTCTAAAATTGCAAGGTGTTATTTATCAATTATCTTTCAGACTCACAAAGATAGAAGACTTAAAAAATCTTGAGGTCGGGTGTGGTGGCCCACGCCTGTAATCCCAGCACTTTGGGAGGCCAAGGTGGGTGGATCACTTGAGGTCAGGAGTTCGAGACCAGCCTGGCCAACATGGTGAAACCCCATCTCCACTAAAAAAAATATAAAAAATTAGCTGGGCATGGTGGCACATGCCTGTAATCCCAGCTACTCAGGAGGCTGAGGCAGGAGAATTGCTTGAACCTGGGAGGCAGAGGTTGCAGTGAGCCGAGATCACGCCACTGCACTCCAGCCTGCACAACAGAACGAGACTCCATCTCAAAAACCAAACAACAACAACAAAACTTGAATGAGTTTACTTTAAAAAGGAAGGTTTATATTAATGCCATAAATGGAAAATAATTATTGCTTGCCAGAAGGTAACCATAGACATAAATACAGACCTACTAAAAGAGAAAATGTTTACTTGCCACCTACAAGGTGGCAGAGGTAGGCAAAACACACACTGGGAAACACAGAGTCAGAACTTCCACATTCACACAACCCTAGGAGGTGGGTGGTGTTGACTTTATTTCACACAATGATGCATTTCTTCAGTATTGGCTGAACACTTCCTCTGGCTGGGCCCTGAACTAGTCTCTGGAGATACAACAGTGAGCCCAGCAAAGTCTCTACTACCACAGAGTTCACATTCTAGCGAAAGGAAGACAGATGATTTCCAAAAAGTAAGACAGTCGAGTGCGGTGACTCACAAGTGTAATTCCAGCACTTTGGGAGGCTGAGGCAGGAGGATCACTTGTGCCCAGGAGCTCAAGACCAGCCTGGACAACACAGTGAGACTCTGTCTGTACTAAAAATTTTTTAAAGTAGCTGGGCGTGGTGGTGTGTGCCTGTGGTCCAAGCTACTTCACAGGCTGAGTTGGGAGGATCGCTTGAGTCCAGCAATTCAAACTAGCCTGGGTAACACAGTGAGACTCTATCTCTACTAAAAATTTTTAAAAGTAGCTAGGCATGATGGCATGTGCCTGTAGTCCCAGCTACTTGGGAGGCTGAGGCGAGAGGATCGCTTGAGCCCAGGAGATTGAGGCTGCAATGAGCTGTGACTGCACCACTCTACTCCAGCCTGGGTGACAGAGTGAGACCCTGTTTCAATCAATCAGTTTTTTAAATTAAAATATATTGTATGTCACCTGACAATAAGTGCTATGGAGAATAGAAAGTGGGAAGGGCGGCCAGGCACAGTGGCTCACACTTGTATTCCCAAAACTTTGGAAGGCCGAGGCAGGTGGATCGCCTGAGGTCAGGAGTTCGAGATCAGCCTGGCCAATGTTGTGAAACCCAGTCTCTACTAAAAATACAAAAATTAGCCAGCCATGGTGGCACGTGCCTATAATCCCAGCTACTCGGGAGGCTGAGGCAGGAGAATTGCTTGAACCTGGGAGGCAGAGGTTGCAGTGAGCAGAGATCGTGCCATTGCACTCCAGCCTAGGCGACAGAGGGACACTCTATCTCAAAAAAAAAAAAAAAAAGGAAGTGGGAAGTGCTGTAAATCTCAGAACTTTGGGAGACCAAGGTGGGAAGATCACTTGAGCCCAAAAGTTGGAGACCAACCTGGGCAACGTCATAGTGAGATGCCATCTCTAAAAAAGAAGAAAGTAGGAAGGGGCAGAAGAATGCAGGAGGAAGGGGAGGGGCTCCCTCTTCCCTTCACTGCAGTTGGGGGTGGTGGGGCTCAGGGCTCCGAGAGGGCCTCTCTGGGGAGGTGTACCCTGAGGGTAAAATCACCTTTGTAAGAATTATACTAGAGAGAAAATTCTGAATATAACCAATTCTATCTTGCCTTTCACCTCCAAAATGCCCTTGGTCATTCCTGGGCGTGTGCCAAGCTAACTTTGAGAAAATTTAGTTTATCGTTTAAATAATAATAGCCCTTCCCCAAACTAAATTACCTTTGTAAAGCCAATGAAAGGCCACCAGGTTAGGAGGATGAAAGGGGCCTGAGTTCTGCTAAAATCTAGGCATAGTTCAATGATTGCCAGCCATCATTCCAGAGGTCACTAGATTTGCAACTTCCCCAAGTACTCTGCCCCAAGGCAGATCATGATTGTGGATCCTGATTGGCCTTCTGAGATGTCTTTTCAGGCTTTTGCATTTCTGACAACCAGATGGCCCAAGCCACACCCCTGTGATTGCACCTTCCAACCAATCAAGGGCACCCAGACCCTAGCTCCTTGCTCACCAAACTATCCTTGAAAAGCCCTGGCATCAGCTGGGTGCCGTGGCTCATGCCTGTAATCCCAGCACTTTGGGAGGCAGAGATGAGAGGATCACTTTGAGCCCAGGAGTTCAATACCAGCCTGGCCAAAATGGCGAAACCCTGTTTCTACTGAAAATACAAAAATTAGCCGGGTGTGGTGGTGGGCGCCTGTAATCACAGCTACTCGGGAGGCTGAGGCAGGAGAATCACTTGAACCCAGGAGGAGGAGGTTGCAGTGAGCCGAGATTGTGCCACTGCACTCCAGCCTGGGCAACAGAGCGAGAATCTGTTTCAAAAAAAAAGAAGAAGAAGAGGAAAACCCAAAAACTCTAGCCTCCAGCTTTTTAGGAAGGCTGATTTGAGTAATCATAAAACTCTGGTCTGCTGTCTAGCTGGCTCTACATGTATTAAACTCTGTTTCTGTTTGAAGTCCCCTGTTTTGATAAATTGGCTGTATCTGGGCAGCAGGCAGAATGAACCCGTTGGGCAGTTACAAGGTATTGGGATAAAAGGGGCTTTCAGATGGCAGGAACAGCGAGTGCAGAGGCCAGGAGGCTCAGCACATCTGGGGAAGAGCTCAGAGGCCAGTGTGGCTGGAACAGACTGAACAAGGCAGGGGAGTGGGAGGAGATGGAGTGGGACAGACCCTGAGGCTGCCAGGCCTTGCAGACTCTGGCCTGATGCTGAGGCGGCCGGGAAGCTACTGGAGGGCTTGGGGCAGACCTGACATCCTTTCAACTGGATTTTAAGCGAGTCCTGAGTTGAGAAGGGCTGAGGGAGGCTCAGAAGGTTTCCACAGGGCCTGCAGGTAGAAGGATTGAGGCTGCCCCTACCCTCCTTGCCTGAGGACAGCCCAGGAGGGGGCTCAGGCCTGGGGCAGCATAAACAGCCTCTAATAATTGAGAAGAGACAAGCTGCTTTCGCCCTCTCAGGCTGGTGCTGTTAGTGGACCTGATTTAGGGCCACTTTTACCTGTCAGAGCCTCTCAATCCTGCAGGACTGGCCACCAGGCCTGATGGGAGGAGAGAGGCAGCCACCCTCCGCCAATCTTTGCCTCCATCCACCTGATTTCCATCCAAGAACTTTTCCTTCTAATGAAATGGACCTCCCAACACAGGGCATCTATCACCACCAGCCCAGCAGGCAGGGCTGTCTGAGTAGATGATCATTCCCCCACACCCCAGGGCTGCTGCCGGCCCCCTGAAGAGGGGAGGGCACTCCCTTCCTATTGATCCTACACATATTCCTTGTGCTTCTCCTATGGGTTGGGCATCGGGCAAGGGCCAGAGATAGACAGACAAGTGTAATCTGGCCTCGCCACCCTCCTTGACCTCATTTCCACCTTCATCCTAATAGCCACATGGTCCTTCTGGCTCTTTCTCAAGGTCATTGCCGGCCGGGCGCAGTGGCTCATGCTTGTAATCCCAGAACTTTGGGAGGCCAAAGCAGGAGGATCACTCGAGCTCAGGAGTTCGAGGTCAGCCTGGGAAATACCTCGAGAGCACCCGCCCCACTCCCCCTGCCCCGTCTCTATAATAAGTAAATAAATAAAGGTCATTGCCTCTGTTGTTCCCCCTGCCTGCAATGTTTCCCTCCTTGCTCTAGGGTAAGCTTGTTTAGCAGCATCCCCTCTTCCAGGGGCCTCTCCCAACAACCTCTGTCCCTGTCTGCCTCCTCACCCAGTAGCACCTCTCACTCTCTGAAAGTATCTCTGTTCATTTACACATGGCCTCCCCCATCAGGACGCCAGACCCACGAGAGCAGGGACAATGCGAGCTTGCTCACTGCTGTGTCTCCCAGTTCCTGGCATGTACAAGGAGCTTATAAAGGATTTGCAGAAAGGAAAGAACACGGAGGAACAGAAGGAAAGGGAGGAAGACAAAAATCCCTGGCCTCAAGGAACTTGGAGTAGAGAGATAGAAATGGAACAATTGCTCCAGTGCAGTGTGGCAGATGCTATCAAGAGGAGGCAACTGAGGTTGGGTGCAGTGGCTCACTTCTGTAATCCCAGCACTTTGGGAGGCTGAGGCGGGTGGATCACCTGAGGTCAGGAGTTTGAGACCAGCCTGGCCAACATGGTGAAACCCTGTCTCTACTAAAAAAATACAAAAAATTAGCTGGGCGTGGTGGTGTGTGCCTGTAATCCCAGGTACTCGGGAGGCTGAGGCAGGAGAATCGCTTGAATCTGGGAGGCGGAGGTTGTGGTAAGCCGAGATTGCGCCACTGCACTCCTGCCTGGGAAACAAGATTAAAACTCCGTCTAAAAAAAAAAAAAAAGAGGAGGCAGCTGTGCCACAAGGGCAGTGGGTGGAGTGGAGGGGGCCTGGGATTACTGGCGGGGCTGGGTGGGCTTTGCAGAAGAGAAAACAAGACACCGAATTGTAAAAGAGCTCACCAGGAGAATGGGGGAGGGCGGAGCAGGGGCCAGAAGGGAAGAGTGTTTGTAAAAGCAGATGCCAGGAGACTCCAGGAGCCTGTCTTGGGCTGGGGTGGAGAGTGATCAAAGCCTGCTGGCTGATCCCAGGGGACGGCTAGAGAGTCTTTGCTTCTGACATCCCAGGTATGCTTAAGGGCAAAGCCTGTTTGTGCTAACGGCAGGTGCTGAAATATCATTCTCAAGTGTAGGGCAGTGCAGTGGGGTTCATGGGCCTCAAACTGGATTAACTCTCACATACTGCAGTCAAGATTTTGCCATGTGAGACAATGTTCATCTAGGAATTTAAAGGCGACAGCAAATGCTCATTCTCTCTGACCCTGGTCCCCTCCCCGACCATGTGGGACTGCGTTCCTTTCCCTCCTCCCTCCTCACCCCACTTCTTTCCTACCTTCTTCCAGATTTACTAAACACCTCCTAATCCATGCCAGGGCATGTCCCCAGCCTCATGGAGCTGGTGGTCTAGTGAGGAAGACAGATTTTAATCAAATGACCTACCAAATGTATGACGTCAGTGCTCGGAAGGTGGGGGAGGCGGGGGCGATGAGTGGCTTTAAAAGGGGGCAGGTGAAGCTTCGCTGCAGAGGATAACAGAACCAAAACCTGAAGGATGAATGGGTTAATTGTGGAGGAGAGGGGAGAGTGCTCAAAGCAAAGTGGAGGCGTGCTAAGGCAGCAGACGCACATGAGCACAGAGCAGAAGGGACAAGGCAGGCACGTGGGACAGAGACTGACACGGGACTGAGGCGGATGGACCACAAACACCGCGTGCCCACGGCAGGAGTTCTGCCCTGAGACTCCAGACCACTGGGAAGCCACATGGTGCTCCTGGAGCGGACAGCGGAAGTTGGAGTAAGAAAGGGGTTGGGTGGTGGAGAATGGGTGCCAGGCTGCAGGTGAGAGGCTACCGCAGGTGCTTAGATGAGAGGACTCAGCCACGTGGAGGGTCAGGGAAGAGAGGCTTCCAAGGTGAAGGCACAGGACTTGGTGACAGGCTGGAAAGAAGAGACAAGGGAGAGGGTCTATAAGGATGATTCCAGGGTTTCTGGCCTGCATCATTGGAGGGACGGGGCACCATTCATGGAGCAAAGGCTGGAGGGAGAGCAGGTCTGAGTGTGGCCTGGCGCATGAATGCAATCTGCTCTCACCACTCTCCTGACCTCATTCCCACCTTCCCCACCCCCATCTCAATAGCCACTCAGCTCTTCTGGCTGCTTCTCAAGGTCATTGCCCGTGTGTTGACTGCCCTTGCAAGGTCATTGCCTTGCCTTGAGGAATCTTCGAAGCATCCAGAGGAGCAGTTTCTGGTGTACGGGTTCGGAGTTTAGGGCTTCGAGGCACAGTTAAGGTCCACTTCCTCCCTGCTGGCCTCCATCCCAGGCTGGCTTCTCCCCTCCCTCAGCTGTGTTCCTGAAGCATTTCCACACACCCCTCGCTGAAGCATTATCAAAGGCAGTGGCTGTGGGCTTTGCATGGGCAGCAGGTGTTGGGCTGCGGGGCCCAGATCGCTCACATGCCCCAGCTGCTGGGAGTGTGGATGGCTGGTGGCTTACAGTTGTATCCCTTCCCAGGAAGAAATCCATCCTTCCCCAGGTTATGCTGGATCTCTGATGTTGCTTAATGGCAAAGGTGCAAAGACCCCAGCTCCTTGTCTCAACTGGGACATCTCTGAAGGCCCACCTGTTTCTACCCAGGATCTGTGGGCTCCCCAAAGCCTGAACTGCACAACTCCTCCTTCTGCCCAAGCCTGCTACCCTTACCCCTCACAGGTGTCATCCAAGAGCCCTCCCAATAAACCCCTGCATGTATATCTCCTGCTCAGAGTCTGCATCCTGGGAACGCTTAGATAGCACATCGTTCCTCCTTGACCATCAGCTCCCAGGGCAGGCTGAGCCTTAACATCAAAAGGCACTTGTAAATGTACTGTGAACCGAATGGATGATCCTGATGGCCAGGATTTCCTACAGTGGTCCTGAATTCAAACAGGCCAGACCCGAATCCCCAAAGTCCAATGAACTCCTCAGGTCACAGGCCCCAATTTTAATTCTGAAATATGGTCACCGTGGCAGCATGTGACATAAGGCCCTTAACTCCTGAGTCTTCCTTCAGTGGCTGAGTAGCCACATGGGGTGTGGCCGCAACTCTGGGCTATGAAGCTGGTTTAGGAATAGCAACCAGCTGCCCGGGAAGAAGCCAGATGTGCAGACAGGAGAGAGACGGTTTTTCATTTGTGCTGCTCTGTTTTCAAGAGGGAAGGAGGGGATTGGGAGAGTCTGGTCAGCCCCTAAAGTAGCTCATGTTCTCTCCAAATGCACATTCTTTTTTTTTTTTTGAGATGGAGTCTTGCTCTGTCGCCCAGGCTGCAGTGCAATGGTGGCGCATTCTCAGTTTGCTGCAACCTCCACCTCCCAAGCTCAAGTGAGTCTTCCGCCTCAGCCTCCTAAGTAGCCTCCTAAGTAGCTGGAGCAACAGGCATACGCCACCACGCCCAGCTAACTTTTGTTATTTTTTGTAGAGACGGGCTTTCGTCATGTTGCCCAGGCTGGTCTTGAACTTCCGAGCTCAGACGATCTGCCCACCTCAGTCTCCCAAAGTGCTGGGATTATGGGCCTGAGCCACCATGCCCGGCCCAAATGCATGTTCTTAAGAGTGGAACTGCAGCTCACAAAGTCCATGATTTCTTGGCTTCCTGGTCCCACCTTCCAACCCATAGCCCCTTCCCTGTGCTTTGCTCTAAAACCCAGATCTCTGTGGCTTTCTTCATTCAAAACCTGAGGGCTGGGCAGAGAAGTGGACAGAGGCACTTTGGGAAGCAATGTGGCAGTATCCACTGAGACAAGACACCAAATCCCACAGACCCTTCATCTACTCAGACCCAGCCATTTCCCTCCTGCAATCCAGCCTAGAGAAAGCCACGCAGGTGCCTGAGAAGAATGGACAAAATGCTAGTTGAAAGCAACTCTAATGTCCTCCGGCTGGAGAACAGCTGAATACCAGGGAATCCGATGCAACAGGTTAAGAAATAAAAGAGCAGATAACATCAAGCACAGATCTCCAAGACACATAGCCCAGGGAGAATAGGCAAGTTACAAGTTACAAAAGCATGTTGCAAAACAGTACATTCAGTGTAACACCATTTCTGGTAAAAAAAAAAAAAAAAAAAAAAAAAAAAAGAAAAGAAAATACATTAAAAAATACCACATATATTTTATGGATACACTCAGGTATACAAATGCACAGAGAAAGGCCTGGAAGCATGCATGCCTAGCTCATGGCAACAGCTACTCCAGGATGGGAAGACTGGCCTTAGGGAGGGGTGGGATTAGCAAAATGGATTTTAGCCTTATCTAGAAGGTGACAATTTTTATATTATTTATTTATTAGAGACAGGATCTCACTCTGTTGCCCAGGCTAGAGTGCAGCAATGTGATCATGGCTCACTGCAGCCTTGAATTATTAGGTTCAAGCAATCCTCCTGCCTCAGCCTCCTGAGTAGCTGGGACCACAGCACGCACCATCATGACCAGCTAATTATTTTTATTTATTTATTTTTTTGAGACATTCTCACTCTGTCACCCAGGCTGGAGTGCAGTGGTGTGATCTCGGCTCACTGCAACCTCTGTCTTCCGGGTTCAAGTGATTCTCCTGCCTCAGCCTCCCCAGTAGCTGGGATTATAGGCACACGCCACCACTCCCAGCCAATTTTTGTATTTTTAGTAGAGACAGGTTTTCACCATGTTGCCCAGGCTGGTCTTGAACTCCTGACATCAAGTGATCCACCTGCCTCGGCCTCCCAAAGTGCTGAGATTACAGGTGTGAGCCACCATGCCTGGCCTATTTTTATTTTTTGTGGAAACGGGGTCTTGCTATGTTGCCCAGACTGGTCTCTAACTCCTGGGCTCGGGCAAGTAATGCACGAAAACAGCCTATTGCAAAACAGTGTGAGCTACCATTTCTAAAGAAAGCTGTTTTCATGCATTACTTGCATAACTAATGACCTCAGCCCACTCTACCTCTGTGTACAAAAAAGAAAAAAGTTGTCAATGGTCCCACACTCCAGACAGACTCAGCTTAATACAGCTTTTCTCCCTGAGCCCTGGATTCCCATCTCCAGCTGCCTACAGGGTCTTCCTAGGTTTTAAGCTGAATTCCTGATGTTCCCCCTAAAGCCTGCTCTCACTCTCTCTCCCATCTCAGGAGATAAAGCAGCCATCATTCTCACAGCTCAGACCAAGACTTAGAGGTCTTGTTTTTTTTCTCTCTCTCCCACCCATATCTAATCCAACAAGTCCAGCTGCCTCTCTCTTTACAATACCCAGGATCAGGCCCCTTCTCAGCACCCCCACAGCTGCTGCCCCAAAGGAAGCCACGTCATCTCTCACGGAGATTGTGCAGCAGCCACTGCCTCCTTTCACCTTCGCCTGTGGTCATTCTCCCCACATGGCCAGGGAATGCGTCCTGTTAAAGCCTGCTAGGTCACGGTCCTCCTCTACTCAAAATGCTCCCCTGGCTCCCACTGCCCCCAGAGTAAAAGCCCAGACCCTACAAATGACACAAAGCCCTACACGACCTGGCCTTGACCCCTCTGTCCTCCTCTCCCACCACCCTCGTTCCTCCTCCATCAGCCACACGGATGTCCCCTGTCCCCGCGATTTTGCCCTTGCTGTTCCCTCTGCAGAAATGCTCCTTTCCCAGAGATCTGCGTGGCTTCCTCTCACTTCCTGTAGTCTCTGCTCACATTCTCAGCAAGGCCCTTCTGAGGGCCCTATTTAATGTCACATCCCTCCTCCGTTGTCCCCAGCCCTCTTCCCTGCTTTATTTCTTCTCTGACACCCTTTATATTTTGCTTCTTTATTTGCTTAGTGTCTGCCTCCAGCCGCTGGCACATAAGCTCTACAGGGGCATGGATTTGTGTTTATTTTGTTCACTGCTGACTCTCCAGGGCCTGGGACAATGTTTGTCACATGGCAGGTGCTTGATAAACATTTGCCAAATAAATGAAAGAATGAGTGCACAAAGTTTCCTCTATAGGGCCCCCATCTACACGACCAGACTTGGTGATGCTCATTTGCTCCCAATACCTATTCTTTTCTTTGCCTCTATCACAATGAACAACTTGCTGGTCCCCCACACTCCTGTATATCCTCCTGTGTCCACATCTGGTTTTCTGTGTGTGTATGTGAGTACGTTTGAGACAGGGTCTCACTCTATTGCCCTGGATAGAGTGCAGGCGTGATCTCAGCTCACTGCAGCCTCAACTTCCCAGGCTCAAGTGATCCGCCCACCTTAGCTTCCTGAGTAGTTATGATTACAGGTGTGTGCCACTACATCCAGCTAACTTTTTCTGTACTTTTGTAGAGACAGGGCTTTACCATGTTGCCCAGGCTGATCTCGAACTCCTGGTCTCATGCAATCTACCCACTTAGGCCTCCCAAAGTGCTAGGATTACAGGCGTGAGCCACCATGCCCGGCCCACATCTGTTCTTATCCGCTGGGCCTTACCCCAATCCTGCCATCATCTATTCAGGCTTCAATGCCAATTCCTCCTGAAACCCTGGCCAGTCCCCTTCCCACTGCCTGTCCTGTTAGCTGAGTAAAGACTTCCTCCTCTGGACTCCTCTTTTTTCCCCATTGTTTCAGAGTTCATAAACTGATTGCTCTGTGCTGAGTAACTAATTTGTGCTGAGTGGTTTGCATGTTTTATCTTACAGACCCATCACAGCAACTGATAAACTGGCTATTATGATTATCTCTATTTTTCCTCAACGGAGGCATAGAGAGTCATCCAATGAGAAGTCACAGAGCTAGAATTTAAACCTAGCTTTGGACAGGCACGGTCTCACACCTGTAATCCCAGCACTTTGGGCAGCTAAGGTGGGAGGATGGCTTGAGGCCAGGTGTTCAAGACCAGCCTAGGCAAGACAGTAAGACCCTGTCTCTACAAAAACAAAATAAAACAAAAAACACCAAGCTTTATTGAACTCCAGTGTCTCTGCTTGTCACCTTTAGTGTCAGGTTCCACCATGAAATTGTGAGATCTGAGACTTCAGCCAGGGCCGAGGTGACTTTCAAGTCACCAAAGAAATAAGTAAACCGACCAGGAATCTCAGAGCCCTTGATGGGGACTGGACCATGGTAGGTGACACAAGGTGGGTCCCTGGGCTCTCTAGCCTGAGTCACTGGCCAGACGTGAGTCACGGACACCACAACCAAAACCATCCTGGGACAGTGTGGCCCAGCGTAAGGAGCAGAGCATTAACAACATGAGCTTCAGCATCAGACAGACCAGGAACAAGCCCTGGTTGTTGTTGTTTTTGAGATAGGGCCTCACTCTGTCACCCAGGCTGGAGTGCAATGGCATGAACACACCTCACTGCAGACTTGGCTTCCTGGGCTCGAGTGATCCTCCCACTTCAGCCTCCCAAGTAGCTGAGACTACAGGCACACACCACCACGCCCGGTTAATTTTTAGTTTTTTTTTTTTGTACAGACGAGGCCTTGCCATGTTGCCCAGGCTGGTCTTGAGCAAGCCCTGGTTTCTTTTTAGCTGTGTGACTTAGGGCCTCACTTTTATTTGTAAAATGTGCAGCTGGATTCTGGATGTCACTGCCCCATCAGCCACAAGGTCACAGCACTGAGATTCCTGGATGCCATATTGGGACAGTGTGACCCCACCACTAACCATAGGCACCTGGATCAGGAGAAGGTGCCTGACCTAAGTAGGGCTAATAATCCTGAGAGGTTTGGATGAAAACGTTTAGGCTGGGCCAGCTGCCGTGGTTCACACCTGAAGTAATCCTAGCCCTTTGGAAGGCCAAGGTAGAAGGATTAATTGAGCTCAGGAGTTTGAGACTCCATCTCTACAAAAAAATAAAATAAGTTAGCTGGGTGTGGTGGTGCACCTGTGGTCCCAGGTACATGGGAGGCTGAGGCAGGAGGATCGCTTGGCCTGGGAGGTCGAGGCTGCAGTGAGTTATGATCATGCCACTGCATTCCAGCCTAGGCAACAGAGGGAGGCCCTGCCTAAAAAAAAGTTTAGGACGGACACGGTGGCTCACGCCTGTAATCCCAGCACTTTGCGAGGCCAAGGCAGGCAGATCACCTGAGGTCAGGAGTTTGAGACCAGCCTGATCAATATGGAGAAACCCCATCTCTACTAAAAATATAAAATTAGTTGGGCGTGGTGGTGCATGCCTGTAATCCCAGCTACTTGGGAGGCTGAAGCAGAAGAGTTGCTTGAACCCGGGAGGTGGAGGTTGCAGTGAGCTGAGATTGCGCCATTGCGCTCCAGCCTGGGCAACAACAAAACTCCGTCTCAGACAAAAAAAAAAAAAAAGGGTGGGGGGTGGGTGTTTAAGGGGTTTAGGGCAGATCTGGCTACTCTCTTTAAGTGGGTAAGTGAACTTAGGAGTCATTGGTGGGAACCATTTTCTGCCAGGTGAACTGAGAAAGAAAGAAAGTCGATTTGTACCTAGTGAGAAGGACACAGAAGCAGAGAGGTAGATAGATAAGAGCTACAGAGAGGGGACCTCCCAGGACCCTGGAGGGCTCCATCTGTTCTTCACATCCAGATGATTCTGTGAAGCTCCACTGCTTCAGAGCCTGTGAGAAAGTAATGAAGTTCCCCTTCTGCTAAACTAGACTAAGTTTATTTTTTTAACCACGTCCTGAGTAATATAAATACTTACCTTGTAGAGCTGCTGTAAGAAATAAAAATAATAAGCTGGGCGCAGTGGCTCATGCCTGTAATCCCAACAATTTGGGAGGTTGAGGCAGGTGGATCACCTGAGGTCAGGAGTTCGAGACCAGCCTGGCCAACATGGTGAAACCCATCCCTACTAAAAATACAAAATTAGCCGGGCGTGATGGTGCCTCTATCACAATGAACAACATGCTGGTCCCCCACACTCCTGTATATGCTCCTGTGTCCACATCTGGTTGTGTGTGTGTGTGTGTTTGAGACAGGGTCTCACTCTATTGCCCTGGGTGGAGTGCAGTGGCGTGATCTCAGCTCACTGCAGTCTCGACATCCTGGGCTCAAGTGATCTTCCCACCTCAGCTTCCTGAGTAGCTGGGACTACAGGTGCGTACCACCACATCCAGCTAATTTTTTTGTACTTTTGTAGAGACAGGGCTTTACCATGCATGCTTATAATCCCAGCTACTTGGGAGGCTGAGGCAGGAGAATTGCTTGAACCCAGGAGGCAGAGGTTGCAGTGAGCCAAGATCAGGCCATTGCACTCCAGCCTGGGCAACAAGAGTAAAACTCTGTCTCAAAAAAAAAAAAAAAAAAAAAAAAAAAAAAGTAATATATGCAAAGCTCTTACCTCAGTGCCTGGCCCATGGTAAATAACATGGAATACATGGTTGCTAATATTATAATCAAGCCACAAAGACATACTATTACAGGAACTAGACAAATTAATCATCATGCCCAGTCATCTAAATTACTTTTCCCTGGAAGGGTGGCATGTCATGGGGTTCTGTCCTTGGTCGTCTCCCAGGCCATAATTTTATCAATGGCTGGATCTGGCTGTTGAAGCTGTTTATTATGTTGGCGGATGACATTCAGATGGGAGGCACACAGAATAAACTGGATGACGGAATCTGGGTTCAGATCAGTTTCTTCAGGTTACGGATAGAGCAAGAGTAGCTTGAAAAAATGCATAATGGCCAAGGTAAAGGTCCTCTACAAGGGGAGGCATTGGGAGGGAAGAGTGCTTAAGAAAAGTTCAGGAGGCAAAAGACAGGGCTTTTAGCTGATGTGCTCAGTATGAGCTAACATTATGGTATGGCTGCCAAAACCACCACTACCATGGCACAAAATGAGTGCGTGAGAAATATTTGCTCAGACTAAGACAGATGAAGGGCGCTAACATATTTTAGCAACTAATACATGCCGGGCCCCATGCTGAACACTTGACATTTGCTATTTCCACTGACACTCTCATTAACCCTAGGAGATAAGTATTATTATCATTATCCCCATTTGAGAGGTGAGAATGCTAAGGCTTAGAGAGGTGAAGTGACTTGACCAAGGTAGTAGAGAGCAGATATGGTATTTGAACCCAGTTTTCATTAGAAAGCACAACTCCGGCCAGGCGTGGTAGCTCACACCTGTAATCCCAGCTTTGGGAGGCCGAGGCGGGTGGATCACGAGGTCAAAAGATCAAGACCATCCTGGCCAAGATGGTGAAACCACATCTGCACTAAAAATACAAAAATTATCTGGGTGTGGTGGTGCGTGCCTGTAATACCAGCTACTCAGGAGGCTGGGGCAGGAGAATTGCTTGAACCCGGGAGGCGGAGGGTGCAGTGAGCCAAGATCGCACCACTGCACTCCAGCCTGGTGACAGAGCGAGACTCCGTCTCAAAAAAAAAAAAAAGAAAGAAAGTGCAACTCCATTCCTATATTCTATACTGATCAGTTCAAAACTGGAATATCCCATTTGGTTCTCAGTGTATTTTTAGAGAAAGATGAACTTTTCCAGATGAAGGTGACCAGGAAGGTGAAAACTCACACAGGAAGTCTCCTTGAGAATGAATCAAGTTTGGAAAACCAAGAGCAAGTCCGTATATCAGCCTCTCCTACCCGAGTCCACAGAAATGACACCATTTAAAGTCTATGGCAGCATATGCTTATTTCCCAGCACTTTGGGAGGCTAAAGTGGAAAATAAAAAGGGGTGCCACTAGCAGATTAAAAATGTTGAGAAATCCCTGAGAAATGAATGGCAGACAGAATTGAATTCATGAACAAAAACACAGACCAAAACAGAAGGACAGCCGCAAAAGGTGAAGGTGGGCCCGGGCTGCTCCAAACCTAGAGGCAGCACATTCTCCAGGGAGAGGAGAAGGCCCCAGGCCAAGGGTCAAAGAGATTGATGGAGAGCTCCCGTGGGGATACCAGGAGGCAGCCTGTCAATCCCACTAGCCTTCAGGAGCTGTGACTACAGGTCTTTGGGACAGAAAAGCAGGACGTAGCCAGAAAGAAAAAAGAGACCCTGTGCTCACAAGACCAAGTATTACATCTTACTTCTCGCAGCAAGTTCTGACCCTCTGCCCGTAAGTATTGGCAGCAATCTATAGCATCTACAGAGAAGGAAATGGGAAATCAGTGGCTCATGCCTGTAATCCTAGCACTTGGGAGGCCGAGGCAGGAAGAATGCTTGAGGCCAGGAGTTCAGACCAAGCTGGGCAACATGTGAGACACCTTCTCTATAAATAAAAAAAAAAAGAAAGAAAGAAAGAAAAAGAAAATAGGAAACAGGAAATCATACTACACAGAAGAGCACATATCCACAAATCACAAAACATTCCAGGAAAACCAACATCCATGAAAGACAGGGACTAATTTAATAAATAGAGGAAATAACAATCAAACAGATAATAATGCAAGCAGAGACACTTAAAATATATTTAATATTATCAGAAGGATAAGAGAGGAAGGACATTGCATCTATCAAACAAGAACAGCCTATTACAGAAAAACAACTAATTAAAAAATTACATTGCTGGTAACTTGGGAAACATAAAAAAAAAATCACAAATAAAAGATTTAGTCATCAAAATAAATCATTTGTGACCAGCCTGGCCAACATGGTGAAACCATGTCTCTACCAAAAACACAAAATTAGCCAGGCATGGTGGTGGGTGCCTGTAATCCCAGCTACTTGGGAGGGTGAGGCAGGAGGGAGGCAAAGGTTGCAGTGAGTGGAGATCATGCCACTACACTGCAGCCTGGGCCACAGAGCGAGACTCTGTCTCAAAATAAATAAATAAATAAAATAAAATAAAATAAAAAAGTAAAAGAAATCAAAACATGCTGAAGGGCAGAATAGATACAGATAGAGAGAACATTAGTGATCTGGAAGATTAAACAGAGGCATTTTTCCAAAACACAGGAATAAAGACAAAGAGGACTGGCAAAAATATAAAAAGCTGTTAATTACTATTCCATACAATTAGAAAGACAGGCTGTCTCAGATGTTTTTGGGTAAAGTGTAAATTCAGATTTTCTCATGAGGCTATTTCCAGATTTCCCACCACATAAGCCAAACAAATCCCTATTATTTAGGCCAAGGGTAAGCAAATTAATCACAGGCCAAATCTGGCCAGCCACTTATTTTTGCAAATAAAGTTTTACTGGAACACAGCCATGCTCATTTACATATTGACTATGGCTGCTTTTGTGCTCAATGGCAGAGTAGTTGTGACAAGAGACCGTGTGGCCCACAAAGACTGAAGTATTTATTACCTGATCCTTTACAGAAAAAAGTTTGTTGACCCCTGGTTTAGACCATTATTAGTTGGGTATTTTGCTATTTGTGGCCAAAGCTACTCCTAGTTGAAATAAATAATAGAGTTGCATAGGCTGGGCACAGTGGCTCATGCCTGTAATCCCAGCACCTTGGGAGGCCAAGGCAGGCAGATCACTTGAGGCGGGGAGTTTGAAACCAGCCTGGCCAACATGGTGAAACCCTGTCTCTACTAAAAAAAAAAAAAAATACAAAAATTAGCTGGAGTGGTGGTGCACACCTATAATCCCAGCTACTCCCAGCTACTAGGGAGGCTGAGGCACAAGAATCCCTTGAGTCTGGAAGGCGGAGGTTGCAGTGAGGTGAGATCACACCACTGCACTGCACTCCAGCCTGGGCAACTGAGTGAGACTCCGGTTCAAAAAAAAAAAAAAAAAAAAAGAATAGAGTTGCATAAATAGAAAAAGCTCCAGAAAGATGAACATCCAATGTATAACAGCAGTTATTTCTGGGAAGGGGAATGAGATTGAGGGTAAATTTGACAGGCTATTTTTGTTTAACGTGCAAACTTGAAAAATTTTTAATAACAACAATGTACTCAAATTATTTTGCGATTTAATTTTTCCGAGAAGAATTGAAGGTCTTACACTATGATGATAAAGAACAAACTACTGATGCATTAAAAAACATGGATGGAGCCAGGCATGGTGGCTCAGCTACTTGGGAGGCTGAGGCAGGATTGCTTGAGCCCAGGAGTTTGAGGCTACAGTGAGCTGTGACTGTACCACTGCACTCCAGCCTGAGTGGCAGAGCAAGGCCTTTCTCCAAAACAAAACAAAACAAAACAAAAAACAGTCAAAATAGTGGTTATCCTTGGAGAGGTATTAACTGGGAGGGGACATGTGAAAACCTCTTAAATATAGATTATTCTACATTTGATGTGAATAACTGATTTTATATATTTATATATAAAAATTCATAAAACTATACACTTAAGCTTATTTTATTGCACATAAGTTATACCTCAATAAATACATTTTAAAAAGAATAATGCAAAGTAGGCATTTTTCATTGTCCCTTAGTATGGTCCTATTTCTGAAATATATGTAGTTGCATAGAAAAAAAATGCTAGAGGCACAGTGGCTCCCAGCGGTAATCCCAGCACTTTGGGAGGCAGAGGCAGGAGGGTCGCTTGAGTTCAGGAGTTCAAGACCAGCCTGGGCAAAATGGCGAGATCCTGTCTCTACAAAAAATACAAAAATTAGCTGGAGATGGCGGCATATGCCCATAGTCCCCAGCCACCTGGGAGGCTGAAGTGAGAGGATCACTTGAGCCGTGTTCATGCCACTGCACACCAGCCTGGGTGACAAAGTGAGACCCTGCCTCAAAAAAAAAAAAGAAAAGAAAAGAAAAGAAAAAGGAAAGGGAAAAGGGAAAAGAAAAAAAAAAGCTAGAAAGAAATATAAATAGATGATACCAATGGATCATCTTAGGATTTTTCAACTTTATTGTGGTATGAAAGCAATATACATTCAGTGGAAACTGTACTTCAAGTACCTAAACAAGCATTCTGTTTTTCACTTTGAGTACAGTACTCAATAAATTACATGAGATATTCAACACTTCATGATGAAACATGCCTTGTGTTAGATGATTTTGCCCAACTGTAGGCTAATATTTAAGTGCCGTGAGCACATTTAAGGTAGGCTAGGTTGAGCTATGATGTTCAGCAGGTTAAGTACAGTATTTTCAACTTAGGATGGGTTTATTGGGACATAACCCATTGTATGTTAAGGAGCATCTGTAATAGTGATTATCTAGGTTGGTACGATAACGAACCATTTTTGTACCTTTCTGCATTTTCTAATTTCTTGACAATCAGCATGCATTAGTTGTGGAATCAGAAAGAAATTAAATGTCGAATGCAGGGCCCACTGGCCTGGCTATCTGCAGGTGTAAACTACACCAACCCTGCCTCCCTACCCCAACCCCAGCTACTCCAGCTGATGGAACACGGTGTGGACAGGATCTGACAGAGGGACTCAATGAATAATAAACAGCAAACACTTAAACAGCCCTTACAGATATGGTTCTAAGTGCTTCACATGTATTAGTCTTTTAATTCTCTCAACAACTCCAGGAGGAGGTACTCTATTTTCAGCTCCATTCTGCAGCTGAGGAAACTGACGCGCAGAGAGGTTAGGTAATTGCTGAAAACTACACAGCTAGTAGTAGAGCCAGGATGTGAACCCAGGCTGTCTGCCCCAGCCTCCTGCCTTGCCTGCCCGGGACCGTTCCACCTCAGTGCCAAGCCATCTCCCAGGACTTCAATAAAGCACGAGTGGCCCAAACAATGTATTTTTTAAAGAGTTTAGGTTTCTATATTAAAAAAAAAAAAAAAGAAGAAGAAGTTGGAAAAGTCCAGAATTTTATTGAACTTCCTTATACTTATTTCAGTTTCTGTTTTTTGTTTTTTTGTTTTTTTTTTTTTGAGACAGGGTCTCACTTTGTCACCCAGGCTGGAGTGCAGTGGCGCGATCTTGGCTTATTGCACACTCAATCTCCCGGGCTCAGGTGATCCTCCGACCTCGGCCTCCCAAGTAGCTGGGACTACAGGCATGCAACACTGTGCCTGGCTCATTTTTGTATTTTTAGTAGATACGGGGTTTTGCCATGTTGCCCAGGCTGGTCTCGAACTCCTGGGCTCAAGTGATCCTCCTGCCTTGGCCTCCCAAAGTGCTGGGATTACAGTTGTGAGCCACTGCATCTGACCTTATTTCAGTTTTTGTTTTGAATTATATAGTGGTGGTGGGGAGGAAGGCACAGTTCACTTGCTTCTTTTTTTTATTGGTAATTATTTTTAATTGTAATTTTTTTTTGAGGCAGGGTCTCACTATGTTGCCAGGCTGGCCTCAAACTCCTGGGCTCAAGTGATCCTCCTGCCTAAGCCTCCCAAAATGCTAGGATTGCAAGCATGAGCCACCACATCTGGCCTTCAGTAGCTTCTTTTTAAGAAATTCTTAATTTATTTTTATTTTTAATTTTTGTGGGTACATAATGGGTGTATATATTTATGAGTTACATGAGATGTTTTTATACAGGGATACAATGCATAATAAGCACATCAGGGTAAAAGGGGTATCCATCCCCTCAAGCATTTATCCTTTGTGTTTATAAACAACCCAAGTATATTCTTTTAGTTATTATTATTATTTTTTTGAGACAGAGTCTCCCTCTTATCGCCCAGGCTGGAGTGCATTGGCATGATCTCGGCTCACTGCAACCTCTGTTTCCTGGTTTAAGTGATTCTCCTGCTTCAGCCTCCCCAGTAGCTGGGACTACAGGTGTGTGCCACCACGCCCGCCTAATTTTGTATTTTCAGTAGAGACAGGGTTTCACCATGTTGCCTGGGCTGATCTGGAACTCCTGACCTCAAGTGATCCGCCTGCCTCGGCCTCCCAAAGTGCTGGGATTACAGGTGTGAGCCACTGCACCCAGCCATTCTTTCTACTTTTTTTGTGCCCATTAACCATCCTCACTTCTCCTGCCACCCTCCGTAGCCTCTGGGACCCATCCGTCTATTCTCTATGTCCATGAGTTTAATTTTTAGCTCCCATAAATAAGTGAGAACATGTGAAGTTTGTCTTTCTGTGCCTGGCTTATTTTACTAAACATAATAACCTCCAGTTCCACCCATGTTGTTGCAAATGACAGGATCTCATTCTTTTTTCTGGCTGCACAGGACTCCATTGTGTGTGTGTACCACATTCTCTTTATACGTGTGTCTGTTGGACACTGAGGTTGCTTCCAAGTCTTGGCTATTATGAACAGTGCTGCAAGAAACATGGGAGTGGAAAAATCCCTTCGATATACCCACTTCCTTTCTTCTGTGTATACATTTAGGAGCGGAATTGCTGGATCGTATGGTAGCTATTTTTTGAGGAATCTCCAAACTGTTCTCCATAGTGATCATACTAATTTACATTCCCAACAAACATGTACAAGGATTCCCTTTTCTCTGTATCCTCGCCAGTATTTGTTTTTGCCTGTCTTTTGAATAAAAGCCATTTTAACTGGGATGAGATGATATCTCATTGTAGTTTTGATTTGTGTCTAGTGGCTTCTAACTGGAATCTGGCTGTAGTTAATTGCATTGAGTTTGGGGAGGTAAGTATCAGACCAGCTCCCCTTGCCAGATGAGGAAACTGAGTCTCACATTTACCTGGCAGTCATTGCCTCTGCCCAGCCCTGTGGTCACAGGAGTTTGGGGTCCTCCTGTCTGGCTGTAAACCAGTAGCAAGGGCCTACAGGGAGGAGGGGGAGTGGCATGTTCTTGCCACTTTGCCAGGGTGCACATAACACAGGCTATCAGCTGAGCCCTGTACTTGCTGTGTTACCCAGGGCAGGCTGTCTCACCGCTCTGAGCCTAGACTTCCTCTCATGTAAGATAAGGATAATATTCCTTGCCTTATAGGGCATTGTGAAGAGTCAACAAGACAACAGATGTCAACATGATTTTTTTTTTTTTGAGATGGAATTTCGCTCTTGTCGCCCAAGCTGGAGTGTGGTGGCACAATCTTGGCTCACTGCAACCTCCGCCTCATGGGTTCATGCGATTCTCCTGCCTCAGCCTCCTGAGTAGCTGGGATTACAGGCACCCACCAACACACACAGCTAGTTTTTGTATTTTTAGTAGAGACAGGGTTTTGCCATGTTAGCCAGGCTGGTCAAATTCCTGACCTTAGGTGATCCACCTACCTCAGCCTCCAAAGTGCTGGGATTACAGGCGTGAGCCCCCATGCACGGCTTTGAATATAATTTTTAACAATTGTGCTGTCAGTTACTATTCCCACCACACAGTGGCCATGAAGGGGACAGCTGCTGTTTTTTGCCTTTCCCCCTTTTTCTGGCACCAGTATCCTGATTTTCCTTTTGGAAAATATCCCTTCCTAACCATGTGCTTTACGTAGGGTTGACCCCACCCAACCTTTGTCTCCAGGACAAGTGCACAACCCTAGATGGGCCAGCGAGTCTCTATCTGGGGCCGTGGCTGAAGAGTTAGCCTTGGAGAGCGCTCACTCTTTGCTGAAGTTGCTGAGAGAATTCCGAAAATGACAGGAAGGAGAAGGGGAGAAGGAGGAGGAAGCAAAGAAGGAGGAAGAAGCACCAATCACTATTCAGGGATTCACAACCTGTAGGGCACTGTTCTAGGCACCCTGACCACCTAGTGAGACAGGTGCTGCCACTATCCCCATTCTATATAGAAAGAAACTGAAGCTATGAGGTGGCTGAGCTGCTTGGGTGAGTGATGAGCCAGGATTCATCCCCAAACCTTTTAAATCTAGCACCTAAGCTTCCCCCACCATGCCATCTGGCCTCTACACTGTAAGCCTAAGGCTGCTGGTAGCCATCTTGCCACCTGGTAGAGAGCAGACCTGCCACCAAAGAAGGCAGAGTCAAGAGGGACTAAGTCAGAGCACCTAGATCCATCCATGCCTGATGTCCACCCCTGAACTTTTCAGCTAGGTGAGGCAACAAATTCTCTTATTTTGCAGAAGCTGGTTTAAGGAAGGCTTCTATCACTTAAACAGAAGCTGACAGACATGGCCTGTGGACACTACTAAAGCTGAAGTCACAGAAGCATTGGCTCTTGTCAGACTTGGGGGACCACAGAGGAAATACGGGCTCAGAGAGGGGAAAGCAAGTGTGTCCATGGTCAGTGACAGCAGCCAGGACTGAAGCCCCCATGGCCTGGCACTTTCATGACCTGTGTCTTGCTCCTCCAAAAGTGTCCCCAGAGTAAGTGACAGTTTTCATGGGGTGTTTTTATCCTGCAGACATACCTTTCCTGAGTAACTTGCAGGAACCTCCTCTTAGCACCATTCTCTCTTCTAATCATATTCCATACAGTGACTTCTGGGGGTGGAGGGAGGAGGTAAAGAGAGCTATCTTAAAGGCTATTTCATGCCTAAGATCTGAGGATAGAGAACACTTTGATGGTGCTCTGTTGAAGGGCACATTGTTTATCCAAAACAGACTCGGGAAAGGGAAGCTGTCAACATTATCTCTGTCTGGTCACAAATTGCAGCTCTCTGATGGGATTTTTCCTAGAGTTTAATCTTGTGCTGGAAGCTAAGCTGATACCAGGAAGGTTTTAGACATGTCAATCTCCTTCCTGGCATTTTATCAGAAATTGATTCTCTTTGCTTTTCGGCACTGGAGTCTTGGCCCTGTTGTTGTTAAACTTGGGTGTTTGTGTACACATCTCCTGCAGTGCCCAACCTAACTGCAGAGGTCCTGGGACAGGCTGGGGACTCAGATACAAAGGAATTCCAACAGGGATGGATTATGCACCATTCTTCCATCATACCAAAGGGGCCCAATCTGTGTCCTTCTCTTTCTCAGCAAGACTTCTCCACCTGTGACTTTCAAGGGATTAGCTTTGTAAATAGGATATTTTCCCCTGCCAGTCCTAAATTATAATTGTTGACATTTATTGAGCTCTGAGTATGTGCCAGGTTCCATCCTAAGCACTTGACACGTATGAATTCACTGAATCCTTGCCACAGTCCTGTGAAATGCAGGTTTCATATCATCCCCATCTTATAGAGGGGGAAGTCGAATCACGAAAAGGTAAGTCACTTGCCTGAGTGATAGAACTAGCCTAGGAATCCACGCTGTTTGGTTCCAGGGTTCGCAAGCTCAATTCCTCTGCTGCACTGCTTCTAATCCTGCCCTGTGTCTTATTTGCCCTGCATAAATCAGAAGTTGTCAATGTTACCAGGGCCCCTCTCTTCAAGTTCTCAAAGCTGCAGAGAGACCAAGACCTCAAGAAGCAGAAAGACTGACAACAATAATTTCGCAAGTGGGAATACATTTGGCAGTTGAATCTAAAATAGATTTTGTTCTTCTCTGCCCAGAAATATGAACTAAAAGGTTTCATTCCCGTAAAAGTGCAGAGTTGGAATGTCAGCTGTCATACCAGGCTCTTTGTAATGCAACACCACCAACTTGCCTTTTCTTTTGTTTTCTTCCTTTAAAAAAACTTTTTTTAAAACAAAGCAATTGAGATCTGTAAATATGGACGGGGCAACAAGACTGAAATTGCAAGAACACGGAGAACTGAATGGAGAAAAGGGAAGGAAGTATCTGCAGTTTGCGCGCTAGTGGAGTCTGAAACTCACAGAAAAGTCACCTGTCTTTTCTGTAATCAGCCTGTAATCAGCCAAGACAAATCTTACGAGCTCAGGGCTGCAAGAGATGGCTTGCAGAAATCGAGGTGCTGCAATTCACAATTGCAATGTGGAACCAACCAAAATGCCCACCAATCAATGAGTAGGTAAAGAAACTGTGGTATGTATATATGATGGAATACTACTCAGCCATAAAAAGGAATGAATTAATGGCATTCGCAGCAACATGGATAGAACTGGAGACTATTATTCTAAATGAAGTAACTCAGGAATAGAAAACCAAACATTGTGTGTTTTCACTTACAAGTGGGAGCTAAGCTATGAGGATGCAAAGGCTATAAGAATGACACAGTGGACTTTGGGGACTCAGGGGGAAAGGGTGGGAAGGGGGTGAGGGATAAAAGACTACAAATTAGGTGTAGTGTATACTGCTTGGGTGATGGGTGCATCAATATCTCACACATCACCACTAAACAACTTATTCATTTTACCAAATACCACCGGTTCCCCCCAAACCTATGGTAAAACAAAAGAAATCAAGGTGCTAGATATACCCCCAAGTCCTTCTCAAGTAAACGTCCCTCCTCTCACCCCCACAAGACAAGTGAACTAGGGAACTATAGGAGTGGTCACTGAATGGGTCCATTGTGGGCACCTCGGTCAAGGACAGCCACACTTGAATCTGGTCAGCTTGCTACAAGATAACCTGGGGGAAAAAAAATAGCTCTATCCCTTTCATGCACTGTTAAAAGATGAATTGGAAACATCAATTTAAATAGAACACACACCCTTTGATCCATTAGTTCTACTTTTAAGCATTTAACCTTTGGCTATTCCTATGTGCACAGGGATGTCTGCTCCAGAATATTCTTTAAAGTATTCTTATAGTAGCAAAAGACTATTAATGACTAGATATTCATTAATCAAGAATTAGTAATACATTTATGCAATTATTTAGGACCAAAACCTGACCTGAAATGACATAAAATTTATAGCCTTTATTTACCCACTTAGTATAAATATTCATATTTTGCTGTACACATACATTATATATATATATGTTTTAGAGATGGGGCTTCACTATATTGCCCAACCTGGATTCAAACTCCTGGGGTCAAGTGAGCCACCCACCTCAGCATCCCAAGTAGCTGGTGGGATAACAAGCATCAGCCACCTCAATGAGTTCTGTACATATATTAATGTATTTGATTATAGAGTGCTTTTCCAGGTCCTTATAGGATGGTATAACTTTTTAAATATAAAAAAATGAAATATATTTGGCCTTAAATGTTTCGAGTAAAGAATTACATTCCTGTAAATTCACAATGGAGTACTAGGCAGCCATGAAAAGAGAGAGGTCTGTCCCTATGACCTGCTGAGGAATGCTCTCCAAGACATGTTGTTAAATGAAAAAAAAAAAAAAAAAATCAAGAAGAAAACAATGTGTATTGCATGAGGGGAATGGATGGGTGGGTAAAGGAGACAAAGCATATGTTCTGCATAGCTGCATACCTGTAGAATATTTCTAGAAGGACACATAAGAAATTGATTATAGTCGTTGCCTCCTGGGAGGGCAAATGAAGACTGGTGTCAGGAATATTGTATTCCCTGAATACTCTTGAGTATTGATTAGCCAGGCCAGACTCTCTCACTGGCCTGTGGCCTGGGCTTATAGAGGAGGAAGAGCTAATAGGAGGATCAAGACAGCAACAAGGACCAGGCTAGGTGGCTCACGCCTATAATCCCAGAACTTTGGGAGGCCAAGAGGGGAGGACTGCTTGAGCCTAGGAGTTCAAGATCAACCTGGGCAACACGGCAAAACCCTGTTTCTACAAAAAATACAACAATTAGCTGGGTCTGGTGGTGCACACCTGTGGTCTCCACTACTCAAGAGGCTGAGGTGGGAGGATCACTTGAACTTGGGAGGCAGAGGTTGCAGTAAGCTGATACAGCGCCACTGCACTCCAATCTGGGTAACACAGCGAGACCCTGTCTAAAACAAAAAAACAAAAAAGATAGCAACAAGATAAAGAGACCCAGAAGACCCAGAGGAGAGCAGAGGTGTGTCTGTGGTTGCACACTGAAGAGACAGAGAGGGCTGTCGAGATAACCTCGTCCCTGGAGGCACCCTGGATCCTGTACTCCCTCCATTGCTGTGTTCCCCTCAGACCTGTCTCCTCTTCTGCTTGGGAAAAATGAAGGAAGCCTCTAGCCTTGTACCAGAAGTCTCTGTTACTAGCAGGAAGGTGTGTGTGTGTGTATGTGTGTGCATGTGCATGCATGCAAAGGGAAGGCTTAACATTTTCTAGTTGGGTGAGTTCAATGACTTTTGCAATCCTTGCAAAGTCAGTTCAGCAGATGAGTGTGCTGTCAAGAGCATTTTTTGGAATCTCCAATCAACTGCAAAAACGGCCTTCCGTTATCATGGGAGGCTCTCAGAGTGGTTAAGAATGAGGGCCCTGGGGCTAGCCTGCCTGGGGGCCCAGGTGCCTGGGGACACACAGCCAGGAAGCAGGAAGGCTGGAATCAGCCTCAAGTCTGGCTGGAGTGAGGGAGGCCCCTTCTGTGAAAGTGTAATTAATTGTGCTGCCTTCTCCTTGTGAATCTCTCTGTTAAATCCTAGACACTTCAAGTAATATAACAACTAACATCTATGGAACACTTATGGTGTGCCCAGCACTGTGCTAGGTACGTTAATACATGACTGTATTAACCCTCTCCAAAGTGGACATTATCAAACAAGGTGAGAGGGCTCAAGTCCAAGGTCACACAGCTGGGATTTGAGGCAGAGCTGCTTGGCCTCAGGACCTGAACTGCAGCCCTCACAGCAAACTGGAGGTATTAATTCACAGAGTCAACAGTGGCCTCACAGTGGCTCTGAGCAGTAAGGGGACATGTCCCCAGCGCCATGCTCATGAGCCCCACAGTGCCCTGGGCACCAGTGTGGATGCTGTAGGGATGAATTGGAAGATGAATAAATATTTCTTCCTCCTCTGTGATCTCCTTTTTTCCAACACTGCATGATAAATTTACTTCCTAATGATTTTTGAGTAAACTACAATGACCACAATTTCAAAATCATTAATAATTCATGTCCAAGGGCCATAAACACTATATAATCTCCACAGGCAGGAACCATGAATACTTGTTAGAAATGAGGCTAAGAATATTTTTACCAGCTGAACTGAAATTACCTACTGACTTCAAGCCAACCATCAAAGCTACATTTTTCAGAAATGACTGTAACCTGGCCAGGCACAGTGACTCACGCCTGTAATCCCAGCACTTTGGAAGGCCGAGGTGGGCGGATCCCTTGAGGGCAGGAGTTTGAGGCCAGACTGGCTAACATGATGAAACCCCATCTCTACTACAAATACAAAAATTAGTCAGGCATGGTGGGACACACCCGTAATCTCACCTACTTGGGAAGCTGAGGCAGAAGGATCACTTAAACCCGGGAGGTGGAGGTTGCAGTGAACTGAGATTGTGTCACTGCACTCCAACCTGGGTGACAGAGTAAGACTATGTCTCAAAAAAAAAGAAATGACCGTAACCTTTCCAATGCCTCCGTTCAGGCCACCTCTCCCAGGAAGTCTTTCCCTCCTCTGGCACTCCCTGGAGCTTTATTTGGGGCTCATCTATAATGTTTATCATTCTCTTCTTTGGTTTTGCCTCCTGGTATCTGTGGCAGCGGTGGAGAACTGAAGTGCCTTTAGGGCCAGAGAGGCCAGGCACAGGGTACAAAGAAGCACCTGGGTCGACAGCCAGAGCTATTTATTTTGTTTTCTTTTTTTGAGATAGAGTCTCACTCTGTCGCCTAGGTTGGGGTGCAGTGGTGTGATCTTGGCTCACTGCAGCCTCTACCTCCTGGGTTCAAGAGATTCTCCTGCCTCGGCCTCCTGAGCTGCTGGTACTACAGGCATGTACCACCACGCCTGGCTAATTTTTGTATGCCAGAGTCTACTTAATCCATGGAAAGAGCTGGTTCTCATGCATGGCTGCACATTGGAACCACTTAGGGGATTAAAAAATTCTGATGCCCAGGTTGCACACCCACATATTTTGACCTAACTGGTTTGGAAAGAGGCCTGGACATTGGGTTAGTTATATAAGTATGAATGAATGAATAAATGTATGAATGAATGAATTGCACCAGGCCCTGTGCTGACTGCTTTATGCCAGTGGTTCTCAAACTGCTACACGTTATAATCACCTGGGAACTTTTATTTTATTTATTAAAAAAAATTTTTTTTTGAGACAGGGTTTTGCTTTGTTGTCCAGGTTGGAATGCAGTGGTGTGATCATAGCCTATTGCAGCCTCGAACTCCTGGGCTCAAGCGATACTCCCGCCTCAGCCTCCAGGGTAGCTGAGATCACAGGCACAAGACACCACACCTGATTTTCATTATTTTATTTTATTTCATTTCATTTCATTTGAGACAAGTCTCACTCTGTCACCCAGGCTGAAGAGCAGTGGCCCGATCTCGGCTCACTGCAACCTCCGCTTTCTGAGTTCAAGTGATTCTCCTGCTTCAGCCTCCCGAGTAGCTGGGATTACAGGCACCTGCCACCACGTCCGGCTAATTTTTGTATTTTTAGTAGAGATAGGGTTTCACCATGTTGGCCAGGCTGGTCTCAAACTCCTGACCTCAGGTGATCTGCCCACCACAGCCTCCCAAAGTGCTGGGATTACAGACATGAGCCACCATGCCTGGCCTCACACCTGTTTAA